>NC_000003.12:119463149-119766180 GCF_000001405.40 Homo sapiens
GAAAAAACTGGGACGGAAGAGGTGAGAGTATGCGGTGTGGTGGACTGCAGGAGACCACAAACTTCAACAGACTGGTCCCTAAGAGAAGTCGGCAGAAAGGTAGACAAAGCAGTCTCCGCCGCACACCCAAGAGGGCCGAGGCAGGTCCAGGACAGCCGGACCTTGGGGCAGCTCAGTAATACTCACGCATGGAAGAGTCCCAGCCGGTGGGGCGGGGTCCCTAGAAAGCGGCGACAACTTTACAGACTGGACCCCAGGTAAGGGAACTCCCTCCCAGCGTTGGAACGCTGCAAACCAGCTGCTTGGACGCAGGCAGCCCCCGCCTAGAGAATCAAGAAAAGGTGTCCAGGCTTCGGGCTGCCAGACTCAGACCCAGACTCCGACGCAGTTCCAGTGCCAGAGCTAAAGCTAGAGCCAGAGCCTGATACTTCAGCACCCATCCCTAGCCTCCATTACCGCGGAGCTGAGCAGACGTGGCAGCGCACGGCGATGACGTCAGCTACGCGACCGCGGTCTGCCCCAGCCGCGAGTGCGTCCCCGGAATCAGCCGGCACGACAACCCCTACCATTTGCACCTGCGCAGTGGGGCGCGCCTTCTCCTCTTAACTCGCGGTCCCGCCCCTTCCGGCCAGTGTTGGCCAAAGCATTTCCTCTTTCGGCCTCAGTCAGCTAGCGGCTGCTAGGTGCGGGCACCATGCTACTGATCCTTCTTGCTGTCTCTTGGACTCCATGTAGTAACCATGTACAAGTTATCACCGCCATTTTACAGATGAGTGTAGATTAGGAGGTGTCACCTAGGGTCACGTTACTGCTAAGTGAGGGAGCCCAAGTCATGAAGTCATGCGTCAGCATCCAACCCTGCGCTTATTGTTTGCTAAGAACTAGACAGATGCTGTGGTTACAAAGCGAATACCACAAAAGCTCAGAGTCTAGTGGAAGAGAGGCGACACTAAGAAAATACAGTAATTACCATTTGTTACAATATTAAAAGTGTGTCCAAGGTCCAGAGATAGCATGTAACACTAACGAATTCTGTGGGATGGTGGTGATGTCAATACCAAGAAAAGCTTTGCAGAGAGCTTGGGGTTTCAGCCAAGACTCCACAAAGGCATAGGGGCTTTGTGGGAGAATGGCAGTCCTCCTGGAGAAGTGGCAGATAAAAAGGTAAAGATCTGTGAGCAACGTCATCTTGAGTTCAGGAATTGACAATAGTTTGGTATTAGAAGAAGATAAGAGTGTCAAAAGGAGCATTTGTGTAATCTTTCACTCCAGAGATTTTAATCTCCTTAATAGAAAGTTGTTTGTATTGATTGAATGATTAACCTTTATTAAGAATTTTGTTGTGTCAGGCACTGGATTAGTAGCTTTACACATTTCATTTAAATCTCACATTTTGATAGCTTCTACTATGGTTATTATTTTACAGAAGAAACTGAAGTTAAGAGAAGTTAAGTAGCTTGTTGAAAATAGCCTGCCTGGCCAGGCAGGGTGGCTCATGACTGTAATTCCAACACTGGGAGGCCAAGGCAGGAGGATCACTTGAGCCCAAGAGTTTGAGACCACCCTGAGCAATATAGTGGAACCTTGTCTCTATGAAAAAAGTAAAAAAATAAATCGGGCATGGTGGCTCACACCTGTAGTCCCAGCTACTTGGGAGGCTGAGGTGGGAGGATCACTTGAGCCCTGGAGGTCAAGTTTGCAGTGAGCCGAGATTGTGCCACTGCACTCCAGCCTGGGCAACAGAGAGAGACCCTGTCTCAAAAATAATAATAATAATAATAGAAAAAAAAGAAAATAGCCTGGCTAATAAGAGCCAGAACCAGAATTTAGAGCCAGAATGACTGATATCGAAACCAGTAAAGTTGCTAATATTCCCAAATATTCCTAATGTCCTAATGTACCACAGAGCTGTCACTTAGGAATACACACAAGTCTCCAACTTAGGATGGTTTGACTCACAATTTTTCAACTTTATGATGGTGCAAAACCAACACTCATTCAGTAGAAACTGTACTTCCAGTACTCGTACAACCATTCTGGTTTTTTTTTCATTTTTAAATACAGTCATGTGTCCCATAATGATGTTTCAATGAAAGACCACATAAATGATGGTGAGCCCATGAGAGTATAATAAAACTGAAAAACTCCTATTGCCTAATGATGTAGCTGTCTTTATGTTGTAGTGCAATGTATCCTGGTGTACACAAACCTGCACTACCAGTTGTATAAAAGTATAGCACATACAATTATGTACAGTATAACATACTAAATAATGATAATAAATTACTTTGTTACTGGTTTATATATTTACTATACTATACATTTATTGTTATTTTAGATTGTACTCCTTCTACTTATTTTAAAAAAATGAAAGTTAACTGTAAAACAACCTCAGGCAGGTCTTTCAGAAGGTATTCCAGAAGAAGGCATTGTTATCCTAGGAGATGGCAGTTCCATGTGTGTTCTTGACCCTGAAGATCTTCCAGAGGGACAAGATGTGGAGGTGAAAGATGGTGATATTGATGATCCTGACCCTGCATAGGCCTGACCCAAACACACACGTGTGTGTTTGCATATTAGTTTTCAATAAAATAGTTTAAAAAGTAAAAAACAAAATAAAACATTTTAGAAATAGAAAAAAGCTTATAGAATAAAGATAGAAATAAAGAAAATAGGTCGGATGCAGTGGCTCATGCCTATAATCCCCACACTTTGGGAGGCCAGGAGTTTGACAGCAGCCTGGCCAACATGGCGAAACCCTGTCTCTACTAAAAATACAAAAATTAGCCAGGTGTTATGGTGTACACCTGTAATGCCAGCTACTCAGGAGGCTGAGGCACGAGAATTGCTTGAACCTGGGAGGCAGAGGTTGCAGTCAGCTGAGATAGCACCACTGCACTCTAGCCTGGGCAACAAAGCGAGACTGTCTCAAAAAAAAAAAAAGAAAAGAAAAGAAAGGAGGGAGGGAGGGAGGAAGGAAGGAAAAGAAAGAAAGAAAAAATATTTTTGTATGGCTGTACAATGTGCTTGTGTTTTAAGCTAAGTGTTATTACAAAGTCAAAAAGTTGAAAAAAAAAGGTTTGTACAGTAAAAAAGTTACAATAAGCTAATTTATTACTGAAGAAAGAAAAACGTGTTTATAAGTTTAGTATGGTCTAACTGTACAGTGTTTATAAAATCTATAGTAGCGTAATGTTCTAGGTGTTCACATTTACTCACCACTCACTGACTTATCCAGAGCAACTTTCAGTCCTGCAAGCTCCATTCATGGTAAGTGCCTTATACAGGTGTATCATTTTTACTCATTTACTGTACCTTTTCAATGTTTAGATACACCAATACTTACCATTGTGTTACAATTGCCTGTAATATTCAGTACAGTAACATGCTGAATAGGTTTGTAGCCTAGGAGCAATAGGCTATGCCAAATATCCTCAGTATGTAGTAGGCTATACTAGCTAGGTTTGTGTAAGTATAATCTATGATGTTCACACAACAAAATTGCCTGACACATTTCTCAAAACATATTCCCATTGTCAAACAACACATGACTGTACTGCACACCTTCCTGGAAGTAGAAAAATTTTTGACTAAAGTTTCATTTGGATTCCAGAAGAAATATGCTATAGTTTTGGATATACATTTTTTTTCCTGTCTGTTCACCCAAAGTGAGCCTCACTCATACAAAAACTGGGTGGTTCTGCCCTGGTGGAATATAGACCAAATGCCCATATGGGTGTAATATGTGACCGATACGGCCCATTCCTAGGTAATCAACATTATTTTCTCTTCCACCATTCCTTAACGTGCATCCTAAAGCCTCCACTACTGTCAAGCTAAATTTGATCCCCACCTTCTGCAAATTATGGCTCCCATATTTTTAGTGACTCCAGCACAATATTCCTTAACTGTAACGTTTCCTTTTCTTCAGTACAAAATATACCCCTCCTACCCCTTTCTCCAGATTTCCACTTCATATTGATCTTTTCCTCCACTGAAACCAGTGGCACTTAACTATTGCCTTAAATTGTAAACTATCTCTAAGGAAGCATATTTGTCTTCCCTACTAGTTCTAAACTCCTGGGAGCACAGATTTGATCTTGTACTTCCCTGTATTTCCATATTTCCACAAGGCTTAGGGATATAACCATGTACATTTTAGAAAATAGATAAATATTGCTGGGCGCAGTGGCTCACGCCTGCAATCCCAGCACTTTGGGAGGTCGAGGCTGGTGGATCACCGGAGGTCGGGAGTTCGAGACCAGCCTGACAAATATGGAGAAACCCCATCTCTACTAAAAATACAAAATTAGCCGGGTGTGGTGGCGCAAGCCTGTAATCCACCTACTCAGGAGGCTGAGGCAGGAGAATTGCTTGAACCCAGGAGGCGGAGGTTGTGGTGAGCCGATATTGAACCATTGCACTCCAGCCTGGGCAACAAGAGCGAAACTCCATCTCAAAAAAAAAAAAAAAAAAGAAAATAGATAAATATTTGTAGTTCTATGATTACTAAATATATCTACACTGACCTATATATACCTGTATAAAGATATATACCTGTACTATACTATATACCTATATTGTCCAGTATCATGTTGCCCACTGTCAAGAAACAAAATTTCATCAAATTTAGTTTAAAGTTCTTGGCCAGGCATGGTGGCTCACGCCTGTAATCCCAGCACTTTGGGAGGCCGAGGTGGGCAGATCACCTGAGGTCAGGAGTTTGAGACCAACCTGGCCAACACGGTGAAACCCTGTCTTTACTAAAAATACAAAAATTACCCGGGCATGGTGACACACTCCTGTAATCCCAGCTACTCGGGAGACTGAGACAGAAGAATTGCTTGAACCCGGGAGGCAGACGTCATAGTGAGCCAAGATTGTGCCACTGCACTCCAGGCTGGGCAACAGAGTTAGACTGTCCTCTGTCTCAAAAAAAAAAAAAAATCGAATTGGCTTTTATTAGTGATTCATGAATCAGGCAGCATCTCATCTATAAAACAGAAAAGTGTTCTAATGAGCTGAGCAGAAGGGGTTGGGCTTATAGGCAGAAAAGGGCTGAAGAAAGCAGAAATAAGGAACAAAAAGCAGATTGGTCATTTTGAAGTTACTTTCCTCAAAGAGTTACATCAGAGGGGACTTCTTTATCATGCCAGCTCAGGTATATGGGCCCCTTCTCCTATTTGTTGGAAAACTGACCCCTTTTAAAGCTGAGTTTAATTACGCAGCACCTAGGACAAGTTGCCTCCATTCTGGTTTTGTCTGCTCTCTTGAGGCCTAGTGCCAGAGTTCTGTCCAAAACAACGACCTCCCATAAACTTTATTTAACACCATTGATCTTTTTTCCTACGTCTAAGTCACCCCAACTGTTATAAATTCCTATTACAAAGGGATCCCTGCTATGCTAATTGCAACCTTTGGGGTCTAACCGTGCTGTACACACACACACACACACACACACACACACACACACATGCTCAACAAATTTATGCTATTTGATAAGAGGCAATTTGACGTCAAGAGAAGAACTGTTTGGCCTAGGCTCTATGCCAAGTCTTGGTTGTGCCACTAACCGTGAAACATACCCTCTCTGACCTTCAGTTTTCTGGCTGCAGACCTATTTTCCCAGGGGTGCCAGGGAGGGAGGATAGGCAACTGGTCCATTCGTTTATCCTCCCCACCTTCCCGGCGCAGCCTTCTCAGGGAAACTCCGCCTCAAGGCTGGGGACTGGAGGAAGGGTGGTGGGGCCACGGTGGCCATCTTTGTGCGGGGCGACCCGCCGCCCACGTGCTGCGGCTCCCGGGCCATCTTTGTGCGGGGCCGCGCTTCCGCCAGCGCCGCAGCGGGGAATCTGCAGTAGGTCTGCCGGCGATGGAGTGGTGGGCTAGCTCGCCGCTTCGGCTCTGGCTGCTGTTGTTCCTCCTGCCCTCAGCGCAGGGCCGCCAGAAGGAGTCAGGTGGGCTCCGGGCAGTGCCGAGCCTGCCCCTTGGGCTCGGGGTCTGGCCGGAGTCCCGAGGCGCTCCCCCGCGCGGCCGGCTCCCGGGAAGATGCCGTGGCCGCTGTAGCTCGGAGCTGGGCAGAAGGCACCGGGGCGCCTTGCGGCGGAGAGTGAGGTGCCGGGGTCTCTGCTCCTGCTCTGGACCCTGGAGAGTAACCCATTCCCCGGAATTCAGAATGACAGGGAGGAGAGGGAATTCCCCGTTCACCCGCAGGAGGCGTGGCCCGTGCTTGGCTACTCTGGACCTGCCTGAAACACTGAGGGGTCGGGGATGGGGGCAAATGTCGTGCGCGCGAGCGTGTGTGTATATGCGTTGCCAGAAGAGAAGAGGGGTTTAATGTCTGTAGCTTTTAACTGATCCTCTTTGTGGAGTTCAATTTGATTAGTAGAAAGTGAGAGTCCGCGTCACTATCCATAGCATTCTGAGGGTTGAGCATTAAGCTTGGGAATTTTCCAGTTTCTTGGACACCTGACAGCCGGATAGAGGAACAGACTTGACGTGAGCGTGGGAGTTGCACACACAAAAATTCCTCCCTAGCGTTTCGTTTCCATCAGTGGGATGGGAAGGGGATTTCTGAAAGTTTTGGTCTTCTGTTTCTTCTGTTGGTGTGGTGTCAGCAAATAACATTCAGGAAAATTTTTTTAACTCTCATTTACTTCACTTTTTAAAGGTTCAAAATGGAAAGTATTTATTGACCAAATTAACAGGTCTTTGGAGAATTACGAACCATGTTCAAGTCAAAACTGCAGCTGCTACCATGGGTGAGTTCTTTTCTTTGATGTGTCTTTGAGAGTTTAGTTGCTGTCACAGGAAGTATTCTAACATCCTTGAGAGATTTTGGTTGCAGTGGTCAGAAAGGCAAGGATGTTTTTCTATTTCTGGGGAATAAAAATGCTCTCGCATGGGAAAGGCTCAGGTGGTGTCAACCTAACCACTGACTCACTGCGGGATTCAGTGCATGTGCATCTGTTTTTCCCACTGGGCTGCAAGCTTCCTGAGGTCAGGGTCTGTGTCTTATTTGCTGTTGTCTCCCTGGTGCTAGCTGTCAGTGCGTGCTCGATAAATATTGTTGAGGAAATAAACCCATCTATCGCTGAATCTAGTCCTAAATTTCCTGATGGTTATCTTTAGAAAATGCACATCAGGCTGGGCATGGTGGTTCATGCCTGTAATCCCAGCACTTTGAGAGGCCAAGGCAGGTGGATCACCTGAGGTCAGAATTTCGAGACCAGCCTGGCCAACATGGTGAAACCCTGTCTCTACTAAAAATACAAAAATTAGCTGGGCATGATGGCACGTGCCTGTAATCCCAGCTACTCGGGAGGCTGAGGCAGGAGAATCGCTTGAACCCGGGAAGCAGAGGTTGCATTGAATCCAGATCATGCCACTGCACCCCAGCCTGGGTGACAGAGTGAGACTCCGTCTCAAAAAAGAGAGAGAATGCACATCAGGGCCGGGATGAGGTATGGTAGAAAGATAACTCTGAAAACAGACTTGGGTGTTGGTGCCGGTACTCCCACTGGTTACCCCTGTGCCGAGCCACTTCAACTCCTCTGGGTCTCAGATTCTTCATCAGCTAAATAACAGGGTCTTTTAAGCTCCTTTTTATGTTATTTTTGACTCCTCAAAAAATTCCTTGGATGCTTATGATACTTATTGAAAACTTACTATGCACTCACTTTAAAAGGAATACAAAATAGTGTAATTTTGGTTACTGCTGTCACGCTACCAGAGTAAGGGCTTGTGGGGGAGAGTGTGGACCAGACAGACCAGAACAAGAGAGTCAGTGCTAGACTGTAAGGCGTAAACTTCACCTCCTGTGGGATTGGGAGGAGATGCCAGGAGGACTGAAGTGACTAGAAGGACACAGGTGTGGCATGAGTAGCGAAAGAGAAATACAGAACTGCCAAGGGAGGGGCAATCCAGATGGAAGGAGGAAGAAGAGACATTGACCCGCTTTTTACTTTTTATTGCTTTATTGCATTTGATGTTTCAGATTACCTACAGGGCTTCTAGGGAAGAGCTGCTCATTCTCACTCTCGATTCTTTCCTTCCACTTACTGTGTTCTCTAATACGAAACCTAAATGCACTTAGGAAGTAGGTGGAATGGCACCACTCTCTTGGCCTGCTTTCCTTGATGACTCCCATTCTTTCCCAGTGTCATAGAAGAGGATCTAACTCCTTTCCGAGGAGGCATCTCCAGGAAGATGATGGCAGAGGTAGTCAGACGGAAGCTAGGGACCCACTATCAGATCACTAAGAACAGACTGTACCGGGAAAATGACTGCATGTTCCCCTCAAGGTAAGAGTTAACGAGGTAGATATATCTTCTGACTTTATTACATATGGGCTTGATACCCTTTTATAGAGGAGCCAATTCATGGGACTAACAAGCAGATCCCTCCTCACATTTCAGGCGGACTATGAAATAGTGACGAGCTCTTCTCCTTGCCTGGGAATTTTTCTTGCGAGCTCCTCTCAAAGCCTGTCTCCTCTGTGAGGCTTGGTTCATCACTGGTTGTACTGGTGGTGGCTCTGCCTCTTCTGCTCCTTCCCTGGGATATAGTAGCGGCAGGACACAGGCTGATGAGGCCTAGCAGGCCTAGCAGGAGGGAGCTAGGCTGAAGGAGGAAGAGGAATTGGTTGAATGTCTGTCATCGGCCAGTGTAGTTCTAGATACTGAATATTCAAGGGGAGGTGGTAGAGTCAAGAGGAGTAACTAGATGGGGTGGTGGTGGCTCACACCTGTGATCCCAGCACTTTGTGGTGGATTACTTGAGCCCAGGAGTTGGATTATGGCAAATAATCCGGCAGTGGCAAATAATACAACAGAGTGAGACCCTGTCTATTAAAAAATAAATAAATAAAGAGGAGTAACTAGTGCTGCAAATTACACTAGCCAGGACTTCAGAACTTCAGGTGTGAGACCTGAGGTACCATGTCAGTGGGCTGAAGGCAGGGTGGTAAGCAGGGAGGGTCATGGGCTGAGGGTGGAGGTTGGGTTTAGGCAGCATTGCACACACCAAAAGATAAACTTTATTTTTGGAGTTTGTTTTTTTTTTTTAACTCAGATCTTTATAAAATTAGAAGGTACAAAACTCAGAGGGCATAATATTCCCTTATGTAAGAGCATCTTTCTAAACAATCCCTATTCTGTCATTAAAAGTGAAATAAATGTGCAGAGTTGCAAAAAATTATCGATTCGTTCATAAAGATTTGTATTATTTGTATTTAATAACAACTTTGTAAGAATTTAATATTTATTCTTATAAGTATATAAACAAGGCCGGGTGCGGTGGCTCAAGCCTGTAATCCCAGCACTTTGGGAGGCTGAGATGAGCGGATCACTTGAAGTCGGGAGTTTGAGACCAAACTGACCAACATGGAGAAACCCTGTCTTTACTAAAAATACAAAATTAGCCAGCTGTGGTGGCGCATGCCTGTAATCCCAGCTACTCAGGAGGCTGAGGCAGGAGAATTGCTTGAACCCAGGAGGCAGAGGTTGCGGTGAGCTGAGATTGTGCCATTGCACTCCAGGCTGGGAAACAAGAGCGAAACTGTCTAAATAAATAAATAAATAAATGTAAACAAGAAAACAGGCTGGGCATGGTGGCTTGTGCCTATAATCCCAGCACTTCGGGAAGTCAATGCACGCAGATCGCTTGAGCTCAGGAGTTCAAGACGAGCCTAGGCCACATGGCAAAACCTCATCTCTACAAAAAATACAAACATTAGCTGAGTGTGGTGGCATGTGTTTGTAGTCCTAGCTACTTGGGAGGCTGAAGTGAGTGGATCACCTGAGCCCAGGAGGTCAAGGCTGCAGTAAGCCTGAGCCGTGATTATGCCACTGCACTCCAGCCAGGGTGATAGAGCAAGACCTGTCTCAAATAAATAATAATAAAGAACAATAAAAAAGAAAGATTATTTAATATCTCACTACCCTGAGGAAATCAGTTACCCTTTGGCTATCAGATATCGGAGGAAATAAGGTTGTAGAGGAAAAAATCGTTAAGGTATTTTAAACAGACATTTGTTTCATTATTTGGAACTCAATAATAGAGACTTTAAGTACAAATTGTGAGTCTAGGAGAATTTTTGATTTCCACAGATGAGAAATAAAATAAGAATATAGACATTGTTGGACTTTGAAAGCTTACCCAATGTTTAATAGTTTGCTGAACAATTGCCAAATGAAATGAAATGCTTTCAAAGTTTCTGAAAGGCACAATTCTCTTCTTCCTGAGCTCAGAACATTTTGGTCATAATCATGAGCTTAGAAATGTTCTGAAGGGAGTACAGGACCTTCATTAGCAATAAAATAATATATATTTCCAATGACACTGAAAGTTCCCTATCCTAGCTACATATACAACTAAGGAAAACAGAGAGGGACAAAATACGAATAGAATGCAGTATTCCAAAACACAATCCTGAATGAAATGCACACAGTCGTATGATATCTCAAAGATTCCCATATAGTTAGAAATAATATCTTTCTACGTCTAGATACTTTTTTTTTTTTTTTTGAGAGAGAGAATCTCACTCTGTCACCCAGTCTGGAGTGCAGTGGTGTGATCTCGGCTCACTGCAACCTCTGCCTCCCGGGTTCAAGCCATTCTCTTGCCTCAGCCTGCTGAGTAGCTGGGACTACAGGCGCCCGCCACCACACCTGGCTAATTTTTGTGTTTTTAGTAGAGACGGGGTTTCACCTCGTTCGTCAGGCTGGTCTCAAACTCCTGACCTCATGATCTGCCTGCCTCGGCCTCCCAAAGTGCTGGGATTACAGGCAGGTCTAGATACTTTTAACTCATCCAGTTTCAGAAATCTATGTGACATTTTAAAAACTCAGTTTTGAATAAAATAAAATATAAACTCCACATTTCAAGGATGAGCAGAGGAACCAGAGGTTTATCTAATTAATGCTAGAGACAAGTCATTTCAAAGATGAGGAGTAATGGTATTTTTTAATAACAGCTTTATTGAGGTGTGGTTAACATAAATTACATATAAAGTATACAATGTAAATGTTCCCACAACAAAAAAATAGTATGTGAGGATATGTTAATTAGCTTGATATACTCATTCCACAATGTAAACATATATCAAAACATTACATTGTATCCTGTAAATATGTACAATTATTATTTATCAATTAAAAATAAAACCTACAGTGTACACTGATAAGTCTTCATGTATGTTTATACCAAGATAATGAACCTTCCATCACAACCAAAACGTTCCTTCTGCCTCTTTGCATTCCCTCTCTCCTGCGTCTCCCTGTCTCCCTCTCCTCCCCATGCCCCACCTTCAGGCAGCCGCTGACTACTTTCTCGAATTATAGATTATTTTCTAGTTTTCTATAAATGGAATCATATAAGAGAGTATATTTGAAAAGCCAAATGTGGCCGGGCATGGTGGATCACACCTGTAATCCCAGCAGTTTGGGAGGCTGAGGTGAGTGGATCACTTGAGGTCAGGAGTTCGAGATCACCCTGGCCAATATGGTGAAACCCCGACTCTACTAAAAATACAAAAAAATTTAGCCAGGCATGGTGGCAGGCGCCTGTAATCCCAGCTACTTGGGAGGCTGAGGCAGGAAAATCGCTTGAACCCGGGAGGCGGAGGTTACAGTGAGCTAAGACCACGCCATTACACTCCAGCCTGGTCAACAAGAAAGAAACTCCATCTCAAAAAATAAAAATTAAATTAAACTAAATTAAAAGCCAAATGTGAAAGAAATACGAGCATTTTAGCTGTAATGTATAAATTGTACTGCAATATTTTTTTACATTTTTTAACTAGTTTTTTTTTTCTTTTAGTGTCAAAGAGTATTACATACACTTTGGATATGTAAAATATCCAAATATTTTACCATGCTAAAATATTTGGATACCTCCAAAAGACATTCAGTGAAAAGGAAGTTTCTCTTCCACCTCAGACCCTCAGACTGCTAGTCCCTGAGACCTCTTTTCAAAAGACAATTAGAATTCTGTGTCTTGTATATCCTTCTAGAAATAGTCTGTACATTTACAAGCATCTAGACTCATCAACAAAATAAAACATGCTGTCTTCTGTTCTGCACTTAGATTTCTTTTCCATATAACAGTAGATTTTGAGATTGTTCCATAAGAGTCCATAGAGAATGCCTCACTTTTTCATGGCTGCATAATAACTTATTATATGGATTTCTTTATTCAGCCCTCTATCAGTGGACATTTAGATTATCCCTTACCACATCACTTTGCTTTTTGGATAACGCAAGCAATGCTGCAGTGAACATCCTTGTTACTGTGAACACTCATGTAAATATATATGTAGGCTAAATTCCTAAAAGTATAATAACTAGGGCAATTAATGTCATTTTAAAATCTTGATAAATAGGCTGGGTGAGGTGGCTCACGCCTGTTATCCCAGCACTTTGGATGGCTGAGACAGGCAGATCATCTGAGGTCAGGAGTTCAAGACCAGCCTGGCCAACATGGTGAGAACCTATCTCTACTAAAAATAAAAAAATTAGCTGGGCATGGTGGCCTGTGCCTGTAATCCTAGCTACTCGGGAGGCTGAGGCAGGAGAATCACTTGAAACCCGAGGTGGAGGTTGCAGTCAGCTGAGATTGCGCCATTGCACTCCAGCCTGGGCCACAGAGCAAGGCTCCATCTCAAAAAAAAAAAAAAATCTTGATAAACAGGCTGGGCACAGTGGCTCTCACCTGTAATCCCAGCACTTTGGGAGGCTGAGGTGGGAGGATCACTTGAGCCCAAGAGTTCAAGATCAGTCTGGACAACATACCAAGACTGTCTCTCCACACACACACACACACACACACACACACACACACACACAAACACATACAGAGTTGCCAGGTGTGTTGGCACACACCTGTAGTCCCAGCTACTCAGGAGGCTGAGGTGAGAAGATTGCTTGAGCCTAGGATTTTTGAGGCCACAGTGAGCCATGATCATGCCACTGCACTCTTCAGCCTGAGTGGCAGAGCGAGAGACCCTGCCTCAAATAAAAAAAACCTTAAAAAAAGAGAAATCTTGGTAAATAGAATCTAATTGTCCTACAAAGAGGCTAAACACTTCCACAACCGATATATCATATGCTGTGAATAGATCTCACACCCTTACCAACACTGCACTATTGGACTTTTTGATCTTTGCCAATCTGATTGGTAAAATTGGTATCTAGTTTCATTGACATTTCTTTATTATTAATACAGTTGAGCATCTTTTCCTATGTTTGTGAACTGTTGATATTTTTTGCAGTTATCTCCCTATATAAAAAACACTTTTTTTTTTTTTGGCTAGAGGAGCTCACTACATTGCCTACTGTGTCACTATGTTGCTGGTCTAGAACTCTTGGGCTCAAATAACCCTTCTGCCTAAGTCTCCCAAGTAGTAAAACAATATTTTAAATCAGTTATTTCCATGCTGCCAGAAAATTTTGATCAAGCCTTTGAATATTGCCCCTAGCATAGTGCTGGTCAGGACCTCAGAGGATGAGGCAGAAACAAGCTAAACTGTCAGTGTATCTTCTTTTTCTTTCAAGAAATCCCTGATTTCCCAGGGAATCTAGTCAGAAAGCTGTGTTACACTATTTATGATTATGTATATAACACTTTTTCTGGCTTGCAGAACTGATTTTGATAATGTTCTTTATTCAGGTTGAAGGTAATGAAAGGTTTTCTATCTGTTCTCATAAACTAGGAGACTTAATTATAATGGAAATAAAAATGGTGTCTTTGTGAGGAGCAAAGCCAAAGGAACACAGGTGGAAAATTAGCTATTTCAGCTATTACGAGAGTTTGTATCTTGTCTACTAATTAAACTATTCCATATAAGGGAAATAAAGAAAAGAACTGGAATGAATAAAGTGGTAGAAGTAGCAATAATACTCCCTTCAAAGCTATGACGATTTATTTGGAAAATTTTATTAAGTATTGTAAGCTGGAGCAGCTTAGCTATGAGTGAACTTGCACAATACAAAAAAGCAGAATAGCCCCTTTAGAAGCATTGTTTTCAGGAGACTTTGCAGTAGACTGATGATATGGAACACTGGAACACTGGCTTGTCTTACTTTAAAATGTGAATGGGACCTCGCCTTGTCCTAGAGCCTGCAGGCACTACTCTGCTGAATTTATGGTATGTCTGGTTGACAGGTGTAGTGGTGTTGAGCACTTTATTTTGGAAGTGATCGGGCGTCTCCCTGACATGGAGATGGTGATCAATGTACGAGATTATCCTCAGGTTCCTAAATGGATGGAGCCTGCCATCCCAGTCTTCTCCTTCAGTAAGGTAAGTACAGGGAGAGCCACATGGGTGGATGGAGAGTGGTCCTCTAGGATATGAGCATGAGATCTTTGTCCGGTGACATAGTCTGATGGATAATGGTAAGGATGAGGACTGAGGTCCAGAAATGGGTCTGTGTCTCTATTAGCATCACAGTGATTGAGCAAAAAGACAGAGGAGATGAAGTTGAGAGCTGGTAAGTAGTGTAAGATTGCTTGAGTGTCTATAGGGCTAGAGATGGAGGCTAGGGCGTGAGAGGCCTGAGAAACCTACAGGAATTAGAGGTGGGTCTTGAAGATCTTACAGAGCATGGGAGGAAGGGGTCCAAGAAAGCTTGGAGTTAGGGAACACCTTCATTCCAAAAGTTTGTTGAGCTCCTACTATGTATATATTCAGCCATAGTGCTGGGTATCAGCTGTCCCATCTGTCACCATATTCCGGGGGCCCAGGGTGGCTAAAAGTGAACCTGAAGGTGCCAGATAACTCCACACGGTGTGTGTACAAGCCGTGCATTGAAGGGATAGGCTGGAGATAGCCTAGAGGGCTATGCAAGGGGGTGATCTTTTAGACTCATCATGGAAGATTGGAGTAGCTAGGATACACCTGTGGGCTTGGGGAATTGGGGGCAAGGAATGTCTTGTCAGTGCTCAGGTTCATGTAAATGTTGTATCGGCAGGGATGGGCCTTGGTTCCCTAGAGACAAGGAAAGCATTTGGGGGTGAAGGCAGGAAGGCTAGAAGAGAGTGGATGGAAGATTCTATGGGGTAAGAGTGAATTGAGGAAAACCCCATGAAATTTGGGAAAAGGAACACTATTTCTGATTTGGTTTGTCTAAAGCAGAGGGACCTTTTATCCCCACTTTTTCTTTATCATAGTTTACTTTCTCCCTAGACTTGTTTTATTTCCTGTGTTGCAAGTGGGCAGAGGCCACATTTGTGTTGCATTTCCCATGGTCTAGCCTCATTTCTCGAAAGTGTTTGGTTCCATTGTTTGTCATGAAACTCACTCAGAAGAACAGATAGAGGCTCCCATGTAAGTCAGTAGGGACTTCGTGTTTGTTATCTATCTGTTGTTTCTATGGATAATAAAGTATGACCGTCGGTATACTAACTTTCCGTTCATCTTTACTTCCCTTCTGTTTTTTAAATCAGTGACTTCTAGTTTCCAAGGGAGAGTTTTACTCTGTCAACTTTATAGTTAATTGTGCAGCTTCTATTGAATAGCTGTTATGTTTAAGGTGCTTGATGAATCACATTTTTTACATATTTGAGAGACAGCAAACAGCATATTGCACATGTATTTCCAGTGGAAGAAATAGTAGAGTTAGAGGTTTATCAGTGGCCAGATTTTTAACAGAAGTAACCATAAAAAGGGAACAAATGGAGGCCAGGTGTAGTGGCTCACACCTGTAATCCCAGCACTTTGGGAGGCCGAGGCAGGTGGATCAAAAAAAAAAAAAAAAGGGGGGAACATATGGCTTTAAACTTTTTTCTTTTTTTTGAGGCAGAGTCTCACTCTGTTGCCCAGGCTGGAGTGCAGTGGCGCGATCTCAGCTCACTGCAACCTCCACCTCCCAGGTTCAAGTGATTCTCCACCTCAGCCTCCTGAGTATCTGGGACTATAGGCACCTGCCACCATGCCCGGCTATTATTTTGTGTGTATTTTTTAGTAGAGACAGGGTTTCACCATGTTGACCAGGCTGATTTCAAACTCCTGACCTCAGGTGATCTACCCGTCTCGGCCTCCCAAAGTGCTGGGATTACAGGTGTGAGCCACCGTGCCCAACCTCAAACTTCTTTCAAAAGATATGTGATAACACCCCTTCTCATTTTGCTCATCCATACTTCTGACCCCGATCAGTGAATAACCAAGAATTTATTGACCAATCAATGTGAGCCCAACAGTGCCATAGTATGAGATAACACTAGCCAATATTTATCAAGTATGTACAATGTGCCAGCTACTGTTCTAAGAATTTTACGTGTATCAACTCATTTAATATTCAAAATAAACCTTTTAGTTAGATCATATTATTGATATTATTGTTTCCCCCATTACAGTGATAAGGAAGCTGAGGCATAGAACCATTAAGTAACTTGCCTAGAGCTGTAAAGAGGTGGAGTCAGAATCCAAACCCATGTGATCCACATCAGGAGCCCACACTCTTAACCATTGCATGTATTTCTTGGCTCTTACTCTCAAAAAAACCCATTGGGAAATAACCAAAAACTGGTAAGACAGTGTAAACTCTTAAATGTAATAGTTAAACAATGAGAGAGCTCTGTGATTATTCAGAATTGGGCATATTGTTTCCTTAAATTGGAAATCTTAACAGTATATATCCTCTAGAAAAACAGAATTTGGGGGAACTGAAAAAGCTGACCTTTAATGTGATTCTGAATTCTGGAATTCAGTGAGCCCATGACTTTTAATCCATAGTCACTTTTGCCTTTTAATGTCTACAGGCTAGACTTTGGAAAATAGGGAAAATATATCTTTGACAATGTGACACTAAACCAAGGCTGTCCAGATCCTGTGGCATGATTGCAGTTGCCTCTTTTCACTGTTCCAAGACTGATTTAGGACGACCTGTCTGTTTTTGTTGAAGACATCAGAGTACCATGATATCATGTATCCTGCTTGGACATTTTGGGAAGGGGGACCTGCTGTTTGGCCAATTTATCCTACAGGTCTTGGACGGTGGGACCTCTTCAGAGAAGATCTGGTAAGGTAGGTCCTTTAAAGAGGTTTTATTTTTTCTCTTTCTGGGTTTTCTTGAAATAAGCCATAGAATATAACCAATTATTTACTTTTTTTTTTTTTGAGACGGAGTTTCGCCCTTTTTGCCCAGGCTAGAGTGCAATGGCGTGATCTCAGCTCACCGCAACCTCCGCCTCCCAGGTTCAAGTGATTCTCTTGCCTCAGCCTCCCGAGTAGCTGGGATTACAGGCATGTGCCACCACACCCGGCTAATTTCGTATTTTTAGTAGAGACGGGGTGTCTCCATGTTGGTCAGGCTGGTCTTGAACTCCTGACCTCAGGTGATCTGCCCACCTCAGCCTCCCAAAGTGCTGGGATTACAGGCGTGAGCCACCGCGCCCAGCCTATTTATTTTTAAGTGACTAATTTTTAAGTTAAAAATTAAAGACAGAAAACTGTAGTGTAAACAATTTTGTACGTGTCTAATAATATTTACATATCCATAGAAAGGGGCAGAATAGTCTATCCTAAACTATCAGCAATGCCTCTTTGCAAGGGATTATCAGAGACTTTTGTTTTGTATTTTAAATTTTTCTTTCTTTTTTTTTTTTTTTGCGACACAGTCATGTTCTGTCTCCCAGGCTGGAGTGCAGTGGTGCTATCGCGGCTCACTGCAACCTCTGCCTCCCAGGTTCAAGCAATTCTCTTGCCTCAGCCTCCCGAGTAGCTGGGATTACAGGCATGTGCCACCACACCTGGCTAATTTTTTGTATTTTTAGTAGAGATGTGGTTTTGCCATGTTGCCCAGGCTGGTCTGGAACTCCTGGCCTCAAGTGATCCACCCACCTCGGCCTCCCAAAGTGCTGGGATTACAGGCACGAGCCCCTGTGCTCAGTCAGTATTTTCAATTTTTCTATACTTAAGATTCTTTAAATAAGAGTGCATTCTTTCATAGTAAGAAAAAATGAATGACCTCGTCATAGGGGGGATAGAAAATTATTTGGAAGAATATAAACATACTTGGCAATTGAGAGCTAAGTAGTTTAGGCAGGGCTGAGGGAGCATAAATGTCCCATAAGCATCTCAAGTACAAGCTTATTCCAGATCCTCTCTGATTCATGACTGAGACATGCCTTGGCCTGTTGACTCCATCCTGCTATCATTTCAGAATTTAGATTGTGTAGCTCATCCAAGCTGTAGGTATTTCTTACCTAGCTACATTTTACATCATGATTCAAACAACTTTGGTGCTTAATTAGAGAACTTCCGGAAACACAGTCATTATAGGCCTTCTCTCAGGTATAAGGAAAGCAAACAATTCAACCTTGTTTCCATAAATACCTATCACCTCTCCCAAGTGTGGCTGAAGATTCAAAGAGGATTAAGGTAATATTCCCTTCCTGAAGAAACGTACAGGGCTGCAGTCCTCAGTGGTGGGTAGAGCCCTTTGTTAAAAAACAAACTTCTCTAGTGGGTATAATTTGGAAATTTTAAAAAATAATAACTTAGTCTCATATTTTACAGAACTGGAACTAGAAATTGTCTTTGTCCAGCCCTTTATTTCAGGGATAAGGGAATGAAGGTACAGAAAGGTTTAGTGATCTGGTCAAGGTCAGAAGCAAATCTAGGCCTAAAGACCAGGTTTCCAAGTGCATTATCCAACCTACTTTACTGGTTAATATTCCTTGTGTTTTCCTGACATTGAGACTGTCATTTCTTGTTTATTTTTGGGTTTTGAACATAATTTTGAGAGGGGGGGAAAAAGGTGTGGTTTTTTTGTTTCTTGGTTGTTTTTTAAAATTTTTTGTAGAGACAGGTCTTGCTATGTTTCCCAGCCTGATCTCAAACTCCTGGGCTCAAGTGATCCTCCCACCTTGGCCTCCAAAGTGCTGGGATTACAGGCATGAGCCACCACACTAAGCTGGAAAAAAGGTTTTAAACTTTTTTTTCCCTAAGTTATTCTTGGCCTTGGCCTTAATTTTCTAATCCTTTCCCCCCCTCCTCAGGTACTTGCAAATACCCTTTTCACATTCTTCTTTTTGTAGCTCTTTTCCCACCTGCCATGCAGCTGCTTTGTTTTCAAAATCTTTAAAAACATTTTTACTGATTATGAAACCTATATATGCTCATAAAATTTTACAAATATGTATAACTCAGGCAACTTTCCCCCTAACTTATTGGTGTATCTAAGTAATCTTTCCATGTCTTTGTTTCATGTCAGTACATATGAAAGAGTCACTTTATTTATTTGTTTGTTTGTTTATTTTTAAAAGGCAGGATCTCACTATGTTGCCCAGGCTGGACTCAAACTCCTGGGGTCAAGGTGTTATCCAGTTACTCCACCGTGTAGTTATTAATACCATTTTCCCCCAGGTAAACTAGTAAGCAATTTTTAGGCAGATAGAATGTTTTAAAGTCTAATCTTATATGAATACTTTTTTCTTTTGATACCTTCCCATTTTATTCAATTGAATTTATTCATGGTTATAGAAATACAATTTTGTTTTTTAGAACCCTCTGTTTAGAATCTCTAATGATGTTCATTTGTTACCTTGAAAATTTAATAATCTGCTTGTTTATCCATCTGCACTGATGTCTGCCTGCCACTGTTCATTCTATTTTTCTGATATTTTGGGAGTTTGTGCCCACTGATTTATATTTCACTCTGTAGAAGAATTCATTGTTCTTTACAGATCGAAGATTTCATTTGTTACTGTCAGAGAGGGTTTAAAAAAGAGGGCTGGGGTAGCACCAGGCTGTGGTGGCCACCGTTAGCACTTGCCTGGAGAAACAAGTCCTAACCTAGGTCTTTTGAGGGAGGATGGGTAGGTTAGGAGAATGAAAGAGAGAGAACAGTGATACACAGTTTGGGTTTGTGTATATGAAACACAGCTTCCCCAGGAGCCAAGGAAATAAAGAGAAGTAACTTTGAGTATAAATTGATACATGTTTTGTTAGATAGTTTGACAATATGTATCAAAATTGGAAATGTATACTGTGTATCCTTTGACCTAGCTGTTTCATGTCTAGAATGTATCCTAAGGAATTAATCAGATGAATGTGCAAAGATTTGTGTACAAGGATGTTTACTACCATGTTGTTTCTTAGAGCAGAAAGTTGGAAACTACCTAAAAGTCCATCAATAAAGGATGAAGTGAATCATAACATGACTATAAAATGGAATTTTTGCAGTGAGTCTTTGCCAGAGATTATAAAATGGAATATCGTGCATGAATGGAAAGGCAGTGTAGGTTTTAAAAACTCTGGGTTCAAATCCTGGCTCTTATTAGCTGCATGACTCTGTGCAAGTTGCTTAACCTCTAAAGGACCTCATTTGTAAAATAGGGGTGATAAAACCTACCTCTTAAGATTGTGAGAATGATTTTTTATTTACAAAGCACTTAAAACAATGTCTGTAACATAGTGAAGTGCTATATAGATGTTGGCTGTTATTATTATTTATATTTCCTATTAAGATTGTTACCTAACAGTATGTATGGTGTGACCTCTGTTACATAGAGCAAAGTTTCTCAGTACTAGTGTTGCTGACATTTGGGGCTGGATAATTCTTTGTCCTGGGAGCTGTCCTAACCACTGTAGGATTGTTCAGCAGCATTTCTGATCTTTACCCACTAAATGCCAGTAGCAGTCCCCTAGTAGTAACAATCAAAAATGTCTACAGACATGGCCAAATGTCCCCTGGGTGGGAGGGACGGGCAAAATTACCCCCAGTTGAAAGCTACTAATATGAATAAATGATTGCAAGGAAATTCTCGGCTAAAATGTTACATTGTTACCTCTGGACAGGGAGATTCCAGACGACTTCTTACTTTTATCTTTATGCTTTTTCATGAGAACTTTGCATGAGGAGCATGAAACATTTTCCACTAAAAACAAAACAACAAAAATCCAGTGCTATAGTGTCTCTGCTTGGGCAGGAAGAAGTATGGGGAAAACAAGATAGTTCTGGCCTTAGACTGGAGAATCAGGTAAAGGTGATCCATCCAGAAAAGGCCAGAGGATGAGCCACGTTGGCTGAGGGTGGAGGTCTGAGGGCCTGGAAAATACTGAGCAGCGTTCTCAGCTGAGTGAAAATGAGCAGCATGACATTATATGTATCTGAAAAGGACCTGTGCCTAGAAAGTTTATATCCTAAGTTTCTCCGTTACTGTAATCCAGCCCATCAATCCCTCATTAACTTCAGTTCAGCCTTCCCTTCCTTTTTCAGAGAAGATGCTGTGCAGACTTCTGTGCAGGGAGGGTTCCTACGAAGCAAGTTAAGAATGATGCATCTGTGAGCTAGCAGTTTCAGTAAGGAAGGCTGGTCATGGTAATGTGTACTGAGATCTGACTTTCAAGGACTTCATCTTTATAGAGCACTTAGTCTGGCTTTAAGAATACAAAGGTGCTTTTCAAATATCAAACTAAATCTGATGACACTTCCCACCTATGGAAAACATAAAATCAGAGAGTGATTTCCCTTTCATTCCATTTCTGATGCTTTTTTATTTTTTTGCAGTTCTGTACACATAATTAATTTCATCAGTAGCACCCTACTTAAAGTACAGAGGAAATCCACATTTGCCAAATTATAAACAGACCTAATCATGACCTTCAGGGTTTGGGGGCTTTTCTTTCAATGTTGTTAACTTGTTAATGGGGAGTAGATTTGTAGATACAACTGGGTAGCACCTCCAGAGCAATGAAATGGTAGCAAAAGGAAACAAAGTGTCCTTTAGGGCTTTTTCTTTTGAGTGACTTTGATTAGACTTACTTAGAAATATGAAGCTCTGGCCAGGCACAGTGGCTCACGCCTGTAATCCCAGCACTTTGGGAGGCCGAGGCAGGCGGATCACGAAGTCAGGAGATAGAGACCATCCTGGCTAACACGGTGAAACCCTGTCTCTACTAAAAAATACACAAAATTAGCCGGGCGTGGTGGCGGGCGCCTGTGGTCCCAGCTACTCAGGAGGCTGAGGCAGGAGAATGGCATGAACCCAGGAAGGGGAGCTTGCAGTCAGCCAAGATCGCGCCACTGCACTCCAGCCTGGACGACAGTGCGAGACTCCGTCTCAAAAAAAAAAAAGAAATATGAAGCTCTGAACTAATCTTCAGAAATGGTTAAAGCACATTCTTATATAGTTGAAAAAGATATATTGAAACTAATTAAATTCTATATTCTTAGGTCAGCAGCACAGTGGCCATGGAAAAAGAAAAACTCTACAGCATATTTCCGAGGATCAAGGTGAGTTATTTTCTGACATTTTACAAAGATATTCTTCCAAGTAATGTAAAATGTAAGTAACTTTGAGGGTATGACAAGCTCTGTAGTTCAAAGGGAAAGCTAAGATAACAAAGAAAGAAATGTGGAATCACAATTTTAGATTCGAGAATAATTCACATTATTTGCCGAAATCGCCATTGATTGAGTTGATATTCAAAGAAGTAAAGTTCATCCATTTCAGTCATTTAACAGATATTTTACATAGTGTCACAAATGTGTCGGTCATTGATTATGTGATGCCAAACACAACAGATGGGTGTCTTCTTACAGTCCCTAGGAGTAGCTTATGATCATGCCACGGTACTCTGCTGGTTAATGCAGAGCAGGACTCATCACCATATCTCTTGACTGCCTTTTTTATCACACCCTGTGGCTGCCAAATAGTGGTTAAGAGCACAGACTGAGACTGCTGAAAATGAAGAAGGGAGCAGGGAGGAAAGAGAAGAGAAAAATGGCAAAGGTAGTAGGAGGACCCTGTGTTGTTCAGCTCCATAGTCCCAAGGCCAAGAACAGTTCCTAGCATGTCAATATATGATAAATATCTGTGGAGCAGATGAATAGAAAAGACCATGAAGGGAGCAGGGTTTTGTAGTTTTAGCAAGTGAGTCCTTGCCAGAGATTATACTCCCTCTTCACCCTCCTCTTCACTTCGGAGCTAGACTTTAGGAGGTAAATGGATTATCCAGCTACTATGTCCTGTTTCTTACCAACTTCTCTGATTCTTAAATCTTGAAGTCACAAATTAACTTGGGGACCATGTCTGGACTTCAAGAGTTTTAGGACTCCCTTGAAATTATGTGAGGATATGTGCATTTTTCTGGGAAGGAGAGAGGGTTGGTTCATAGTTCTTAACAGATTATCAAGGAATCC
The DNA here is from genome assembly GCF_000001405.40 of Homo sapiens. NCBI lineage: Eukaryota > Metazoa > Chordata > Mammalia > Primates > Hominidae > Homo > Homo sapiens. The sequence goes on from NC_000003.12 coordinate 119,486,297, forward strand.
ATGATGCCTCACATGTCAAGACCCTCTGCTACTTGGAACATCACTAGAAATTCTTCCACATACAGTCGTCAGGTTTTTAAGCCCTTTGGTTTTTGTGCATTTTTTTTAAATTAAATATTATACTGGGCTGTACAGAGCATACATAACAAAGGTCATGTAGCTGTTTTAGTGAGTCGTGACTACCTAGCCTCACAGTTATGAGCACCAGTGATTATAGAAGCCACATGAACTTTCCTAAAAGGGAAATCATTCCCTGGGATTTGACTATAGTGACCTGAACAACATACCCTTCAAGACCAAATGCAAGCAAAGAAGGGCCAAGTACCCCCCAACCCTAAAGGTACAGAGGGGACCAGCCCTGGATGACCTAGATGCTGCAGTACCCAGTATACCCCTCCTCCGCTGTCACGTCACCAGTGAATTGTCCACTTGTGCAGAGTCATTGCATTGGGTCCTAGTCCTGCTCACCTTTCAGGGATTGGGAACAGTTTTCTAATACAGGCCACACAGTTTTATGTCACGTGTTTCTTTTATAGGACAAGTCCAGAACGAGATCCTCTCATTCTTCTGTCTCGGAAAAACCCAAAACTTGTTGATGCAGAATACACCAAAAACCAGGCCTGGAAATCTATGAAAGTAATCACCAGTCATCTGACTAGAACTACAGCAGTGAACATTCTCACTCAAAGAACATTGCCACCTGGGTAGAATTTGAGATTAGGTTTCCTGTCAGTGGTGAGGTGAATGTAAAGAAAGTTCCATGAACCAGCATTAGCATATATGTAAATTCTCCTTTTTCAAACTTACATTGCTTTTCTGGCCATATTATGACTAGTATATTGCACTACTTTGAAGGTTTAAACCAGGGGTCACAAACTTTTTCCAGGAAGGGCCAAATAGTAAATGTTGTAGGTTTTGCAGGTCGTATGGTCTCTATTGCAGTTGCCAACAGACATGGGCAGTTTGTAAATGAATGAGCCTGGCAGTGTTTTTATTAAAACTTTATTACGGCCAGGCATGGTGGCTCATGCCTGTAATCCTAGCACTTTGGGAGGCGAGGCGGGTGGATCACTTGAGGTCAGGAGTTCAAGACCAGCCTGGCCAACATGGTGAAACCCCGTCTCTACTAAAAACACAAAAATTAGCCGGGCATGGTGGTATGTGCCGGTAGTCCCAGCTACTGGGGAGGCTGAGGCAGGAGAATCGCTTGAACCTGGGAGGCAGAGATTGCAGTGAGCCGAGATCACGCCATTGCACTCCAGCCTGGCGACAGAGCAAGACTCCGTCTCAAAAATAAGTAAATAAAAATAAAAATAATAAAAAATAAAAACTTTATGGGCACTGAAATTTGAATTTCATGTAATTTTAAGTTGTCATAAAATATTATTCTTTTGCCTTTTTTTTTAACCATTTGAAATGTAAAAATTTCTTAGTCCATGACAAAAACAAGCAGTGGGTCAAATTTGGCCTGTGGGTCGTAGTTTGCCAACCCCTGGTTTAAATCAATGGTCTCAACCCTGGCTGTGCAATACAACCAGAGAGCTTAAGAAAATGAATCAAATGAGTCAGAATCTCTGGGAATGGTGTCCAGGAATCTTCATTTGTTTAAAACTTTTCAAGTGATTCTAAGGTGAAGCCAGAAATGGGACCGTTGGTTTACAGTCCACTCTCTCCTCTTAACTCTATGGCTTTTTGCCTTAATCAAAGAAATTAAAGCCCTAAACTTCCTTTATATGAAATTTCCATATACCATATGAGGATGCTATGAGGAAAAGCTTTAGACTTCTTGGGAGAAAACTAAGTAAATCTGAGGTGCATGTATTATTTCATACAGTTTTAATCAGGAGCAAGTGAGCTTAAGAAACTTTGTTGAATAATAAAAATATGAAAAAATGTGTTCATTTAGAACAAAAGTTGTTAGCATCTACTGTGGGAGGCTGCAGAAGCAAACAAAACTTGTCCCCTCATCAAGGAGTTTACCATCTGCTAAGGTGGATGGAATGTACCTGGGGATGTCAAACTCAGATGTCCCCAGGGGCCAGCAGGTGATGTCAAGAGGTGAGCAAGAGAGAATACTAACAGTTCCAAATGTTAATAAGAGCCCAGTTTGCCAGATCTTCCTTTTTATTCTCCAAGAAAGACTGGAAATCTGGATTTTTGCAAGAAATATCCTACCACCTGTAAATGTTGGCAATGATTTGATTTAAAAAAAAAAATACTTTGCATGCCCAACAAAATTTGAGCATGGGCTATATACACCCCTAAGGCCATCAGCCAGCACTTGGGACCTTCTCTGCATACATTATTTACACAGAGTGAAGTGTGCTGCAGGCTGTGACATCTGAATTCAAAGGAGGGCAACATGGCTTTAGGTGTGCTTAAACTTTAAAATCAGACGGGCCCTGGTTAAAACTCTGTCTTCTATTTAGAGCCACACTGACCTTGAGCAAATCTCAACTTCCAAAGCCTTGGCTTCTGCATTTATATAATGGGAATAATAATGTCTCCTGAGTATATTGATTATGAAGCTTAAATGAGGTAATGTTGATGAAATGTTTAACAATGCTTGCTGCACAGTGATCACAATAAATGCTGTTGCTGTTAATACTAATAACTTCCTTTCCACTTAAAGGATACCTTAGGAAAGCCAGCTGCTAAGGATGTCCATCTTGTGGATCACTGCAAATACAAGTAAGATTTGCAGGACTCCTCACTTTCTTGGTTTCCATACTGCTTTTGAAATAGCTTCACTTTGGGTGAGAACTTTAATATAAAGGCCCAGCTGGAGTAAATGAAAGTTGCATTAATTCATTTCACTGGCTTTTCCTCAGGGCCTAAATGCACTGACCTGAGTTCTGTGGCGACTGTAGAGAAGAATGGAACATGGTTCCTGCTTCCAAACAGCTGCATGCTAGCTAGTAATCACAGTAATGGAATTACCTCTCCATATGCCCCACCCACCCAATCATTGAAGTTAGAATAAATATTTCTCAGTTAATAAATATTAGAATTATTATCCTGGTGTGCTGGCATGCTCCTGTAGTCTTAGCTACTCGGGAGGCTGAGGTAGGAGGATCCTTTGAGCCCAAGAGTTCAAGACCAGCCTGGGCTACATAGTGAGACCCTGTCTCTAAGAGAAATAAAATAAAATTCTGGGACTAAGAATTAGATGAACAGGTAAAACCAGGTCTAGAGGAGGGCAGTGGTGGTGGGGGTGGCTCAGAGTTAGGAGTGCTAATGACACGCAGAGTAGGAGCTATATGGTGAAAGCAACTCTGGTTGGCGACAGGTGCGTGCATAAGAAATGCTGAGAAGAAGACAGCTTTTTTTGTTTTTTTTTTTTCCCCTGTGGGCAATCTCTGAAAATTGATTAGGTTTTCCTCATTCTCCTCTCTACACCAGGGGTCCCCAACCCCCTGCCATGGTACTGGTCTATTAGGAACCAGGCTGCATGGCAGGAGGTGAGCAGTGGGGAAGCGAGCATTACCGCCTGAGCTCTGCCTTCTGTCAGATCAGCCTTGGCATTAGATTCTCATAGGAGCACAAACTGTATTGTGAACTGTGTATGCAAGGGATCAAGGTTGCGTGCTCCTTATGAGAATCTAACTAATGCCTGATGATCTGAGGTGGAACAGTTTCATCCAAAACCATCTCCCCCACACTACCCATCCATGGAAAAATTGTCTCCCATGAAACTGGTCCCTGGTGCCAAAGAGGTTGGGGACCGCTGCTCTATACTTTAAGAGAAGAGGGTGATGTCCAGGAAGCAGTGGAGACCTTCGACCAGATGGGGTACACTAGAGGAAAAACAAGGCTTTGGGAGGCCATGACTAGTTAGAGACATTAGGCCTAGAAAAGCTTGTGAAATTTTTTTCACTCGTTTTATTTTATGTTTACCATTGAACATTTATTTTCTCAGATATGTTCCAAATCTACAAGCTGTCATTTCCTTCTGAGCCCTGTATACACTCTACCCGGCACCCAGCTCCTGACCCTATCTAGTGCTGTCTGGAGAAAATATCCCCTATTTTTCCTCACCCTGCCATTCCCAGAACAACCTGTAGTCCTAGCCCTGGTAAAGTGGCTGATAGAAACCACTTAGGAACATATTAATGTGTCCTTGAAAACTCAAAGTGGAAAGAGAATGGAGAGGAATCATAAAAGGAAAGAAGGGGAGGGGAGAATAAGCATAAAAGGTCATATTTGTGGCAGCAGGCATATAGTATCAAATGTATTTTGTTCTTTTTTCCCCAGGTATCTGTTTAATTTTCGAGGCGTAGCTGCAAGTTTCCGGTTTAAACACCTCTTCCTGTGTGGCTCACTTGTTTTCCATGTTGGTGATGAGTGGCTAGAATTCTTCTATCCACAGCTGAAGCCATGGGTTCACTATATCCCAGTCAAAACAGATCTCTCCAATGTCCAGTAAGCAGTTATCCCCCAATGCAGAGTTTCTAAAGACCCTTCCAATCTGCTTTTAAAAATGCCTTAATGCCTTAAAACCAGTCATGTAAGACATTTAGTCCTACGATTTTTTTCCATTGAAAGCTTTTTTTCCTCTTGGTTTGCATATATAGTATTGCATTATTATCCAAGTAGGCTATAAGTGGAATTTAATTTGAAAAAGCGCTTTAATACTGGTTTCAAATGAAACGTTCAGACAAAATGAAGTTAAAAAGCTCTAATCTCTCCAAGACTAAAGATAGGGATATTCAATCTTATTATATTGTCAAAAGGATTTTCAGATACAGCATGAGAATTGACTCAAGTGAAGCTTCAGCAAATTTCCTTTCATGACAGGAGGAGCTAGGAAGAAGTATAGAGAAGGGCCAGAGTTATCTGAATATTGTTATCATGGTGATATCTGTGTATATATATTTTTTTTCTATATATAAATATATTTATATATAAATATGTAAAATAATATAAATATCTAATATAATATATAATATAAATATACAAAATATATGTAAATATATAAGGTAACTTCTGTATTTTCTCAAATATGTCCCAAATCTACAATAGGGTATCTTTAATCAGTGTGTGGGGGTTTTTTTTTGTTATTATTTTGTTCTTGAGAGAACCCTGATATCTTTGCTTGAAGGAAATAATCCACCATCCACATACCTAAAATTATCCATAGACCTCAATCTATATCGTCTTTCTGACTTAGTGCCAATGAAGTTGGTCTATATTTCACAGTCTAAAATTCTTTTCATTTTAGAGAGCTGTTACAATTTGTAAAAGCAAATGATGATGTAGCTCAAGAGATTGCTGAAAGGTGAGTTCTGTTCATTTTCCCTTTTCCACTTTACTTTTTGTCATCCCCATTATGCCCTAGCCAAAGTTATCTGAATATTGTTATCATGGTGACATCTGTATTTTATCCTCATTATATGGAGATAATTCAGAACTAAACCTGTCCTGGGGGAAAACATACACACATGTCTACATATGCTTGTTTTAAAGGAAAAAGATGGGCCGGGCGTGGTGGCTAACGCCTGTAATCCCAGCACTCTGGAAGGCCGAGGTGGGCGGATCACCTGAGGTCAGAAGTTCAAGACCAGCCTAGCCATGGTGAAACCCCATCTCTACTAGAAATACAAAAAAATTAGCCGGGTGTGGTGGTGCGTGCCTGTAATCCCAGCTACTCGGGAGGCTGAGGCAGGAGAATCACTTGAACCCGGGAGGCGGAGGTTGCAGTGAGCCAAGATCGCACCATTGCGCTCCAGCATGAGCAACAAGAGCGAAACTCCGTCTCAAAAAATAAATAAATAAATAAATAAATAAAGGAAAAAGATTGTTAAGTTGTATTGCTACATGCATGTATGTGGATATGATTGCCATAGGGTTGGTTCTTGAGGCTCAAATGAATTAATTTATATAAAATGCTGAATAATGCTTGGCACAAGGTGAGCACTCAAATGCAGACTGCTATTATCATTAAATTCTGTGCTTTAACATTTTCTTGTTAAATCTTGTCTCTAGGGGAAGCCAGTTTATTAGGAACCATTTGCAGATGGATGACATCACCTGTTACTGGGAGAACCTCTTGAGTGAATACTCTAAATTCCTGTCTTATAATGTAACGAGAAGGAAAGGTTATGATCAAATTATTCCCAAAATGTTGAAAACTGAACTATAGTAGTCATCATAGGACCATAGTCCTCTTTGTGGCAACAGATCTCAGATATCCTACGGTGAGAAGCTTACCATAAGCTTGGCACCTATACCTTGAATATCTGCTATCAAGCCAAATACCTGGTTTTCCTTATCATGCTGCACCCAGAGCAACTCTTGAGAAAGATTTAAAATGTGTCTAATACACTGATATGAAGCAGTTCAACTTTTTGGATGAATAAGGACCAGAAATCGTGAGATGTGGATTTTGAACCCAACTCTACCTTTCATTTTCTTAAGACCAATCACAGCTTGTGCCTCAGATCATCCACCTGTGTGAGTCCATCACTGTGAAATTGACTGTGTCCATGTGATGATGCCCTTTGTCCCATTATTTGGAGCAGAAAATTCGTCATTTGGAAGTAGTACAACTCATTGCTGGAATTGTGAAATTATTCAAGGCGTGATCTCTGTCACTTTATTTTAATGTAGGAAACCCTATGGGGTTTATGAAAAATACTTGGGGATCATTCTCTGAATGGTCTAAGGAAGCGGTAGCCATGCCATGCAATGATGTAGGAGTTCTCTTTTGTAAAACCATAAACTGTGTTACTCAGGAGGTTTCTATAATGCCACATAGAAAGAGGCCAATTGCATGAGTAATTATTGCAATTGGATTTCAGGTTCCCTTTTTGTGCCTTCATGCCCTACTTCTTAATGCCTCTCTAAAGCCAAAAAAAAAAAAAAAGACAAAGCCTCTTAATAAATTTAATGGAACTATACATAGAACAGCAGCTCTTCCTCACCCTTTGCATACCTTTAATATTTTTCCTTCTTAAATTGGCCACAGCAGGGGTCATTCACACTCTCACTGTCTTGCAGGAATCACAAGAAGTCTTCATATGTGAACGTGCCATTCAGTTGGTAGTTAAGAGCATTCAACTTCAAATATATAGAAGATATTTGTTTTAGTGCAAATCCATGATGGAGTGCCTCCCTTTTCCTTTTTTCACTTTTTGAAAAAGATGTTTTGGGTAGTAGTTTAATATCTCAGGGTGCTCTTTCTAACATAGTAAAAAATGAAGAAAAATGTTTAGATTAAAACTCTGTAGTCTGATGACTTAGAACCATCCTTGACCCTTAGGCCCAACCTTTCCACAGAGAAATCACCTCTCTTCCTTTGTCTTTTAAGAACTATTTGGTATTAACTAGTTTCAGAATTAGTAAATGTGAGATTCAGTCACATAATTATCAGACATTCCATTTGTCAGAAATGTATTTGGCTTTTTAAACTCCTTTCCACAAAAGTTTAAGTCTAATGACCTTCTTAGAGAAGTTGAGCATGCCTGGCAAGATCATTTCATGGAATAAGCAGATGTTTAAAGTTGGATTTTTTTTTTTTTTTTTTTTTGAGTACTAGCAATGCACAGGGACCGTGTTCTTAGGTTCTTAGTCTGTGAATCTAGCAATAGGCAGTCCAGATTTCTGAGTCGTACTATGGTTTTGCCTTGTCACTGTGAGGCCCTACTAGGTGTAAGCATTCTCTCTGAATTTTAATTTCCTCTCATTAAAATAGGAACAAAATTTGCTATCCTTTAGATTAGGAGCTGAAGATTCATTTCCCTGGGAATGTTTCCCATTTAGCTTCAAGTTTCAGCTCAAACATCACCTTCTTTCTGACTCCTTTCATTCATTCCTCCAGGCAGTAAGGGGCTACCATAGTACTTTGTTTATGCCTGTATTATATGACATCACTGTAGTTGCTTGACTGTTTCTCCTACTGTTCTGTAAACTTATTAATGGGTGAGAATCTAATTTTACTCATCTTGATGGCTTCATGATCCAGCACAGTGCCTCACACAAAGAACTATTGGGTGGGTGGATGGATGGATGGAGGAATGGAGACAGTTGGCTTAACCAGATCCTATATACAGATTATTACTGGCTCCAAAGGATGAGTAGATAAGACCATAAGAATTGGATCAATGTAAATCCTCACCTGCCCTTTGAAGAGCCAATAAGGGCATCTTTGTCTTTAAATACAGCAAATGTTATTCAGATTTTGTACTTGTCTATCTGTTTACCTCAGTGTAGATGATATGAGGATGGTATAACTATGTAAATTGTTTTTGAAAATAATTTGTTTCCCCACAACTTTTGAAGGTTTTATTTGTTGTTGTTATTACTAGTTCAGTCCCAAACTTACCCTTTCCTTTTCAGAGAGCTAATGGCCATGCTTTTCTTCAAGGAAAGAATAATTTATTTGAATGAAGTGGGATACTTGCATAACACAAATAATGCTTTGTCTTTATTTATTTCGGGAGTGTTATCTATGTGCTGTCAGTGACCCACCTTATTCTACTATATCAGTTCAGATTTTCCTAGTGGTCAAGAACAGAAACTGCCTCTAGCTAGTTTAAGCAAAGTAACTTACTAGAAGGACATGAGGGCATCTCGTGGAATCTAAAAAGGTTTCACAGTGGTTAGAAGGATAGAAGCAAGGGCACCTCCAGGAATCTCAGCAAGAATTTTGACTGTTTCCAGGGTGCTACTATAATGCAGTTCCATTACCTATTGGGCTCTGTCTCAGCTCAAAATTCCCAAGGACAAAAACTTTAATGGACTCATTTGGGTCACCTCCAAGAGTTCCCTACACTTAACCCCTAGACTGACTACAAACAAGAGCACAAACAGGCCAGACACAGTGGTTCACACCTGTAATCCCAGCTCTTTGGGAGGCCAAGGCAGAAGAATCACTTGAGCCCAGGAGTTCAAGACCAGCCTGGGCAACATGGTGAGACCTCGGCTCTACAAAAAAAAAAAAAAAAAAAAAAAAAAAAAAAAAAAAAGAGGCAGGAAGATAGCTTGAGTTCGCAATGTTGAGGCTGCAGTGAGCCATGATCATGCCACTGTACTGTACTTCCACCTGGGCAATGGGAATAAGACCCTGTTTCTCAAAAAAAAAAAAAAAAAAAGCACAGATACACAAAAGTCTATCTTTACATGCATCTAAAGATGCCCTCTCTTAGGATAATCTTACTGCATCCAGAGGTAAGGTGTTGTGGATGGAGCAGAGAGTTATATTTACAAGTCACTCATTTAATACTTACCAGATACTTCTTAAGCATCTACTATGCACAGAGACAAGGAAAGTTTACAAGAGGCTCCCAAACCTCAAGGGGCTGTGCCGTTGAGATGATAAACAATATGAGAGGCATCATACATACGTGGAAGGTGATTAAGGCAACAGGAGTGCCAATTATTCATGAAGACAATGTGGATCTGGAGTTTAGAGGAAGAATAAACTTCCAACTGGAGCAGATGGGAAACTTTGTGGAGGTAAAAATTAATTTATACCATGAAGGATAAGTAAATGAAATGGTTCTTGGAGTTCTCAAAATTCATTCTCTCTCCACATGTTGAAAAGTTTTATATCATATATAATGTAACAAAATGTAAAATACGTAGCAAGGGCAGTACTTGGTGAACCTGGCAGGGAAGGGAACCTGCTGACCCCTGAGAAAAAAATTCACTGTGAGGGAAGAAACTATTAGGTTCTATAAACAGAATTCAGCAACAAGGGCTGTTGGTGGAAGAATGGTGTTCCAGGCAGTATGGTGATTGCACTGAAATCTTTCCCTGATGCAGTTACTCTGCTGGCAAACACATGTCCTGGGGACAAGAAAGCCATATGTGAAACAGTGGTCCAGTAAACCCCATAACACCTTTTGGCTTAGACCAAGCTTGTCCAACCCATGGCTCACGAACTGCACGCGGCCCAGGAAAGCTTTGAATGCGCCCCAACACAAATTTGTAAACGTTCTTAAAACATGAGATTTATGCATGGACTTTTTTCTTTTTCTTTTCTTTTTGTTTTTTGTTTTTAGCTCATCAGCTACAGTTAGTGTTATGTGTGGGCCAAGACAATTATTCTTCCAATGTGGCCCAGGGAAGCCAAAAGATTGGACACCTCTGGCTTAGACTGTATTGATCGGAGAACCTTCAAAAAGAGCAGACTACAGCCTACAGGGCTGGGCTTGGTGGCTCACACCTGTAATCCCAGCACTTTGGGAGGCTGAGGCAGGCAGATCACTTGGGGCCAGAAGTTTGAGACCATCCTGGCCAACATGGTGAAACACCATCTTTACTAAAAATACAAAAATTAGCCAGGCTTGTGGCACATGCCTGTAATCCCAGCTACTCAGGAGGCTGAGGCACAAGAATCACTTGAACTTAGGAGGCAGAGGTTGCAGTGAGCCGAGGTCTTGCCACTGCCCTCCAGCCTGGGTGACGAAGCTAAGACTGTATCAAAAATAAAATAAAATAAGCAGACTACAGAGGAGGGTGAGCATTTCCCTTGTTCTAAAAGAAGGTAAGCCGTAAGGGATTGGGGAAGTAGGAAATGTGGGAGGGCTCAGATGGAAGAGCAGCAACAGTGCGAGCAGTAGCCAAAGGAGAGGGGAGTTTTTTGAGTTATCAGGTGGCAAAAGGAACATTACAAATGAGTCTTCCGTTACCCAAATGAGAAACAAGTTATGGAATTTAAAATTTGCCTGTTAATATTACCTCATCTACAGGCTAGTGAATCCTGGGGCATTTGAGTTGTACATAAGTGATTGTGTCAGTATCTTCCCAACACCCACCCAAACCCTCCTACCCATTTCAAGTCCTCCTTCACCCCAGAATAATTCTGGGGTCATCTTATGCATTTAGCTTTTTCTACATATAGGTTAGAAACAGACTGTACAGCCATTTTCTTGGGCTTTCAGGCCTTGGTAACTTATCTTGGTGCCCACTTCTACCTAACATGGGATAAGCAGTAATCCAGAGCCAGAAGTCAGGAGATCTGAATTATTCAACAAATATTTACTGAGCACCTACTGCGGTTCTAGGTCCTGGAGATACAGAGATGAATATATTTGGTCTGTGATCTCAAGGATAGTTTATTGAGACAGATTAATAGGAAATTATGATGCAGTGTTGTAAGTGCTACGATGAGTGCTGAATCAAATCTCATATCCCAGAGTAGTCTTCATGGCGCTGTCACTAATTGAGCTGGTCACTCTAGTCAGTCACTTCTCAGGGACTTATGTGTAGCATTTCCAGCTATCAAATTCCTAAGTCCACTTACTGTATTCTACTACAGTGTGGCAGTTTTGATTGACAACTAGAAAGGAATCAAGGAGGTGAAGGGATTGGCAAAATGAATAAGGGAGTATGCTTGTTAACAAGGATTGAATGAAATTACACGAATATTGAGAATATTTTAAATGCATTCATTTTAATGAAAACTGTACTTCGAAGCATATGTTAGCAGAGGTTGTAGTGACGGCAAATTATACAAACACTTGATAGAAATTCCAGAAATTCTCCTGCCTTTTGAGAAGCAGTAGGCATATGAACTAAAGGGAGTGAAATCCACCTTAGGAAGACCTGCCAAAAAGCTGATTCTTCAAAAAAGTGTTCTCGAAATCTTAGTGTAACTGGCACCAACACCCATCCCCAATGCCTCGTTTTTTTTCCAGCAGAACTGACAAGGTACAAACGGACCCCGCCCAGCCTGGAAGGCTTCTCTAATGTTGGCAGAGTAGGTTGGACTTGTTTTTGCACAAATCGCCTTTCCCTCTTTCCCTACTCCACTTGCACTGAATATTGCACTTTCTTCCTTACTGAAGCGGGATTCCTGCCTTTTTTTTTTTTTTTTGAGACAGATTTTCGCTCTTGTTGCCCAGGCTGCAGTGCAGTGGTGTGATCTCGGCTCACTGCAACCTCCGCCTCCCGGGTTCAAGCGATTCTCCTACCTCAGCCTCCCGAGTAGCTAGGATTACAGGCGCCCGCCACCATGCCCGGCTAATTCCTGGCATTTTAAATACGATAAATTACTTCAACCTATGACCACCTCAAGCTGAATATAAGTAGCCGCAGACACCGTTTGCATGACCCAGGAACCACAAACACGGAGCGAAGGCCTGCCGGGACCACGCTGAGCTTCACTACTGGCAGCCAACTCACTTCCGGGGGTGCACTCAGCACAGCAGTGGCCCAACCCGCCCTCAACCGGAAGTCTTTTGGGCTCCGGCTTCGCCGTCGCCCCGCCCCCTGGCCTTTGCCCCGGTCGGGCGGGACTTCCTGTGTCGTATTTCCAAGGACTCCAAAGCGAGGCCGGGGACTGAAGGTGTGGGTGTCGAGCCCTCTGGCAGAGGGTTAACCTGGGTCAAATGCACGGATTCTCACCTCGTACAGTTACGCTCTCCCGCGGCACGTCCGCGAGGACTTGAAGTCCTGAGCGCTCAAGTTTGTCCGTAGGTCGAGAGAAGGCCATGGAGGTGCCGCCACCGGCACCGCGGAGCTTTCTCTGTAGAGCATTGTGCCTATTTCCCCGAGTCTTTGCTGCCGAAGCTGTGACTGCCGATTCGGAAGTCCTTGAGGAGCGTCAGAAGCGGCTTCCCTACGTCCCAGAGCCCTATTACCCGGAATCTGGATGGGACCGCCTCCGGGAGCTGTTTGGCAAAGAGTAAAAGTGCCTAGGGTGTGAAGTGGGGTAGGGGGCCGCGAAAGCGGTGTCCTGCAGCGTGGGCAGCCTGGGTCAGCCTTAGGACACCAAGGATGGTGTGCTTCATTTTTAGATTATATTTGAGGTTCTGATATTTGTAACCCAAGCTTGTATCTTTTTTCTTTCTTTTTTTTTTTTTTTTTTCCAGACAGGGTCTTGCTCTGTCGCCCAGGCTGGAGTGCTGTGGTGCTATCTCGGCTCACTGCAACCTCTGCCTCTGGGACTCAAGTGATCCTCCCACCTCAGCCTCCCGATTAATTGGGACTACAGGCGCGCACCACCACGCCCGGCTAATTTTTTTTTAATGTATTTTTTATAGACAGGGTTCTTACCATGTTGCCTAGGCTGGTCTTGAACTCTTGGACTTAGGCGATCCGCCTACCTCGGCCTCCCAAAGTGCTGGGATTACAGGCGTGAGCCACCGCGCCAGCCCAAACTCGTATTTTTCTTTCTTTTTTTTTTTTTTTTCGAGACTGAGTCGCGCTCTATCGCCCAGGCTGGAGTGCAGTGGTGCGATCTTGGCTCACTGCACTCTTCACTTCCCAGGTTCAAGCGGTTCTCCTGCCTCAGCCTCCAGAGTAGCTGGGATTACAGTTGCCCACTACCATGCCCAGCTAATTTTTGTATTTTTAGTAGAGACAGGATTTCACCATTCGCCAGGCTGGTCTGGAACTCCTGACCTCACGTGATCTGCCTGTTTCCGCCTCCCAAAGTGCTGGGATTACAGGCCTGAGCCACCGCGGCTGGACTGCGCCCGGCCTAGAAGGGCAATTATTTTATAGTAACTTAATACTTAAGACAGCTATTTGTTAGAGCAGTCTCAGGATGACATCTTGGAAGCTTCATTAGCAGTTCTAGCTTCTTATGCATTTGAGAGTAACAAATCGAATTAAATAGTAGTTTTTCCTTGTTATTTTAGATTGGCATGTGCCACCCACTGCATAGTGAACTTTCCCAGTGCGTTTTTAAAAAAACATTTATTTGTTTATTTTTAGAGCCAGGATCTTTGCTATGTTGCTATGCTGGATTTGAACTCGGGCTCAAGTCCTACCTCAGCCTCCTAAGTTAGCTGTGACTACAGGCGTGTGCTACTGTGCCCAGCCCAGTGCTTTTATTAGTACAGTCCTATCTGAGTATTTCATGAAATTATTTAGTAAAATAGAATTTAGATTTTTTGTCTTACATCCACGTTTTTATTCTTTCATACATTGCCCTAAAATCTCACGAGTTGGTGTGATTTCTAAAAGTTAACTTAAGATTTAAACGGAAATATTGGTCTCTCTATCCAACTCACAAATTCTTCCTATTTCTAGGGGTGTAATAGTCATCAAAAGCACCTTTTAAAAAACTTTTTATTGGAGTAGGAAATGCATTTCGAAAAATGTGCCTAAGTATACTGATGGATGAATTTTCACAAACTGAACATAGCTGTACCCAGCACTAAGAAAGAAATGGCAACTATTGTAACATCCCAAAAGCTCCCCTTGTGCCTTTTCCGGTCATTGTCTTTTCAGGAGTTGCCACTATCCTAATTCTAACACCATAGCTTCGTTTTGTCTGAGACTACGTTCCTTTTAATATAACTGAACTGTTTAATTCATCTGAGAATTCTACCTATGATGAAAAATGTTGTGGTGGTAGCATTTGGGTTAATTCTGATTATAGAGTCTCTTGGAGAGCAATGTCCATAAACTAATCCCAAACAACATTGTCTTTTTGATGTTGTAGTGAACAGCAGAGAATTTCAAAGGACCTTGCTAATATCTGTAAGACGGCAGCTACAGCAGGCATCATTGGCTGGGTGTATGGGGGAATACCAGCTTTTATTCATGCTAAACAACAATACATTGAGCAGAGCCAGGCAGAAATTTATCATAACCGGTTTGATGCTGTGGTATGTACTGGTGATCTAAAGAAATTTGGGGCACACTGACTTAGTAATTCACTTTACACTTAATCATTCAATTAGGTTGTGGGGATGGAGGGTTGTTTTAAGGTGTCAGAGTAAAGAAATAAAGTCTGTACTTAATAACAGTGGAAGTACTAATGTTAAAGTGCCTGCATGTTGTTTGAGAGACTACTTTGTTATCTTCAGAACAGGCATGTTTGGCATCACCACTGTGGCTTTTCTTTCTCAAATACATTTCTTCCAATCCCCTGCTAAATCGTCAAGGCTCAGCTGTAACATATTTACCTCATTCACAAAGCCTCCATGAGTATAGGAGCTCACACTAAAGCAATAGTTAACATTTATAACTTTATAGAGTGCTAACTCGTTTGTTACATCATTAGATCTGTACATCAGTTCTTTTGTGAGAATATTAAAGCTCAGAGAATTTTTAACTTTTTATTTTGAAATTATAGCAGGCTTGAAAGTTGCAAAACTAGTACAAAGATTTCCTATATACCTTTCATCCGGATTCTCCATTGTTAACATTTTACCATGTTTGTTTTATCATTCTCCCTCTGTATAATATGTACTAATTTGTTCTGAGCTACTTGACAGTAGGTTATAGACATGATGAATACTTCAGTGTGTTATTTCCTAAAAACAAGGAAATTCTCTTATACAACCACAATTATAATATCAAGATCAGGAAATTAACACAGATATAGTACTATTATCTTATTTAAAGACCTGTAAATTTTGCTAGTTATCCCACAGTATCATTTATTTTAAAAATAAATAAAAAAATGTATTTTTCAGAAGTTAGGCTTGAGTTCTTATTAAAAAATTAATTAATTAAATTTTTTTTTGTCTGGTCCAGAATCTGACCCTGGATCACATGTTGAATTTGCCTGTTATGCTGCTTTGGTCTCATTTAGTCTGGAAGAGTTTCTCTGTTTTTGTCTTTCATGGCCTTGACTATGGGTGATTTATTTTGTAGAATGTCCCTCAATTTGGGTTTGTTTGATGGTTTCTCATGACTGCATTCAGACTATGTTTTTTGACAGGAATACCCTAGAACTGAAATTAAATTAGAAACCCATGATATCTCTGTCCCTTTACTGGTGATGTTTACTTCAGTGACTTGCTTAAGATGGCCTCTGCCAACTATACACTGTAAAATTACTATGTTTTTCCTTGGTAATTTATAAGTATTTTGAGTACTTGTTAGTTCCTTTGAGACTATGTAAATATCCTGCTTTTCATCAAATTTCTACTACTTAAATGCTATTATAAACTATAATATTTCTACTATCTAAAAACTATTCTAAATTCTTAGCATTTATAATTTTTTTATTTTTTTAAAAATTATTTATTCCTTTATTTATTTTTTGAGACAGGGTCTCACTCTGTTGCCCAGGCTGGAGTACAGTGGCACAATCTTGGCTTGCTGCAACCTCCATTTCCCAGGCTCACTCGATTCTCCTGTCTCAGCCTCCCAAGTAGCTGGGACTATAGGCATGTGCCACCATTCCCAGCTAATTTTTGTATTTTTTGTAGAGACAGGGTTTTGCCATGTTGCCCAGGCTGGTCTCAGAGTCCTCAGCTCAAGCAGTTCACCCCCTCCTTGGCCTCCCAAAGGGTTGGGATTATAGGTGTGAGCCACTGTGCCCAGCCTATTTTTATTTTTTAATTAATTAATTTTTTTTTTGAAATTTTTTGAGGCAGGGTCTTCCTGCCTCAGTGCAGGCTGGAGTGCAGCGGCGCGATCATAGCTCACCACAACCTCAAACTTCTGGACTCAAGGTTTCCTCCCGCCTCAGCCTTCCGAGTAGCTAGGACTGCAAACACACACCACCATGCCTAGCTAATTCTTAAATTTTTTTTGTAAAGGCAGGATCTCGCTATGTTGCCCAGGCTGGTCTTAAACTTGTCGGCTCAAGTGATCCTCCCTAGTTGCCTCCCAAAGTGCTGAGATTACAGGTGTGAGCCACCATACCCAGGCAGTTTTAGCATTTAATGATGATTCTTCCTGTAACAATTATGACTGTGGTGGCCAAATGGGCATTTTCTAAAGTCTATCATTCTTTCTACATTTATTGGTTAGTATTATGCTCTAAGGAAGTGTTTTCCCTTCCCCCCTCTATTTACATATTTATTTATCTATTTATAATTTATTTCTATCAGTAGGGACTCATGGATTCTTATTTTATTCTGTAGATTTATAATTCATTACAGGTTGAGCAGCACAAATCTGAAATCCTGAATGCTCAGATTCAAAACTTTTTGAGCATTGACACGTCATTCAAAGGAATTGCTCATTGGAGCATTTCAGATTTCGGTTTTTTGGATTTGGGATGCTCAACCAGTAAGTGTTAAAAGCGCATATTCCCAAATCTGAAAAAATCCTAAATCCAAGTATCAGATAAGGGATCTGGTCTCAAGTATCAGATAAGGGATACTCAACCATTTTTTCATCTCCTGATAGGATAGGCTACACATGGAACTTTTACGTAAGCCTCAATACTTAAAGAATAGTATTTCTAGAGATTTTCTAGTATTTCTATCTGTTTGGGTGTACCTGACTAATCCATAGCTAAAATTCCTCTACCGCAGTTCTAGAATAAGGAAAATATGATGGTGTCTTAGAACCTCACAGTTTTTTAATTAACTTTAGCAATCTGCACATCGTGCTGCCACACGAGGCTTCATTCGTTATGGCTGGCGCTGGGGTTGGAGAACTGCAGTGTTTGTGACTATATTCAAGTAAGTTCACTCTGAATTGTGAGATAGTGAATTTTCTTGATATTGTTTTAGGAGTGTGTCTTTTGAGCAGGTGGGGTTATGAAAACTGAATACCCACATGAAAGTGATTAATAATGCCTTTTTTTTTTTTTCAAGAACTTTTCTCTGTGTAAAAGACTGGTGTAGTTATGGTTTTACAACCATGTCTGGAACACATTGAAGGGGCCTAGGCTAGGAACAGGGATTGATATAGTAGGCTTTTCTAAATCTATTAAGTCAGTGAAAATAACACTCAAGAAGGTAAATGGGATATGCTTTAAATCTTATATTTTCCTTCTCCTCCCTTTTTACCAGCACAGTGAACACTAGTCTGAATGTATACCGAAATAAAGATGCCTTAAGCCATTTTGTAATTGCAGGAGGTAAGACATTTTTGTTTATATTTTTCAGTCTTCTCAAATACAGTTTAGAAAATGTGTAAGGACTTATACATCAGAACTACTGAATTCTTTGGTTGGCTTCCCATTACATCTCATCAACATTGATGCAAAATGTATTTATGGACAGTGTTGTGCTTCACCCTTGATATACTCAATGGGCAAAACAGCAAGGCCCTTGCTTTCTTTGAATTTTAATGTCTAATATGTATGTGATAATACAGGTTGTTGTGATAGAAAGTAACAATTCGGTGGAACAATGGGATCTCATATGGACAGGGTAGTCAAAGAAGGCCTTTCTGAGGAAGTGACATTTGAGCTGATACCAAAGAATAGGAAGGAGCAAGACTTGCAAGGAAGGGTGTCCTAAATAGAGGGAACATCAAGGGGGAAGGCTCTAAGGCAAAACATTTCCTTAAAAGCAGGATAATAACGTGGTGAGTGAGGGAAAGAGTAGCTTGAGATGAGATTGGTGAGGACTATAGGAATGGACTAGATTTTTTATGGTAAGAACTTGGATTTTATTTTAAAGCTCTCTGCCTCTAGTATATATATGTATATTTTCTTTTTAATGAGCATTAAAAATAGAAGGTACAATGGTGATTACCAGAGACTGGATATGGGGTTGGAAAAGATGTTGGTCAAAGGATACAAAATTTCATTTAGACAGGAGGAATAAGTTCAAGAGATCTATTTAAAACATGGTAACTATGGTTACTAACAGTGTATTGTATACTTCAAAATTGCTTTTAAAAAGTAGATTTTGGCCAAGCGGTGGCTCACACCTGTAATCCCAGCACTTTGGGAGGCCAAGGCAGGTGGATCATCAGAGGTGATTTGAGACCAGCCTGGCTAACATGGTGAAACCCCGTCTCTACTAAAAATACAAAAATTAGCTGGGTGTGGTGGCAGGTGCCTGTAATCCCAGCTACTTGGGAGGCTGAGGCAGGAGAATCACTTGAACCCAGGAGGCAGAGGTTGCAGTGAGCTGAGTTCACGCCATTGCACTCCAACCTGGGCAACAAGAGTGAAACTCTTGTCTCAAAAAAAAAAAAAAAAAGTAGATTTTAAGTGTTCTCACCACAAAAAATAGTATGTGAAGTAACGTGTAGGTTAATTAGCTTAATTTAGCCATTCCCCAATATATACATACTGCAAAACATGTTATACACCATATGTGTACAATTTTTACTTGTCAGATTTAAAAAATAATTTTAAAATGAGCATTCGTTTCAGAAAGGTAAGTTAACTGCTATATACACTCAATCACTAACTTGTGTACATTCTTTTATGTACAACACACATATGTATTCTGAACATAAGTTTGTTTTTGTTTTTTTTTTTGAGATGGAGTTTTGCTCTTGTTGCCCAGGCTGGAGTACAATGGCGCGATCTCAGCTCACCACAACCTCCGCCTCCCAGGTTCAAGGGATTCTCTCCTGCCTCAGCCTCCCTAGTAGCTGGGATTACAGGCATGCGCCACCATTCCCAGCTAATTTTTTGTATTTTTAGCAGAGAAGGGGTTTCTCCATGTTGGTCAGGCTGGTCTCGAACTCCCGACCTCAGGTGATCCGCCCATCTCGGCCTCTCAGAGTGCTGGGATTACAGGCGTAAGCTACCACGCCCGGCCTGAACATAACAGTTTTTAAATGTTTTTTTGGGAATAAGCTTACAAAAGATTGCAAAATAAAAATAATACAAAGGGCAGTCTCTATCCTTCACATACAGAGACTTAGCCATTGTTAACAATTCATGCTGAGAATTTATCCGAAATTAAGTCAGACAACTTGCTTTATCTTCTTGCTACTGCATGCACTCTCCCTCTTCTCTGTGTATATGTGTACACACATGGGAAAACACACAATTTGAACTTTTTTTTTTAACTTTTAACTTCAGGGGTACATGTACAGGATGTGTAAGTTTGTTACTTAGGTAAACGCGTGTCATGGAGATTTGCTATACAGATTCTTTCATCACCCAAGTATTAAGCCTAGTATCTTAGTTGTTTTTCCTGATCCTCAAACAACATTTTAATGAAAACTTTTTAAAATACAAAACTAGAAATAGGCATTAATAGCGTTAGAGCAGCCAGATTGTTTCATTTTTAAATTTGCAAGCATTTTTACATGGGTCTTGTCTACCCACTTTTACTTCCTTACTTGCTCCTGCTGTTACGTTCTCTGTCAATTGTTAAATGTGAAAACCAGGCCAGGCACAGTGGCTCACGCCTGTAACCAGCACTTTGGGAGGCCAAGGTGGGCAGATCGCTTGAGTATAGGAGTTTGAGAACAGCCTGGGCAACAAACATGGCAAGACCGTGTGTGTGCAAAAAGTTATCTGGGCATGGTGATTCATGCCTGTAGGCTCAGCTACTCAGGAGGCTGAGGTGGGAGGATGGCATGAGCCCAGGAGGTCGAGGCTACAGTGAGGTGTGATCATGCCACCTCATTCCAGCCTGGGCGACAGAGCGAGACCCTGTCTCAAAAAAAAAAAAAAAACTAGAAACCAAGGAATGATATGGTTCTGCTCTTTTTTCTCTTTCCACTTCTTGTCCTATTAATTATACTCATTAAATATATATGGATTCTTTCACTTCTTTTTTCCCACTGCTACTATCTTATCGTCCCTGTTTCTAATCTTGATGTGCTCTACCTGTAACCTAGTTACATTTTTGAAATATGAATATGATTTTGCCACTTTTCTGTTTGAAATTCTTCTATAGTTTCCTGTCACTTTAATGTCAATTCTTGATCTGGCTTCCATGCGCCACTCTTTTGCTTTCACTTTACAATCTCCTCGGATTTCCCAACATGTTCTTTCCTTTTGTGAATCAGTCCCTCTTCTTGAATGCACTTTCCCACTACCACAATTAATTTTGTTCGGCTCCTACTTAACCTTACCTTTCAAAGTCCAGATCATTTGTCAGCCTCAGCTTCCCTAGAGAGTTCTCCCTAGCCATTTTCTCCCTAGCCATGTTTAGTTCTATTTAGCTGTCTTTCCCTTGTGTTCACATACTTCACTGTTTTTTTCTTTATCTTTGATTTTCTGCAGTTTGAAAATGATATGCCCAGGTGTAATTTTGAGGAACATTTACTGTGCTTGGTGTTTTCTGAACTTTCTGGATCTGTGGTTTGTTGTCTGACTTAATTTAGGATAAATTCTCAGTGATTGTTTCAAAGATTTCTTTAGCTTTCTCTTCTCCTTCTGGTGTTCTAGTACACTTATACCTTTTGTAATTGTTTCACAGTTCTTGGATATTTTATTCTGTGTTTGTTTGTTTGTTTGTTTTTGGTGGAGGAGGTTCCCATCTTTTTTCTCTTTGTCTTTCGGTTTGGGAAGTGTCTGTTGATAATGTCTTCAAGCTCAGGGATTCTTTCCTCAGCTGTGTCCAGTCTACTATTCTTCAGTTCTGTTACAGTGGGTTTTTAAATTTGTTTTATCGCTAGCATTTCTTTTTGATTCTCTCTTCGAATTTCCATCTCTCTGCTTATATTGCCCATCTATTCTTGCATGCTATCTACTTTATCCATTAGAGCCCTTAGTGTATTAGTCATAGTTGCTTTAATCTCTTCATATGGTAAGTCCAGTATCCCCACCATATCTGAGTCTGGTTTTGGTGCTTACTCTCTTAGTTTTACTTGGTCTCTTCAAACTGCTTTTGCCTTTTAGGATGCCTTGTAATTTTTTTTCTTGATAGCTGGACATGATGTACCTGGGTAAAAAAGGAATTATGGTAAATAGGTCTTTAGTAATTTGGTATTAAGATGTGGGAGAGGGAAAGTGTTTTGCAGTCCTATGATTAGGTTCTTAGTCTTTTAGTGAGCCTGTGCTTCTGAACTGTTAACTTCACAAGTGCTTTTCAGTTTTTTTCCTCTCCTTTGGTGGGACAGGATACTACAGTGGGTTGGAATGGGTATTTCCTTTCTCCCACATGGGAGGCTAGAGCAGTTGCATTTGGATATTCCCCAGGCTGGTTAATCTCTGACAAAACCCCAATAGTTTGGGCTGTGCAAAACCATTTATCTTGAGGGCAGGCCTTAGTGAGAATAACGGAATGTTCTGGCATATTTCAAAATGGTTACTTTTCTTCCCCCTTGCCAGAAGCCTGAGGGGATTTTTCTCAGATCTTTACTGGGAGAACTTGGTAGAGCTCCTGGAGTGTGGGGACCCTCTATGATTGGCTCCCCTACAGTTTTTAGGTCTTAGACTTTTCTACACTGAACTTCCAGCAATTTATCATTTATAGTCAAGGTTTCCTACTCTGGTACTGGTTTCCATGGAGGCTTCTGCTCGTGGGTTTCTGCTCTAATAAGGTGTGATTCTCTGTATTTATCTGTCTGTCTCTCCTATTTTGAGGGCAGCAGTTTACCCATGATCTCACTTCTTTGGTGGATCTAAGAAGAGTTGTCAGTTTTTCCATTTGTTTAGCTTTTTACTTGTTGTTAGGAATAAGTGATAAACTCTAAACTTCTCACATGCCATACCAGAAACTGGAAGTCTCCCTTTCCTTTTTGCCCCACATCTTGACAAGCTGATAAGAAAGCCCAAGTGCTACCTTGGTTGACACCAGCAGGAAGTTTCAACCATGCAAGCTCAGGCCTACATGAGGGAGCTCTTGCTCTAGCCCCACCTTCTAAAACCACAAGCCAGTCAGTCAGCCTTCAGGTTCTCAAGTCATTTTGGGACATGCTTGGGATCTTGCCTTGCTCTCCCTGGAAAGCCTTATTATATGTGTAATAAACCTTTTGGTATCCTCTTAGTACCTCTTGGTACTTTGGCATTTCAATATCTGATTCAAATTTTGGGTGGGGGAGTTTATTGTCTCTGGAGGGTAACCACAACATCTTGCAAGTAGAAAATCCAAATGAATTAAGAAAACCATTGGAAGGCCAGGTGTGGTGGCTTATGCCTGTAATCCCAGCGATTTGGGAGGCTGAGGCAGGCAGATCTCTTGAGGTTGGGAGTTTGAGACCAGCCTGGCCAACATGGTGAAACCTCGCCTCCACTAAAAATACGAAAATTAGCTGGGCATGGTGGTGCACATCTGTAATCCCGGCTACTTGGGAGGCTGAGGCAGGAAAATGGCGTGAACCTGGGAGGCAGAGCTTGCAGTGAGCTGAGATCGCGCCACTGCACTCCAGCCTGGGCTACAGAGTGAGACTCCATCTCAAAAAAAAAAGTTAAGTATAATTTACTGTGCAACTCAGCAATTCCATGTCTTAGAATCTGCCCAAGATAAATGAAAACATGTCCACGCAAAGACTTATATATAAATTTTTATAGTGGTGTTATTCTCGACAGCCTCAAACTGAACCCATAAATTCATCAACTAGTGAATGGATAAATAAAATATGATATGTCCATTCACTTGAATATTTTCATCAGTAAAAAACTGATACATGCTGCGACATGAATAAAACTCAAAAACATTAAGTGAAAAAAGCTAGACACAAAAGACTTCATATTGTATAATTCTATTCATATGAAATGTCCAGAATAAGCAGATCTGTAGAGTTAGAAAGTACATTAGTGGATTGAGGTGAGATTGGGAACCAGGAGTAACCACAAATGGGCGTGGGGGATCTTTTTGTAATGATGGAATCATTTAAAAATTGGATTTTGGTGATGATTATATAGCAATGCAACTAAATTTTTTTTTTTTTTTTTGAGACGGAATCTTGCTCTGTCGCTCAGGCTGGAGTGCAGTGGTGCGATCTCGGCTCGCTGCAACCTCCACCTTCCGGGTTCAAGGGATTCTCCTGCCTCAGCCTCCTGAGTAGCTGGGACTACAGGCATATGCCACCATACCCGGCTAATTTTTGTATTTTTAGCAGAGACAGGGTTTCACCATGTTAGCCAGGATGGTCTCAATCTCCTGACCTCGTGATCCGCCCGCCTCGGCCTCCCAAAGTGCTGGGATTTCAGGCATGAACCACCGTGCCGGGCCACTAGATTTTTTTACTAAAAATTATTGAATTGTACATTTAGGTGAATTTTGTGTTATGTAAATTATACCTCAATAAAACTGTTAAAAATATATTAACACAGAAGGGGAAAAAGGCAGTGCTTTTAGATAGGAGGAAGCAAAATTTTCTGTATTTGTAGGTAATATTTTAAAAGATGACTTGAAAAATTATTGCTATCAGTAAAGTGTAAATATATAAATAGCCTTTTTATATTTCAGCAGTTACTTGAAAAGTAAAAAATTTTCTTAATAATAGTACTAAGAATGTAATATAATAAGGAATAAATTTAATAAATGTACAACTTCTCTGAAGAAAATTACAAATCATAAATAATAAAAATGGGGAAACAGTTGATAGTTAACCCAGTATTTTTCTACTTCATTTATAAATTGAAAGCAATTCAAATCAAAATTACAGGCTTTTTTAAAAAAACTTGATACAATGTCTAAATCATATCTAAAATGCTGATTATTAAGAGCATAGCAAAGACATTTCAGCAAAAAATAATGAGGGGTTCTTGCAACTGTAAAATTAAAATCTGTATAAAGTTACAATAAAGAGGACAATAAAGAGGTATTGGTAGATCTGTGGAATGGAATTGCAAGGTCAGGAACAAAACCAAGCACCCACAAATAAGTAAAGGTGATACTTCACATTCGTGGTTTAAGAATAGACCATTCTTGGGCTGGAACAGTTATTAACTATTTGGAAAGAAATTATAACTATATTCAGTACAACAAAATTAGTTAACATTTATTATGGTGCTTATGTAAAAAAATCCATAAAAGATTGGGGAAAATATAGAAGTAAATGTGTCTCTGATTTCTGAGTAGGAAGATATATAAATGTGTACATATACAAGTTGACCTTTGGACAACACTGAAAACAGCTTTGAACACAATAGCAATGCTGACATCTGCCCTGTGCAGTTGAAAAATCCACATATAACTTTTGACTCCCCCAAAACTTAACTACTAATGGCCTGCTGTTATCCAGAGGCCTTACCAATAACATAAACAGTTGCTTCACACATAAATAGATTGGTGTCTACATATATTTTATGCACTTAAAGACATACATTTTTCTTAATTTTTTTTGATATTTCTAGGCTAGACAGTTTATCTGCGAGTTTTTTCAAATTATTGCACATTTCCAAAACATTTTTCAATATATTTATTGAAAAAAATTCATGTGGCCTGGCATGGTGGCTCATGCCTGTAATCCCAGCACTTTGGGAAGCTGAGGCGGGTGGATCACTTGAGATCAGGAGTTCGAGACCAGCCTGGCCAACATGGTGAAACCCTGTCTCTACTAAAAAATAAAAAAAATAGTTGTGGTGGCATGCACCTGTAGTCCCAGCTACTTGGGAGACTGAGGTGGGGGAGAATAGCTTGAACCCGGGAGGCAGAGGTTGCAGTGAGCCAAGATCATGCCATTGCACTGCAGCCTGGGCAGCAGAGTGAGACTCCATCTTAAAAAAAAAAAGAAAAAAGAAAAAAAAATTTGTGCGTAAGTAAATCTGCACAGTTCAAACTCATGTTTATCAACTGTATGTATTTTTAAGCATAAGAACTAAGAAACTAGGAAACAGGAAACACAGTTTTGGCCACATAAAATTTTTAAACCTATCTATGTCATAAATACTATGGAAGACATTAAATGTAAACAATGCCAAAATAATAGTATGTGCAGGTAATGGATAAAAGCCCTAATATATCAAAAAGAAAGGATAGCTCAGTTGAAGACTGGACAAAGGACATGAATTTGTAATTCACAGACGTACCACAAATAACTTGTAAACCTAGGGAAAAACAACTTTTTTCTACTAATCAGAGAAATGCAACTTAAAAATTACATACCACTTCTGGCCTATCAAATTGGAAAAAATAAACTAAGAGAATGCAGAAGACTAGATTACTTGCATACTTTTATTTGGAAAATAAGTTTATGCATCCTTTTTGAATAGCAGTTTAGTAATTTAAGTCAAAAGCCTTAAAAATGTTTATACTTATACCTTTTGGCCCAGAAATTTCATTTCTGTGAGTTTGTCCTAAGGAAACAATCAAATGTATAAAAAGATTATTTGTGGAGGGATTATCATCATACCTTTATTTAAAATATCTATAAATAGAAAATCTAAGTGTTAGACAAAAATTTGTGGTACCTCCATGCAATGGAACTAGGTGGGAGAAAACTCAGTGATACAGAATTTAATAATATGTTCTGTGAAAATAAAAAATTTAGTATGTACACCATGGCCCCAGTTTTTGTGTTTTTGTTTTATTTTGTTTTTTTAGACAGAGTCTTGCTCTTTTGTCCAGGCAAGAGTGCAGTGACGCGATCTCGGCTCACTGCAACCTCTGCCGCCTGGGTTCAAGTGATTCTCCTGCCTCAGCCTCCTGAGTAGCTAGGATTACAGGTGTGTGCCGCCATGCCCGGCTAATTTTTGTATTTTTAGTAGAGACGGGGTTTCAGCATCTTGGCCAGGCTGGTCTTGAATTCCTGACTTTCGTGATCCACCCGTCTCGGCCTCCTAAAGTGCTGGGATTACAGGTGTGAGCCACCGTGCCCGGCCCCAGTTGTTGTTTTTGTTTTTTGTTTTATTTTGTTTGGAGGATCAGAAAAAAAGACTAACTTATTACTGACTCTGGGTAATGGGATTAAAGGTGATTTTGATTCTTGTTAATTTTGAAAATTTTAAAAATGAATATATAGTACTTAAAAATATAAACCTCAACTGTTATTTATTTTGTTTTTTGAGACAGTCTCATTCTTCCGCTGAGGCTAGAGTGCAGGAGTGTGATATCTGCTCACTGCAGCCTCCGCCTCTGGGGTTCAAACAATTCTTGTGCCTCCGCCTCCTGAGTAGCTGGGATTACAGGCGTGCACCACAATACCCAGCTAATTTTTGTATCTTTAGTAGAGGCAGGGTTTTGCCATGTTGTCCAGGCTGACTTAGAACTCCTGACCTCAAGTGATCCGCCTGCCTTGGCCTCCCAAAGTGTTGGGATTACAGGTGTGAGCCATTGCACCTGGCTTCAAATGTTATTATTTAAAAAGTGTTACCACCTTAGATGGCATTAGTTGCATTGTGCATAGTGAAAGGAAAATGAATGAGCATGATTGATGCACAGTCCCAGCAGAAAGGAAAGAAGTCTTTCTGTGCACTGGTCACCAGGTAGCATTGTAGGCCAAATGCTGCTTGCTTGTCACCCTGCCTGAGTGGTGCCATGTAGCAGTACAGAGAGAGTGAGTCTAGGGGAAGGCATAAACTGGAGGGGCTAGTGAAGGTTTTTTGCTTTTTTATTTTCCTTGAAGAAAGAAGAAAGAAAGAGAAGGGGAAAAACATTTTCAGATTTTTAAGGAGAGATGGGCAAAAATGAAGCAGAATGAATGGATCCATAGAACATATTGAAGATTTACTTTTGTAGAAGGGATGTGTCTTCCTTTGAATCTGCAGAGTGGATGGGAAGCTACCTGTGTTGGCATTTTAGATTCAGGAAGTATAGGCTGTAGTAGTATATTAACATTGGATTCAGAAAGCTCACTTAGGGATTTCCTTTTTGTAGAAGGAAAGTTTTAAAATAGGATTCTAGTTTTAAAGATGATTTAATATTGCCTTTCTTGTTTTTAAATAGCTGTCACGGGAAGTCTTTTTAGGATAAACGTAGGCCTGCGTGGCCTGGTGGCTGGTGGCATAATTGGAGCCTTGCTGGGGTAAGCATTAACATGGTTTGGTTCTAAATTGGCACAATTTTCATTAATACCTTGCCTATTAAAAAGTCTCATTTATTTTCAAAGAACAAATTTAATCCTTAGAATCTATAAAAGATCTCTAGTCTTGCATTGGCAGTAGCTTTGACTGTCCATTCTAATTCTACCCCAATAGTTTATCTTATTTACAGTTTTTATTTATAGTTTCTTTTACTTAGTAGTTATTACAATAAATAACATTGACTCAATACAACTATCTAAGATAGGGCCCTTATTCAAAATGCCTTTTTACCAGCTAAAACTGTTTAAATATTGCTAACACCTGAAACTATAGTTCGAACACAGGTATTTATGGGAGCAGGGAAAAAAGAACAAAAAACAGTTAACAAGCATATTCTGTAAAAATTGTTAGGATTTTGTTTGTTTTGCTTAATACATTTTTAAAAAATGTTCTTCCTCAATTTTTTACTTTGAACAATTTCAAACCTACAGAAAAGTTGAATGAATTAGTACATTGAAACCCCATATACCCTTCACCTAGATTCA
The DNA here is from genome assembly GCF_000001405.40 of Homo sapiens. NCBI lineage: Eukaryota > Metazoa > Chordata > Mammalia > Primates > Hominidae > Homo > Homo sapiens. The sequence goes on from NC_000003.12 coordinate 119,514,263, forward strand.
CCAGTTGTTAACGCCTTGGTGATATTTTCCATATCTATGTATATGTGTGGGATGTGAATATATTTCTTTTTCTTTCCGTTTGCTTCTTGGCTAAACTGTTTGAGACCTCATGATACTTCACCCCCATATATATCAGCATGTATCTCCCAGGATGAAGAATACTCTTCCATGAAATCATAATACAATTATCACAGTAAACATTGTTTCAACACAACTATCTAAGTTAGGGTCTATATTAAAAACTCCTCAGTTATCATACTAATGCCCACATGTTTCTCCATTTTGTTTGATCATCCCATCATGATTAGATTAATGTATTTTTGTCAGGAATACAACATAGGTGAAGTTGTATCCTCATGTATCACATCAGGAGATATTCTGTCACCCATTATAAGTAATATTAACTTTAATTACTTGATATATTGGTTTTCTGCTGTGCAACAAATTACCACAAACTGAGCATGTATTGCATGTGAAACAACACCCTTGTAGTTCTGTAGATTATAAATCTGGCTGGGTTTCCCTGCTCAAGATTTTACAAGGCCAAAGTCAAGGTCTTGGCCGGGCTAGGCTCTTACCTGGAGGCTCTGGGGAAGAATCTGTTTCCAAGCTCATTCAGGTTGTTGACAGAATTTAGTTCCTTGTGGCCAGGCACAGTGGCTCACACCTGTAAAACCAGCAGTTTGGGAGGCCGAGGCAGGTAGATCACTTGTGATCAGGAGTTTGAGACCAGCCTGGCCAACATGGTGAAATGCTGTCTCTACTAAAAATACAAAAATTAGCCAGGTGTGGTGGCAAGCGCCTGTAATCACAGATACTCGGGAGGCTGAGGCAGGAGGATTGCTTGAACCCCATATACCCTTCACCTAGGCAGAGGCAGAGGTTGCAGTGAGCCAAGATCGCACCATTGCACTCCAGCCTGGGCAACAGAGTAAGACTCCATCTCAAAAAAAAAAAAAAAAAGAGGAAAAACTAAAAAAGAATTTACTTCCTTGTGCCTTGAGGTCTGAGGTCCCTGTTTTCCTTGCAGGCTGTCAGCCAGACTATTCTCTGTTCCTGGAGGCCACCCACATTTCTTCTCCTAGGGCCCCTTTGTGTTTAAACCAGCTACAGCACATTAACCCCTTCTCATACTTCAAATCTTTAACTTCTACTCTGCCACCAGCCAGGGAAAACTCTGCTTTTGAGTGTTCACTCAGATAGCCATCTCCTTTTTCATTATCTCAGATTCAACTAATTAGTAACCTTAATTACATTTCTGAAATCAATTTTGCCATGTAAGATAATATAATCATGGGCATAATATATTCACAGTTGAGGGATTAGGCAGGATATTTGGGGGGACCACTTTAGAATTCTGCCTACCACACTTGGTTAAGGTGTTATCTGTTCAGTGTCTCCATTGCAAAGATATCTTTTTCCCAATGTGATTAATTAGTAATCTGGAGGGTGAAACTGAATATTCTGCTCTCCAGCTATCTTTTCATCATGTGTTTTTAATGATCCATTGACGACCCATGCTGTAATCGGTTGGTTACTAGAAAGGTGGTTGTAAATGTTGATAAGCTAGTTCTGTCAGTTCTTCTGTTTTTATTAGTTGGTATTTGTCTGACTAGAAGAGTGCTACCTTCGTCCTCCACCTGTTCACCCCTTTGTCTACCTCCTTTGAAGGAGAAGGTAATGCTATAGATTTAATGATTTTTTTAAAAATTTGAATTAAATAAAATCAGCATGTCATAATCTACTGCTGCCATTGCTTTTGTTGTAGTGTTAATATACCAGTTTGGTTTGAAGGGAAAAGTTGTAGGAGTTAGCAACAAAAATATTTTTTATTGTGGTAATAAACACATAGCATAACATTCACCATCTTAATCATATTTTAAGTGTATAGTTCAAAAATGCTAAGTATATTCACATTGTGCATGAGATCTCTAGAACTTTTTTATCTTGAGAAATGAAACTATATGCATTAAAAACTAATTTCCCCTCCCCATACCCTCCAGCCCTCAGCAAATATATTTCTACTTTCTGTTTCTAAGATTTTGACTACTTTAGATACTTCATATGAGTGGAATCATACACTATTTGTCCTTTTGTGACTAGCTTATTTACTTAGCATAATAATGTCCTTGAAGTTTATCTATGTTGTAACCTGTTGAACGGATTGCCCTCTTTTTTAAGGCTGCATAATACTCCATTGTATGTGTATGTTACATTTTCTTTAACCATCTGTCAGTGAACATTTATGTTGCTTCCACTTAGCAAAAATAGTTATTAGTATGAGGTTACTTAAATTGTAGCTGGAGGAAATTTAAGGTGTATGAAGGTCAAATACTTCTAGTCTGAGAACACAAGAACCAAACTCTCTTCATCACTATAATAATTATTATCTAAATCAGTTTCTCAATGGGTTGCTATTGGCATTGTGGGTGAGACAGTTACGCCAGACTCTTGAACTTCAGGATATTTTGGTGGTCCCACCCCCAAAAGCCAGTAGCATCCCTCCCTCAACCAGAAATGCCCTCCACATTTCCTGTCTCCTAGAGGAGCTGGTGCCATTCTGAACTAGAAATTTCATTTTTGAGAAATCTTTGGTGTGGGGCTACTTACTAGAACTTGTCATAAATATATATATTTTTCCTCTTTGTTTTGATTTATTTCTCATTCCTCATAAAAACAGCCAGTTTCTAGATCTGTTGTTTTATTATATATCAGTTAACTTTAGGAGGTTGTAGTGATTGTTTTTGTCTGTTGTTCAGACCAAGGAAGAGATTACCTCAATGTTTTTCTTTATTTGACAAGGACACTTTAATTCTCAAATGTTCCTGTACCTAATAGTGAACAAGTGGCTCTGGTGTTGCTCACACCTTAGCAGAGAATCTCACATGTTGCAAGGTCTAATGACTCGTTTTTCCTAAGCTTTCCCTCTCCTTTCTTCTCAGCACTCCTGTAGGAGGCCTGCTGATGGCATTTCAGAAGTACTCTGGTGAGACTGTTCAGGAAAGAAAACAGAAGGATCGAAAGGCACTCCATGAGCTAAAACTGGAAGAGTGGTAAGGAACATGTTGAGCCCAGGGAATCTTGGCTCTCTTGCCCCAGGCCTTATATAGTGGTGCTCTTTTAAACTTATGTACTCTAAACTGCCACTCAATTCAAAGAAGAGTTTATTTTTACCAAGTCCTTCAACTCATACTGTACATTGTCTTTTAATCTATTTAAGGAGAATGGAAAAATGAAAGAGATTGATTTTAGTTTTAATTTAATGAAGATCTTTCTTTGGATATCTTTTTAAGTTAAAAGTGGTGTAAATCTTGCTTGCATGTTTTTTCTTTTCCTGTGTTCTTAACTGCATAGGAAATTACCTAAAGGGAATATTCACCAAGGAGTGAGCTTTACCTGGCTTACTTAAAAAGTGACATCCTTAGCCTAGCAGGGTGGCTCATGCCTGTAATCCCAGCACTTTGGGAGGCCAAGACAGGTGGATCACCTGAGGTCAGGAGTTCGAGACCAGCCTGGCCAACATGGCAAAACCCCATTTCTACTAAAAGTACAAAAATTAGCTGGGCATGGTGGCACGTGCCTGTAGTCCCAGCTACTCAAGGAGGCTGAGGCAGGAGAATCACTTGAACCTGGGTAGCGGAGGTTACAGTGAGCCGTGATTGTGCTCCAGCCTGGGCCACAGAGCAAGACTCGGTCTCAAAAAAGAAAAAAAGTGACTTTTTTTTTTTTTTTTGCATACATATGTAAGTAAGACACAGCATGTTAAGTCTCCACAAAAATTCTATTTCTTGCTGTAGATGCAGAGGAATTAGGTGGACAATGGTTGTTCATGCACTGAATGCCACTGAGGAACATGAAAACTTTCACCTATTGCATCTAATCATCTCCTGGGATGCAATTTGTGGGATAGGGCAATCAGACTGATAGCTGACTTTGCACAGATTCAATATGTAAGATGAATATAACAGGCTGCCATCTAGTGCTCCTGAGTACAAATGATTTTCACTAGTTCACCTTCCTGGGTACCTAAGACAGCATTGGCTGCTGCTGCTGTTGCTGTTTTGGTATTATAATTGGATAGATGAGAAATCATTTTTTTCCAGTGTTTTCATTTGAAACCTCCATTTCTGCTAACCACACACACACAGACACACACACGGAAATTCTTAAGAGCTGTAGGTCCATCATCCAAGGACTTAAGTGCTATATGAGAAGAAAAGCATTGAGGTTGCAGTGAGCTGAGATTGCGCCACTGCACTCCAGCCTGGGCCACAGAGCAATACTTCATCTCAAAAAAAAAAAAAAATTAAAAAAGTAAATGAAACATTAAAAACTGCAGAAGTTTGTCAGTGATTTAGAGATCAGTGATTTTGAGATGGAAAAGCTTAAGAATGGCTGGCTATGGCCATTCTAAGGTCATTCACCTGGAGTCTTCCACCACTGGCAACCCTGCCAATTCTAGTGGCTGAGCTGCCACGTGCACCCCCTGAAGACTGGCTCATCCAGGGTCCACTGCCACCATTTACCTCCCCCCATCAGTTTAACAGCAGATTTGCCAGCAGAAACCTTACAAGTCAGGAGAGAATGGGATGATACATTCCAAGTGCTAAAAGGAAAAAACAAACAAACAGACAAACAAAACCCAAAAAACTCCTGCCAAGAGTATTATACCTAGCAAAGCTATTTTTCCAAAATGAAGGAGAAATAGTCTTCTCAAGACAGGCAAACACTGAGGGAATTTATCACCACTAGACTGCCTTATAAGAAATGCTTAAAGAACTCCTACATCTGAATGCAAAAGCACGGTAACTACCATTATGGAAACGTGAAAGAATAAAACTCACTGGTAGAGCAGATACAGAAAGGAATCAAACCTTATAATTACAAAAATCTACCAACCATGAAAATAAGAGGGGAAGAAAGGGGAACAAAGATTATACAAAACAACCAGGAAACAGTTAACAAAATGACAGGAGTAAATCCACACCTATCAATAACAATGTTGAATATAAACACTTTAAATTCCCCAATTAAAGATTTAGAGTGGCTGAATGAATAAAAAAAAGTTTAAAGACTCAACTATATATACTGACTACAAGAAACTCACTTCACCTGTAAAGATACAGATAGGCTGAAAGTAAAGGGATAGAAAAGGATGTTCATGCAAATGGAAACCATAAATGAGCAGGAATAGCTATACTTATGCTAGATAAAATAGGCTTTAAATAAAAAACTATAAAAAGAGACAAGGTCATTATATAATGGTAAAGAGATCAATTCAGCAAGAGGAAATAACAACTGTAAATATATATGCACCCAACACCAGAGCATCCATATATATATATATCTAAACAAATAATATTAGAGCTAAAGGGAGAGATAAACCCTAATGTAATAATAGCTGGGGACTTCAACACCACACTCCCAGCACTGGACAGATCATCTAGACAGAAAATCAACAAAGAAATATCAGACTTAAACTGTACTGTAGATCAAATGGATCTAGCAGACATTTACAGAACATCACATCCAACAGCTGCAAAATACACGTTTTTCTTATCTTGAAGTGTTCTTCAGGATAAACCATATGTTAGGCTACAAAACAAGTCTCAACAAATTTTTAAAGATCAAAATAACATCAAATATTTTTTCAGACCACAGCAGAATAAAACTAGAAATCAGTAACAGGAAGGACTTTGGAAACTGTGCAAATACACAGAAATTAAATAATATGCTCTGGAACAACCAATAGGTCAATGAAAAAATTAAGAAGGAAATTTAAAAATTTCTTGAAACAAATGAAAACAGAAACACAACATACCAAAACCTATGGGATACAGCAAAAGCATCACTAACAGGGAAGTTTATAGCAATAAATGCCTCCATCAAAAAGTAGAAATGTTTCAAATAAACAACCTAACACTGCACCTCAGGGAACTCGAAAAGCAAGAACAAACTAAACCCAAAATCAGAAGGAAATAAATAAAAAGATCAGAGCAGAGCTAAGTGAAATAGAGACTTAAAAACAAACAAAAAAACACAAAAGAAGAACTAAATGAAAAGTTGGTTTCTTGAAAACAAAATCAAGAAACCACAAGTTAGAAAAAAGACCCAATTAAGGTAAAAAACAAAAAAGGAGACATTACAACTGATACCACGGACATAGTCATATCATTAGAGATTATTATGAAACAACTGTATGCCAAGAAATTGGAAAAGCTACAGGAAATGGATACATTCCTGAGCCCCTATAATCTATCGAGATTGAGCCAAGAAGTAATAGAAAACTTGAACAGACCAATAACAAGTAACAAGATTGAACTGGTAATAAAAAGTCTCCCAACAAAGAAATGTCCAGGACCACATGGCTTCATTGCTAAATTCTGCCAAACAGTTAAAGAAGAATTAAGACCAATTCTCAAACTGTTCCGAAATATTGAAGATGAGAGAGTTCTTCCAAACTCATTCTACAAGGCTAGCATTACCCTTATACAACAACAAACAGACAAAGGCTCATTAAACAACAACAACAACAAAACCTACAGGCCAATGTATTCTACAAAACAATCCTTAACAAAATACCAGCAAACCAAATCCAAGAGTACATCAAAAAGATTATACATCATGAACAAGTGGGATTTATCCTAGGGATGCAAGGATGGTGCAGCATACACAAATCAATAAATGTGTTACATCATATAAACAGAAGGAAGGAAAAAAACCATATGATCATCTCAGTAAATGAGAAAAAGCATTTGGTAAAATTGAACACCCCTTCATGGTAACACCTCCCAAAAAGTTAGGGGTAGAAGGACTATTTCTCAGTACAGTAAAGGCCATATATGTCAAACTCACAGCTAATATCATACTGAACAGGGAAAAGTGAAAAGCTTTTCCCTCAAAGAACTGGAATGAAATAGGAATGCCCACTCTTACCAGTCTTGTTCAACATAGTATTAGAAATCCTAGCCAGAGCAGTTAGGCAAGAAAAAGAAATAAAGGGCATTGGAGGCCAGGCACGGTGGCTCACACTTGTAATTCCAGGACTTTGGGAGGCCGAGGCAGGCGGATCACTTGAGGTCAGGAGTTCGAGACCAGCCTGACCGACATGGTGAAACCCCATTTCTACTAAAAATACAAAAATTGTCATGGTGCACACCTGTAATCCCAACTGCGTGGGAGGCTGAGGCAGGAGGATTGTTTGAGCCTGGGAGGTGGAGGTTGCAATGAACCAAGATGGTGCCACTGCACTCCAGCCTGAGTGACAGCATGAGACAAAAGAAAATTAGGCACAGTAGTGCATGCCTATAGCCCCAGTTACTTGGGAGACTGAGGCTGAAGGATCCCTTGAGCCCAGTAATTCAAGGCAGCAGTGAGCCATGATTGTGCTACTGCACTCCAGCCTGGGCAACAAAGTGAGTCCCTGTCTCTTTAAAAAAAAAAAAGTGGGCGGGGGAGCTTGGGGGGAAACTTGTATTTCTCAAAAAATACCTACAAGTGCTAACAAGTATATGAAAAAGTATTCAACATAACTAATCAGGGAAATGCAAATCAAAACCACAATGAAATGTGGTTTGGGGACAGTTTGGGAAATTGGAGTGATATTTATCCCAATTAGAATGTCTATTATCAGAAAGACAAAAAATAAATTTTGGCAAGGATGTAGAAAGAAAAGGGAACTCATATACTTTTGGTAGGAATGCAAATTATTACAGCCTTTATAGAAACAGTATGGAAGTTCCTCAGAAAACTAAAAATAGAACTACTGTAAGATCCAGCAATCTTCCCTACTAGGTATTTATCCAAAGGAAAAGAAACCAGCATATCAAAGAGTTATCTGCGCCCCCATGCTTATTGTAGCACTATTAATAGCCAAGGTATGGAATCAACGTCAGTGTCCATCAACAGATGGATGGATAAAGAAAATGTGGTATATATCCACCATAGAATACTATTCAGCCATAATAAAGAATGTAATCCTGTCATTTGTGGGAACATGGATGAGCCTGGAGGACATTGTTATGTAAAATAAGTCATACACAGAAAGATAAATACTGCATGTTCTGTTGCTCATGTGGGAGCTAAAAAATGGGCTCATAGAAGTAAAGAGTAGAATTATGGTTACTGGAGGCTGAGGAGGGGACAGGGAAAGGCATAAGAAGAGGAGATTTAAGGGATTGATTAATGAATACAAAATTATAACTAGATCGGAGGCATAAATTCTAGTGTTCTGTGGCACTGTAGGATGACTATAGTTAATAATTTATTGTATATTTTCAAGTAGCTGGAAGAGAGGATATTTGAATGGTCCCAGCAGTATGAAATGATAAATGTTTGAGGTGATGCATATGCTAATTACCCTGATTTGATCATTACACATTGTATATGTACAAAAATATCACTTTGTACTTCATAAATATGTACAATTATTAGTATCAATTTTAAGACAGATGGATAAAAACAACTTGAATCATAGTAATGAAAGAATACTTTGGCAGAATGAAAGTGTCAAAATTGTATAGCATATACACGTATGGGTGTTTGTGTGTGTGTGTGTGTGTGTGTGTGTGTGTGAGATATTTCTAAGGAGAGTTAATAAACGTTTAAGTGTCTTGTATGTGCCTACTTCTTCGCTTGAAAATAATACAGGAAAATCAAACAAATTGAGAGTCAAAAAAATTGCCTCAATGAGCAGAAAATGTAGAAAACTGACTATAGAGATATAGAAGAACAAATGACCAAATCTGTGAAGAGTTGAGAAGAAACTTTAATCCCGATAATCACTTAAGGAAGACACTAATACTTGATTTAGAAACAGAACTGATCTATTATTTGGAAATTAGTTTTTAACTCTTCATAAATATAAATCTATAGTTTTGTTCTATCTGACTTTTCTCTACCTTGGATTACCATTGTTATAGCCTTTGACCAGTTCCTAAAAGGTCTGGTCACAGAGTTTAAGAGTGGCAGGGTACTTACATTCCCCCAGCCCTGGGAGCAAGAGGACAGCGAGACTTCAAGCCTTCACACCTTAGCACAAAGTGTGTCAGTTCCCACACATCACTCCTGTGAGAACTCTAGGACCCAGCATACTAGGAATATCTTATGGATCAGAGCTGTCACCACAACGGTATCCATTATGGTAATGTGGAAATCATAATTGGCTTGTGAGGTTAGGAGAGAGAAGAAAGTTACTGTATTTGAAGTTCAGGGAGCAGTATTTGCTTCTAAATTGCTATACCAAAGCAGGGAGGAAAAGACAAATGCTATCCTTTTTGTTTTAAATCTGTAAGAACTAAAGAAATGGAGCAGTATTTGATTTATCCTTTTTATCTGATTACAGGAAAGGCAGACTACAAGTTACTGAGCACCTCCCTGAGAAAATTGAAAGTAGTTTACAGGAAGATGAACCTGAGAATGATGCTAAGAAAATTGAAGCACTGCTAAACCTTCCTAGAAACCCTTCAGTAATAGATAAACAAGACAAGGACTGAAAGTGCTCTGAACTTGAAACTCACTGGAGAGCTGAAGGGAGCTGCCATGTCCGATGAATGCCAACAGACAGGCCACTCTTTGGTCAGCCTGCTGACAAATTTAAGTGCTGGTACCTGTGGTGGCAGTGGCTTGCTCTTGTCTTTTTCTTTTCTTTTTAACTAAGAATGGGGCTGTTGTACTCTCACTTTACTTATCCTTAAATTTAAATACATACTTATGTTTGTATTAATCTATCAATATATGCATACATGAATATATCCACCCACCTAGATTTTAAGCAGTAAATAAAACATTTCGCAAAAGATTAAAGTTGAATTTTACAGTTCGTATATTCATGTGGTCCTTTGAAAGGGTATTCTAGAAATCACTGGAAAGAGGAGAGGAAAGAACCAGGTAGGCAAATGGTCTGTGAAACCCTTGGGTCCTGGAAGCAGTGTGAGTGTAAATGTGTAGTGTTTGGTTTCATCTAAATAAACAAAGATGATTTCTTTGACACTTGAAATAAAATACAAATTCAACAAAAAGTAGATCAGCATTATTAAAGAAACGGTTCAACTTTGTTTCTTCCCTTAGTATTGCTGACAAAGTATCTGCTGTAGAATACAGGAATTACTTAGAATAGAAACATAGTCATCACAACTGTTACTAAATGGAAAAGAAAAGAATTATTGAGTTAAGTATTCCTGTCAATACGGGAAACACTGCTAGTACCTTATGTTGGTGTTAGACCTCTCTGCCCTACACTGAGAATATAGTTTTACACAGGAGCAAGGTTTGTGAAGCAGCATAGTGAGGTAGCTAAAGCCATGGGCTGGCTCTAAAGGCTTTAAATCCCAGCCATGTGGCTTAGCTGCCATGAGATGTGCATTTGAGAAATGTTGTCTTCTTTTGCTGTTCAACTCCAGATTTTCAGATGATAATGTGATTATCCCAGCTTAAGTTGCGTCCACTTCTGGTCTAGTGAATTGTGGAAGGCAGTTTTAGAGAAAGGAGTCATGAGTAACATGAACAGCAGTTGGCTATGTCTTTCCAGTTCTCTGCTGATGTCAGAAAGACCCAGAAATACCAAGGAGAAAAAGCCATCTTAGGGATCTAAGGAGGCCCTATGGAAAGTTACTACCTTAGACATTTGAAGATAGCTTACTGCTTAGTACATACACTGTAAACAACGATCTCATTTTAAATGAGAACTTTCTCATAAATATTTTACAAATGAGGTCAAACTAGCATAAAGCCATTTAAAGAGATTATCAGTCCAATATGAACCAGTTAAGTCTTTGGACTATCCCTTTCCTCCTTGACTACTGCTTTGACGTACCTAAATCATTCGTCTTACATGTCAGAGGAAATTAGTTTTGGATAGTTCTCCTTTCTGCTGTACCTCATGGGGGAGTGAGAGAGCAGCAATAGAGAACACAATGAAAAAAATGGAATACTGGGTAAACACCAATAATATTTCCATTAGTCTCCTAAAGATGTTCATGCCATACTTCCTATGCATTACATTGGGCTTTTGTAAACAGCAGCATAAAATCTTCTACTCTGACATTAGGAAATCAGATAGTCTCTGAAGTTGACCTGTTATTGGACAAATTCTACTTCCAGCAGCACTTTGCCTGACATATATATGTATATACCAGTTAACAGGCCACAGTCAAACTGATAAAGGGAAAGAGCACCAGAGTTAGGAAATCTGGGTTCTGGCGCTGGCCTTTATAATTCGGGTCACCTCCCTGGGCCTCAGTGCCTTTGTCATTAATAACACTGGTATTCTCTAAAGTCCCTTCCAGAACTCAAGAATTCTGCATTTCAAAACACCTTGATCAAGGTCACCAGAGCTACTTCTGTGCCCACCATATTCCTCTAGACACTTCCTGCAAAGCAACTGAAGTGAAGAAGCACCTAAGAGCAGATACGTAAAGGGCAAGGTGGGGTAATCTTGTCCATCTGAGGAAGTTCCCAGAAGAGGTCAATTGCAAATGGAGGTGGGACCTGAGAAAACAAAGAAATGATTACATCAAACCCTATATTGGCAAAGGAGGAAAACATCTTAAATTTATTTATATATTAAATTATACATATATAATTTTTAAATTATATATGTATATATGTATATATAATTTAATTATATATGTATATATATATATTTTAAATATAAGATCTTAATTTTAATCTCTTAATTTACATTTTAATCTCAAGATCAAGGGTATTCCCAGCTTGTACACAGTAACCTTGATAGCTGAAGAATATGAAGGGAAAGCTGAATTATGAGAGAACTTAAAACTACTCTGGCAATTTTTGTCACATGAAATATCGATCAGGCAAATGTTTAGTTATTACCAGCTATTACCAAACGACCAAATGCTTGATCAAGCCACTCTTCTATGTGTGGGGCTCTCAGGCATGGTTGCTTTTCTCAATAAACCTACATACAGTCCAGTAAAGGATAGAAGGAAGATGTGGTACATGAAAATCAACCTATGCTGGTGGTATGAGATGTGCTATAGAGGTGGAACTGCTTGAGCTAGACAAGATGACCACAGAAGGCCTTGTGTAGAAGATTGGGTACACGGCTTCATTTTGAAGTATCAGCAGACTGAGCAGAAGACTTTTTAGATAGAAAGTCAAGAAAATTGTAGATAATGACAGAACTGAGCCAGAGCAACATCCTGGAAAAGACATTCTGAGGAGTGAGCAAGCATTCAGTGGAAATGAAAAAACAGGATAGGAAGTTGAGACACTGCCTTGGGGGAAAATATGTGTAGGCTGCCAGGTTGTAGGGAAAGGAGCCTGAACTTGATGTCCAGTTTGAATCTTGGTTTTATTCTTCATCTGTATGACCGTACCTCAAGCAAATCTCTTAACCTCTGGGAGCCTCTGGTTTCTCTCCCATAACATGGAAATAGATCTTGCTCATAGAGATTTTTATAAGACTAAGATGAAATAGTGTTTTTGCAAAACAACCTGTTGTATAAGCGTCAGGTATTATTTTTCATTTTTCTTTATATTTCCCCCTCCTGCCCAGGACAATTCTTGCTTTCCTTTATTTTTAAAGATAATTTTGTAGACTAATTCCTATACTGGTGTTACTCTAACCTTCACAAGTCAAAGCTGAACTGTTTAGGGAGGCTTATAACTACCTGGGACCTGATATCAGTCTCTTGGATTCTAATGTCCCATGTAAGTTTCTCTTGCATGAAAATACCTGGGGATTTGTGACTCACTAAAGCTAGTGCTGTGTTAGGCTCTCTTAACAGGATGGACATTCCAGACCCCAGATAATAATTATCTCATTGTATGTAGAGTCATTAAGACCAAATCTAAAGTCTTGGGTTCCGTTTACCCCATTCATGTGAGGCACTGGAAACCATGCCATGTGAGGAACAATTGACAGAACTCAAGGGTATTTAGACTGAAGAGATCAGCTGGAATGTGGAAAGTTAAAAAGCTTTGAAGCTTTTTCTGTAGGCAGTGGGGTCTCTTCTGAGTTTTTGAGTGGGAAAATGACATGACAGAGTAATTCTTTGTGAAATTTGGCTCCATGATTCGTCAGTAGGATGAGTCTGTTAGTAAGAGGCAGAGAAACCAATGAAAATGTTACCGTGTTAATACAAAGTGACCCCAACCCATGTCCATCAATACTGAGAGATAGAGGGAAAAATGAATGATCAGAATAAGAAGTTACCACAGGAATATTCAAGATGAACTCAAATTAGTGTTTAATAGATAATGAATTGGCTGACAAGACAATTCAAGATGGCAGAATGGAAACATGGCAAAAGAAGAGGTTACATTAAGCAAATTGCATATGGGGAGAAAGGAGAGGGATGCCAGCCATCTTGTAACTGTTCAGCTTAATCTGAAAGAGGTTTTTAAGAAGGTGAGGTAGTGGGTAAAACAGCTTAAATTTGTTAAGGGAAGAATGCCTCATGATCCCCACGATCCATGTATCCCAGAAGAGATGACGGAGGCTACCTTCAGATCTTTTCAGCCCCTTGCTTCTGCGGACACTGTTATACAGGGCGTACACTTTCCCTTCTCAATCTCTCATTCCTCCTTCTCTCTCTGCATCTTGGGGCAAAGCCTTGGAGACAAGAACAAACAATAAAAATGATAAGTAAGTTTCCCTTGAATTGTGCCCATATGTTAATATTTACTTTAGCAAGGCTTCAGACTGGCTTAGAACTGGAGCAGTTGTTCTTATACCAGGGGTGATTTACAATGCTCCCTCTTTACCTCTTTGCCAAGGGGACATTTGGCAATGCTTGGGGATATTTTTGATTGTCGCAACGGGCAAGGGGTGCTACTGGCATGTAGTGAGTAGAGGCTAAGGAAGCTGCTAAACATCCTACAGTGCACAGAACAGCACTCCAAAACAAAGAATTATCTTGCCCAAAATGCCAATAATGTTGAGGATGAGAGCCCCTGAATTAAAGGGGTAACACTGGATAGTTGGTATTAGAAACATCCTTGAGCCCACCAGACCTCTTTATCCTACCCTTGGGATAAGTTGTTAACAGCACATACTCTCTAAAGAATTCACTGAGCTTTGGGTTTTTTTGGTGCTAAAGCCTGGGAAAATCAGCAGATGTTGATCTTCCGATTTTATTTGATCAGTGTACATGATTTCTACTCAAAGAAGGGTTGGTACCCCTTCATAGTGATTATGGCCTTATTTCGGACCATAGAACTAGCAGTTCCTCTTCATTTAATCATAGAGATTGAGGGCAGCATATGTCTAACACCCAAAGTGTAAATTCATAGGGTAAAATATCTTAGAAATCTCTTCTTTCATCAGCCACTCCTGATCTTTCATCCAAAAATGTATTCTAAAGAACTGAGAAAATGGACATTTTCCAGACACCTATGTGTGTGGCACTCTACTAGGCACTGGAATTCCAAAGACAAGAAGTCCCAGCACTTTGGGAAGCCAAGGCAGGCGGATCACGAGGTCAGGAGATCAAGACCATCCTGGCCAACATGGTGAAACCCCGTCTCTACTAAAAATACAAAAAAAAATTAGTCAGGCGTGGCAGCACGCACCTGTAGTCCCAGCTACTCAGGAGGCTGAGGCCGGATAATTGCTTGAACCTGGGAGGCGGAGGTGCAGTGAGCTGAGATCGGGGCATACACTCCAGCCTGGGTGGCAGAGTGAGACTCCATCTCAAAAAAAAAAAAGAACTAAGAATTGGTTTGTGTTTTGAGATGGAGTCTCACTCTGTCACCCAGGCTGGAGTGCAATGGCATGATCTTGGCTCACTGCAGTCTCCGCCTCCTGGGTTCCTGGGTTCAAGCAATTCTCCTGCTTCAGCCTCCTGAGTAGCTAGGACTACAGGTGCACGCCACCATGCCTGGCTAATTTTTGTATTTTTAGTAGAGACAGAGTTTCACCATGTTGGCCAGGCCGGTCTCGAACTCCTGACCTTAAGTGATCCACCTGCCTTGGCCTCCCAAAGTGCTGGGATTACAGGCATGAGCCACCCCACCCAGCCCAAGAACTGAGAATTGGTGAGATCACCTGTAGCCATGTAGTTTCTCAACTGTATTAGTGCATCTTGCCCTCCTCCAAGAAAATGATTCTTGGCACCAAAATTTGTCAATTTGCCTTTTCTCTAACTCCAAATCAAAATTAGAATATCAGCAGGATGGTGGCCATGGAAGTTGGAATTCACTAAGGAGTGTGTAACAACTCACCTGCCAAATCGACTAGCCCTTAAAAAAAAATTAGAATATCATTTAGCATCAGAAACGTTTTCAAATTAGTTAGCAAACCCCAGTCTCCAAAAATATATAAAGTCAGGGAAAAAATAAACAGACTAAACTAGAATGTGTCTTGAGGGCAGTGACTTCTTGTCATTGTAATTCCAGTGCCTAGTAGAGTGCCACACACGTAGGAGGTGTCCGGAAAATGTCCAGTGAATGAACAGAACTTGTTGAGACAAGTAAAGGAGATGCTCATGTTTCCATAGGCTTGCTGTAAACATGAGAAGCGAATAGGCTAAAACCTCAGAGAGATGCCGAACCATGGTAATAAAGTTTGATCTTCCAGAATTGAGATCAGGATGATGGTATGATAGTACTTACAGTAGGTCAGGCAGCATATCACAAAAATTCCATTTACTGAGATTAAGGTAATGGCCCAGGATGGGAGCAGGTTATCAGGAAAATGCTCTTGCTTGGCTATGGAGGGAAAAGAATAATGTCAGCTGTAATGTATTTCCTACTGCCTGATACTCATTCTGTGCCTTTTCTATTGATGCAACTGTGGAGTATTCTTTGCCTGGTCAGCTCTCCAGTATGCAGCTGCTAGCATTTTTCTTGCATAATTCTTCAATCAGGCACATACTTGTGGGCAACTAATAGTCAGATGTCACATATTAAAAGTGAAAAAGATACTTTGAATGTCTGCATTTACTGAGTTAAGTTGACATAAGGAAGATTCTAAGGAAATCTTTTACAAGCCATCTTGCAGTATCTCACTTTTATAGCTGATTATAACTATGTGTTACTACTAACTGGTTGATGTTGTGTTCTAGGTATACTTTATTTTTCCTTCTCTAGCTCTGTCGTGCCTTCTCCCTTTCTCCTACCATATTCTCTCTCAACACATACACATCACACACACCCTTACCTCACAGTAGCTGCCCTAAAGCTACAGGAGCCACTTTGCATTCACTTTCGGATACAGGTTTTTCACCCTCTAGCTACTGGAAACACAGAACAAGTCTGGCAAAGAACTAAGTGTGGATATGGCTTGGTATTAGGTGGGACCATCCTAGAAGAGAGCACTGAAGGTTATCAGCTGTAGTTTCAGTCCCACAGAGAGCACAAGAAGTACACAAGGAAATGAGGGTGGGGAGGAGAAAGGTGTTGGTGGATATGGTGCTGCGGGTCCATCCCTCCAGATCAGGAGCAGCAGCTGCAGTATTTATTCTTCAGCTGCTTTGAGGAATCATTAGCAACATCTGGAAAAACGGCAGGGACACAAATTATAGCAGCTCATTTTCTGGTTTCTCTGAAATGGCTTACAAATAAATGAATATTTACTAACTTATTGTTTTTACTTTTTTTCTTCATGCTGAAGTTTTATTTAAAACATAAAAGAAATGTTCCCCCAAAATGCTAGTGAATAAAGCAAAAGGATACGACACAGTGCTCTCTCACTATGAGTTAGCCAGCCTATCCAAGTACAGGGTAATATACAGTACTCAATGCTGGTAGAATTTCACAGTAGTTTAGTGTTAAAGATTATCTGTGCCTAGATTATGAAGAGATTCTCAATGTGTGATGCTTAGTTCTGGGTTTACACCTTACTGGGCATGAACAAGAGCCCCTGCTCCTTGGCCATAGCCAAATCCCTTGGGCCCAAAGTTCTTTGCATAGCACCATTACAATAGATTTCACCTTCTTTTTCAGTCAGAGTTGTTGATTCAAGACTCTTCCCACACTTTGCACATCAGAAACAGTTTTTGTGCCAGGGCTTTCCAGCTCCAATTATCTTCTCGGCAGCATATACAGAATCCCCACATCTGGAACATTTCTCAGCACCTCCATATTTCTGAGCAAATTTAGAAGCATTTGGATTTCTTGTAGGCCTGTGAGGCTGAACACTCTCTGGCTTGATGCCCAGCCTCTCGCCATGTTAAGCGTGCCAGCACCCTGGCCATAACCATAGCCTTTTGTCCCATATTTCTTTCCATAGTAGGATTTGCAGTAGATCTCTTCATTGTGAATTGCCACTGTTGTGCTATCTAAATTTTTCCTGCAAACCATTGAGTCGGAGGCAGGAGCATGCACCACAGGCGGAGCTAGCAAGGCTGGGCTGGAGAGAGGGTCCAGGGAGTCCAAGATCCCTGTTTTTACTTTTCTGATTACCAAACCCAGTGGTAAGTTTTATTTATTTATTTATTTATTTATTTAAGACGGACTTTCACTGTGTTTCCCAGGCCAGGCTGGAGTGCAGTGATGTGATCTCAGCTCACTGCAATCTCTGCCTCCCGAGTTCAAGGAATTCTCCTGCCTCAGCCTCCCGAGTAGCTGGGATTACAGGGGCGTGCCACCACACCCAGCTAATTTTTGTATTTTCAGTAGAGATGGGGTTTCCCCATGTTGGCCAGACTGGTCTCGAACTCCTGACCTCAGGTGATTCTCCTGTCTTGGCCTCCCACAGTGCTGGGATTACAGGCATGAGCCACTGCGCCTGGCCTAGTTTTATTCTTTTGCTTATTGGACTTCTCATCAGCATTTAGCCAGTTGGAATCTTCTCCTTCTTGGACTTCTGTGACACCACATCCTTCTGTTTCTGTTTGTTGCACTCCGTTTTCTCTGAAGGCTTTTCTTCCTCTTCTTGTCCTCTAATTATTGTTGTTCCCATGGTTCTGTTTGTGGTCCCATTTTGCCCTTACTGGCCCCAGTCTTCCTGGGTAATATCCTCCACACCTGAGATTTGAAATGCCATCTGAGGCTGGGCACAGTGGCTCACACCTGTAATTCTGGCACTTTGGGAGGCCAAGGTGGGCAGATCACCTGAGGTCAGGAGTTCGAGACCAGCCTGGCCAACATAGTGAAACCCTGTCTCTACTAAAAGTACAAAAAATTATCGGTGGCGAGTACCAATCCCAGGTACTCAGGAGGCTGAAGCAAGAGAATTGCTTGAACCAGGGAGACAGAG
Organism: Homo sapiens; assembly: GCF_000001405.40. NCBI lineage: Eukaryota > Metazoa > Chordata > Mammalia > Primates > Hominidae > Homo > Homo sapiens. The sequence goes on from NC_000003.12 coordinate 119,532,429, forward strand.
GTTGCAATGAGCCAAGATTGCACTCCAGCCTGGGTGACAGAGTGAGAATCTATCTCAGAAAAAGACAAAGAAAAAAAAAAAAAAGAAGTGCCATCTGATTTCTAAATTTGTATATTGGATGGATGCCAGCATCTCCACCTGATTAAAACTGAATTTACTACCTGCTTTCCAAATCATATCTACCAGCTGTATTCTCCCATTTCAGTGAATAACAATACCATTTAGTTACCCAAATAAGAGTGTGGTATTTTCTTTGTGCTCACTTCCCAGTAGGCTCCCATGTATTTTCTGTTCTATATTCAGAATATCTCTGGAACTTACTGCTTTTTCCCAAATCTCTTGCAGCAACTGCCTTAGCTGAGATTTTTCTCATCTCCCACCTAGTAGCCTGCAAACCGGTCTCTTTGCCTCAGGTTTCCTAGGCTCTAATAACTCCTGCACATTGCTGTCACAGTAATCATTCTGAAACACCTATTTAATCATAGTGTACCTACCACTTAAAGACAGGATAGTTGGTTTTTCTTTTTTCTCTAAAACACCAGATTGAATGGAGACATCAAGTGATTACCAGAGTTGACCTCTACAGATTAGAATGACACAAAAAATAACAAGCCATTGCTGTTATCCTGGGAGTCTAGAAGTTTCACAGGCTTCAGCTCATTCCTGGCTTCCACTCCACACCCATCCACAAGCCTCATTCAACCTAGAGAGAGTATGTGTGTGAGGGAAAGAGGGAGGCCTCAGTAGCAGCAAGCCAGGTCTATTGTGACACCTGTTAGAAACCTGGTAACATCCCACAGGGGCAGACCCAGAATCCAAGGTACAGAGCGGTGTGAGGGCATCTGCACATGTAGCTTATTAGATACCATGAGTATGACTCTCTCAGATGTATCTCCTTCCAGTTTATCAAGGGAAAACAAATTTGGTGAGACTACACTAAAAAGAATCATATGCGCAATCCGCTTAATTAATACATTTGGGCTTTTTTTTTTTTTCCAAATCAGTTATTTACTGATATGGTTTGGCTGTGTCCCCACCCAAATCTCATCTTGAATTATAACTCCCACAGTTGCCACATGTCATGGGAGGAACCCAGTGGGAGGTGACTGAATTATGGGGGCGAGTCTTTCCTGCACTGTCCTTGTGATAGTTAATGAGTCTCACGAGATCTGATAGTTTAAAAACAGGAGTTTCCTTATAACAAGCTCTCTTTTTGGCTGCTGCCATCCACATAAGACATGACTTGCTCCTCCTTGCCTTCTGCCATGATTTGTGAGGCCTCCCCAGCCACGTGGAACTGTGAGTCTAATTAAACCTCTTTATTTTGTAAGTTGCCCAGTCTCGGGTATGTCTTTATCAGCAGCATGAAAAGGGACTAATACATTTTCACCTCAAAGCTTTACTCACCCTGACCTGTAACATTTCTATGTACTATACACTTAATGTATATTTGTTAGTGCAGTCAGCCCTTGACCTCCTATAAATGCATTATTTGCTTTTGAATCTTATTCTAAAGAATCCCCACACAGTCCAATTAATGAGATTTGAGACATTTATACCCTAAAGCTCTCCAGCCACAAAGACAAAAACCTTAAGTTAGCAAACTATAGCACATGGGCCAAACCTGTCCTGCACCTGTTTTTAAAAATGAAATTTTGTGGCTGGGTGTAGTGGCTCACACCTGTAATCACAGCGCTTTGAGAGGCTGAGGCAGATGGATCACCTGAGATCAGGAGTTCGAGACCAGCCTGACCAACATGGTGAAACCCCATCTCCACTAAGAAAATACATAAATTAGCCAGTTGTGGAGGCAGGCACCTGTAATCCCAGCTACTTGGGAGGCTGAGGCAGGAGAATCGTTTGAACCTGGGAGGCAGAGGTTGCAGTGAGCCGAGACCACACCATTGCACTCCAGCCTGGGCAACAAGAGTGAAACTCTGTCTCAAAAAAAAAAAAAAGAAAAAGAAAAAAAAAAGAAAAATTTTGTTGGAACATAGCCATGTCATTCATTTATGTCTTGTCTGTGGCTGCTTTTGTGCTACAACCAGCAGAATTGAGTTGTTGCAACAGAGACTGTGACTGCAAAGCTTAAAATATTTACTATCTGGCTCTATTCAGAAAAAAATTTGCCAACCCCTGTCTTAGAATGTCACATATATCCATATTCCAATATAAATAATGTCCAAATCAAAATGCAATCCAAGCTAGTATTACTGATTTAATAATCAGTACTCTACTGTTTTCTGCCTTCAATCAGAATAATGTAAAATTGGTTAAATAATGCTATAACAAGAAAGTAAAAATAGAGACTTAATAAACTATATGATTGAAGCCTCATTTTAATAAAATTTTTACAACACATAAAAGATGACTGAGACTGGTAAGTTTGGAGTATCAATAGTCATGTCAAAGTTTGGTTTATATTTGAACTAATTTTCCCAGGAAATTTTGTCTCATTGAGGAAAATAAAGAATCTGCTGTAGCCGGGCATGGTGGCTCATGCCTGTAATCTCCACACTTTGGGAGGCTGAGGCGGGCAGATCACCTAAGGTCGAGAGTTCAAGACCAGCCTGACCAACGTGGTGAAACTCCATCTCTACTAAAAATACAAAAATTATCTGTGTGTGGTGGCTGGCACCTGTAGTCCCAGCTACACAGGAGGCTGAGACAGGAGAATTGCTTCAACCTGGGAGGCGGAGGTTACAGTGAGCCAAGATCACGCCACTGCACTCCAGCCTGGGTGACAGAGCGAGACTCCGTCTCAAAAAAAAAAAAAAAAATCTGCTGTAACACTGAAAGATCTAGAGTAAATCATACACTAGCATGAATTACTAGACCATCTAAAATAAATTATCCACTTCGCAACTACAAGTAAAGACATGAAGAATTAAGACATGCCATATAGTATATATTGTGCTATATACTTATGTGCAACTGTATTATCAAACTCAGTGTTTTGTTTCTTACTATACAGTCACAAAACCTATCCTTGGGAGTGGGGCTAGGGGTAGGGAGAGAGACCTGTGGTCCTCTGTATGATCAGCCGTACAATTTAAACAAGTATTAATATTTTGAGCATCTCAGTTCACCTTGTAAGCCATCTTAAGCCATTATAGGCCTAAGATGTATATATTCATATAAACCCATCGTTTTCATTGTATATTTTCAAATGATTTCACCTCTTGGGGAAAGAGAATTCTCTGAGTTTACTACCAGTAGGGTAAAATATTTGCTCCAAAATGACCTCTTTTCAGGCGTTGTCTTCAAGGAGTTTGTCACTCACCTTTCCCAGACTTGGTTCAGAATGAACCAGTAGTTCTTAAAAAGCACATTCGCCCACAAAAAAAAATTGTTTGGCACCATGGAACCGTGTGGGTGGCATGCCCTAAAAGAAAGCACCAAATCCCTAAGGGCAGTTCCAAAGGGCAAATTTTAATGCTTTCAATAATACTATTGTTACAAAAACTTTTTAAGATGAATGCTTGATGGATAATGGTTTTTAGTATATATAAATTTTAGAATATTTATTACAAGAAAATAAGGCCGGGTGCAGTGGCTCACACCTGTAATCCCAGCACTTTGGGAGGCTGAGGCGGGCGGATCACGAGGTCAGGAGTTCGAGACCAGCCTGACCAACATGGTGAAACCCCATCTCCACTAAAGATAGAAAAAATTAGCCGAGGGTGGTGGCTGGCGCCTGTAATCCCAGCTATTCGGGAGGCTGAGGCAGAAGAATTGCTTGAACCTGGAAGGTGGAGGTTGCAGTGAGCTGAGATTGTGCCACTGCACTCCAGCCTGGGCAACAGGGCGAGACACTGTCTCAAAAAAATAAATAAATAAATAAAAAGAAAATTAGTAACATTATCACACCTTGCACAGTGACTTTATTTTTTAAATTTATTTTTTAAATTATTTTATTTATTTCTTTTAGAGACAGGGTCTCACTCTGTTGCCCAGGCTGGAGTCTAGTGGCATGATCATAGCTCACTGCAACTTTGAACACCTGGGCTCAAGTAAGCCACCCACCTTACCCTCCCAAGTACCTAGGACTACACATGTGTGTCACCAAGCCTGGCTAATTTTTTAAATGTTCTGTAGAGTCAGAGTCTCATGCTTCCCAGCTGGTCTTGAACTCCTGGGCTCAAGTGATCCTCCCACTTCAGCCTCCCAAAGTGCTGGGATTACAGGCATGAGCCACTGTGCCCAGTCTCACAGTGACTTTAATAAGTCATAATAGCACATGTCATTTGTATATCTAAAAACACTATAAAACACTATCAAAATAAATACGACAATTCTAAAATGTATCTGGCTGAGTTACAGTAATGTGCCATGTAACATTTTCAATGGCATTCTGCATATATGATGGTAGTCCCATAAAATTATAATACCGTATTTTTACTGTACCTTTCCTATGTTTACATACGCTTAGATACACAAATACTTATTGTGTTACAACTGCCTATGTGTTCAGTATGGTAACATGCTGTACAGGTGTGTAGCCTCAGAGCACTGGGCTGTACCATGTAGCCTAGGTGTGCAGTAGGCTGTACCATCTAGGTTTATGTAAATACACTCTGATGTTCAGACAATGACAGAATTGCCTAATGATGCATTTCTCAAAATGTATCCACATCATTAAATGACACGACTATATTGTCTTTTTAGATTCGATATAGTAGAAACTCCCCAGAACAATGTCACTTACTTGTATTCCAGTTGAAGGTCTGATTCACTCTTAAATGTCCATACTTGATGAGACACATGAAGCTGTGGTTGGTTGTCATATTGAAATCCAGTTTGCTGCTAACAGCATAGAGCTCAGTTTCAGGATCTTGGGAAACTGTTGTGTTGATGGCATTTAATTCTTCTCCATTTTCCAACCAGGAGAGGTGAGGCTCTGGAAAACCTCCAGAGGTTGAGCAAATTATCCTTCTAATATTAGAAGTTGGAATTTCAAAGTCAGATATACTAGGTGTAGGGAAGTCAGCTAAAGAAAGAACAAGAATATATAATTACGTATAGTTACAAACCTATGTGTGTAGAGGTTTATTTTTAAATAATTTTCTAGCTTTAATAAGAATTGATAAAGGCCAGGTGCAGTGGCTCACTCCTGTAATCCCAGCACTTTGGGAGGCCGAGGCAGGTGGAACACCTGAGGTCAGGAGTTTGAGACCAGCCTGGCTAACATGGCAAAACCCCATCTCTACCAAAAATACATAAATTAACCAGGCGTGGTGGCAGGCGCCTATAATCCCAGCTACTCGGGAGGCTAAGGCAAGAGAATGGCTTGAACCCAGAGGGTGGAGATTGCAGTTAGCCGAGATCGTACGACTTCACTCCAGCCTGGGCAAAAGAGCAAGGCTTCATCTCAAAAACAACAAAACAAAACAAGAATGATAAAATGAGATATAATTTGCAACTTCCCATTACTCATTAATAGTTATGTATAATCCAAAGACTAACTTTGATTTGAATTGGTTATATCAATTCTTTGCCACTTTTGATGGAGATAGGAGGGCACTTATTACAGAAAGGAGAAGTAGGTTCGTGTGAATAAATGTTGCCAGAGTACTTGCAATTGTAAGAGATGAAGAGAAGAATAATAGACAACGTTTACTGAACTCTTGTTTGTTAGGTCTGGACCTTACCTCATTTTGTCCTCACAGAAACCCTAGAGAGGTAGGTTGTAGATCTAAAAAGGTCAAAGATCAGTAATTTCATATGATTTAACCTAATATAATTTCCATTTTATAAGTAATCAAACTGAGGTTTAGAGAAATTATAACTAACCAGTAATGGCAGAATTCAAATCTGTCTGACACCAGAGCCTATCTTTTCTTGACCTTGCCTTTCTTTCTTTCCTTTCCCTTTCTTCTCTTCTCTTCTTTTCTTCCTGATGCTTGAAGTACGCAAGTGGCTTTCTTCTATGTTATCTATTTATTTACTAAACTATAGCGAACGCCTGAAAACCCACCATCCAACTTGAGACCAAAAACACTGACAGTAACTTAGGTAAATCTGCTGGTATGATGTCACCTATCCTGTCCCTCTCTTTCCCTTACCTAAGGTAATCACTATCACTATCCTAAATTTGTGGTTAGCATTTCCTTGCTTTTTAAAAGGTCGTCTTTTACATGAGGGGCCTACCCCTTTGCTCTTGAGAATGGTTTCTCATGTCCTCCTTTCTGGCCTTATCCTTTGAACATTGACTCTTAAGTCTGTTACAGGTAAGGGCTCCATGAAGTTGTGTTTCCCTTTTCTTTCTGGCTACCTAAACTCAATACATAAATAGAGAAGGCTTTGCCTAACATAGAACTTTCGTTGGAAAGGGTCTAGATGGGGAGAGAGAAAACATAAATCTGGTCAAGGAGAGGAGATCTTGGAGAAAGGAAAATGCTGCCTAATTTACAAACCTGTGACCTGCCTTTTGAGGGGGCATTGTGTGCGTGTGAGTGGGGGGCAGGCATTGAACTATAGTCATGAGCTTTTGCTTCTACTGAGTCTCACCAACACCCCATACCCCAAAAAAACACCCATGACCAGTATTTTTTAATTTGCATATTTATTTCTGGATGGGTTTTCCCCTCTTTATTCTGTCCTCATGAGACCATGGGCAAAGCTCTTTATTTTAGGTGAGAAGAAAAACTCTGAACCACATCAGTAATGTTTTCATTTGAAAATATCATTGAAATGTATTTGAATAAATTTATTTGAATTCATTTGAATTTTTTAATTATTTTGATAGTAGACATGCTGTTTATTTATTTAATGTGCATATGGAAGCCTGAAAAATAGAAAGCTGTATAGACTGAGTTTAGTTGTTAATTGGTTTGGGAGTCTTCCATGCATAATTTATGACTTCTTGGTGTTCTATATATTTGTCCGAATTAATTACTGGGATGAAGCTATGCTAGCTTTCAAACAGGAGATGCCTTTCAGAAATTTGTATATTGTGCAGTTGCCAGACCAATTAAATACCTGGTTGAAATTAAAAAAAAAAAAAGTAGTCTTTTACTCAGAAAAACCTATATCCAAACTACAACATTGAGCCTATAACCTCATTCACCACACTTTATTGTTTTTCTTACTATTTTGATATGCCTTAAAGGGACAGGAAGGCCTTCCTAGCATTCCTCCAAGACCCTTGAGGCACTGTTTCATTTATATATTTGATCCCCATAAGATTCTGAAGTACAAAGTACAGGAAAATAAATGCAGAGAACATAGGAGAAAGATACCTAGCGGCTTCGTCACTTATTCTTACACATAAAGAGATTAGCTTCTTAGCATGAATGTAGGGATTCAATCTCCTCATAGAGTTAGCTTTCTTTTCAGAATTCTGAGCCCCACAGAGATGTCATGTAGCATATGGTCATCAAAAGCAGGTTTTAAAACCAGTTCTGCCTTGTGACCCTGGGTCAATAACTTACCCACCTTTAGTCTTAGTTTGCTCATCTATAAGATAGGGACACTAATACCCAGGGTTGTAAGAATTAAATGACATCGTTCATAGAAATCACTTAGCACAGAGCCTGACACACAGGAAACTAAATAGTCTCACTCTGTTGCCCAGGCTGGAGTGCAGTGGCACCATCTTGGCTTACTGCAACCTCCGGGTTCAAGTGATTCTCCTGCCTCAGCCTCCAGAGTAGCTGGGACTACAGGAGCCCACCACTACCATCTAATTTCTTGTATTTTTAATAGAGATGGGGTTTCACTGTGTTAGCCAGGATGGTCTCAGTCTCCTGACCTCGTGATCCACCAGCCTCGGCCTCCCAAAGTGCTGGGATTACAGGCGTGAGCCACCACACCCAGCCAATGATAGCTATATTTAAGTGGGTCTTGAATTTATCCTCTCTTAGGTAAGCCCCCTCATTTAAATCAGGTTGCCAGGCAAACACTTCCAGGAATGCCTTGTGGCACCTACAATAATGAGGATAAAGGGAAGCCATGACAAATGATGATAATTGCCAGGAAAGAGGAAAAGTTGGATTTGGTTGGAGGTGAAGTTACCTTTTTTTTTTGTTTGTTTCAATGAACCCTGTCCCTAAATGAAGTTTGATATGTTCCTGAGCCACTTTTAGTTGGCATTGTTATTTCCCACTTATTAATTTATCCTATAAGATCGACTCATGACACAGGCAGCTGATATCTAGAATATTCTGTGTTTCTTATAACATCAATATGTTTTGTGTTATAACTAGGAATAATAAATCCAAAAACTCATATCCTAAATTATTAATATGATTCATGTTCATTTCTGTGCTCTGCTTTTCTGGGAAATAAACTACAGGAATGCCACTCATACCAGGAACTGTATTAAAAATCTTTTCAAGGCCAGGTGTGCTGGCTCATGCCTGTAATCCTAGCACTTTGGGAGGTCAAGGCAGGAGGATCGCTTGAGGTCAGGAGTTTGAGACCACCCTGGACAACATAGTGAAACCTTGTCTCTACTAAAAATAAAAAATTAGCCAGGCATGATGGCACATGCCTGTAGTCCCAGCTAGTTTGGAGGCTGAGACAGGAGAATCGCTTGAACCCAGGAGGCAGAGGCTGCAGAGACCCGAGATCACGCCACTGCACTCTAGCCTGGGTGACAGAGTAAGAGACTCCATCTCAAAAAAAAAAAAAGTTTCAAAATCTTTCTTGGCTTAGAACAGCCTAAACTCCATCTCCCACCTTTTTTCTAAGGTGATCTGTTTAGGGTAACTACTCCTGAGGTCTTGTGAGATTGTGAACAATCAAAGACGTTGTAAGACTGTAACCTTTGTATCTCATTTTAATTAGTTAACCCAATTTTTACCACTCTTAATAGGAAAGGGTAGGAATGTCTTACAAGGAAAGGAATAGGTGCACATGTTTTAGGAGGAAAAATCCATTAACCTAGTTAAGCTGTTAACGAATGTAGCTAGTTCTCAAACATGCCAGTTAATGGAGGTTTTCATATGGCTATGCTGATATTATATTACCATTTTGCAATCTTAGACAAATATAGGGTAACCAACGTGTCCTATTTGCCTGAGACTTTCCCAGTTTTAGCACCAAAAATCTTGTGCCCCAAATAAACCCTTTGGTTCTGAGCAAAGAGGATACCTGGTCACTCTAGCCAAATGAGAGCTTAATTCCTTGCTTCTCAAATTGTGGTCCTCCACAGCAGCACAGGCATCACCTGAGAGCTTGTTAGAGGTGCAGAATCTCAGATCCAAACCCCAGACCTACTGAACTTAAATCTGCATTTTTAACAAGACCCTCAAATGACTCATAGGCTTATAAGCATTTGAGAAACACTGCTTTGACTCAATTGGAAAATTCAGAATGCTTCTCAGCAAAATTAAGCGAGTGACCTTTTTGTCTTCCCTTTACTGGATTTTGTCCACCCACACACCCTCGGTTCTGAGTACCCCAGAAATCTCACATTGTCCCCTTAGCTGTCCTTGGTCTCTTACGGTAATCTGCTAATAGGGCCTGCCCCCCTTGAAATGTTTCCTTTTCTCACTCTTGGATTTTCTTCTTTATCTTTCTATCCAAATTCACCTGACCTGAGTCTACTTCTCTCTCGGTAGTCCATTAGAGGACTACGTACCTAATGTAATTAACTAATACAGGCTAATATATTTGTGGTGCCACCCCCCACCCCCCACCCCAGGAAACACATTTTCATTTTAACAGGGATCTTTTAGGAGGAAAATGGAGAAACTAGCAGGAATGGCTATGATGATGAGAATTTCAGGAGTCAATGCAGGTGAAAATCGTGGAAGAGGTAGGCTTCTTAGTACCCCTCAAATCACATCACCATATAATAATTTATTCTATCCAAGAGCAGAGAAAACACTGAGTGAAGTTTAAGATAGTTCCATGTAACTTTGGCTTACTCCCCACAACTTTAGGTGTGATCTGGATGTCACAAGTAAAGATTCATAGCTAATGATTAAAACAAAGAACAGTAAGGAATTCACTACGGATCTGCTGAAGTTATCTATTATCAAGGTTAATCATTATGTTTTATTAAGTAAGAAGTTTGGTTTTCACTAGAGGCTCAAGTCCCAGGGGAAAAAGAAATATGTTCAAATTTCAACTGTGAGAAAATGGCTCAGGGATATAATTTCTCAAAAAGGGCTCTGGCTCCTTCAGTATCCTCTGTTATACTGTAATTAAAGTGAAACCCCCTTTGCAAAATTATGACTGAGACAGTGAAAGAGATCTAACTTAACTGACTCCATCTTGCTTCTAACCTCCAAGCTATCTTTGTTCACTCCTGGGTGTAGGCTGAACTAACTTTGGTAGAAACTTAGTTTATAGTTTATAGTTTAAACAAAGATGGTAACAGCCCTTTCCCAAAGCAGACCTCCTTCTTGCCTGGGGAGTAGATTGCCTTTGTAGGACTAACATTAGCCACAAGATTAGAAATTATGGTTTAGGAGTCATAAAGCTGGATGCTATGAGATTCTGACCCTCCCTAAACTGCTCCTAAGATCAGTGCTTGAGCTATTTTGCAGCCCCTGCACTTGATGGATCAGCTGGCACCACCCAGATCAATAAACTGACTCATCTGATCTTGTGGCCCCCCAACCCAGTGCAAGAAGACAGCTTCAACTCCCTATGGTATCATCCCTGACCAATCAGCACTCCCAGCTCACTGGCTTCCCCCGACCCACCTAGTTATCCTTAAAAACTCTGCTCCCCAGATGCTTGGAGAGACTGATTTGAGTAATGATAAAACTCCGGTCTCCCGCACAGCCAGTTGTGCGTAAATTACTCTCTCTATTGCAATTCCCCTGTCTTGATGAATTGGCTCTATCTACGCAGCAGGCGAGGTAAACCTCTTGGGTGGTTACAAAAGCAAGGGTCCTTTCTTTCCGAGACCAGAAATGCTTGCCTTCCACAGTAGGTACATAAACAGGGCTTTGATTCATAAATTAGTTTTTTTCCTTGTGGCAGGAATTAATTATGCATCCAATTCTCTAACTTTTTTTTTTTTTTAAGACAGAGTCTCTACCAGTAGGGAAATGCTCACCCTCCTCTGTAGTCTACTTTTTTTTTTTTTGAAACAGTCTTTGCTCTGTCACCAAGGCTGGAGTGCAGTGGCACCATCTCTGCTCACTGCAACCTCCGCCTCCCAGGTTCAAGTGATTCTCCTGCCTCAGCCTCCTGAGTAGCCAACACGTCCCTGGCTAATTTTTGTATTTTTAGTAGAGATGGGGTTTCACCATGTTGGGCAGGCTGGTCTCAAACTCCTGAGCTCAAGCCATCCACCCACCTTGGCCTCCCAAAGTGCTGAGCCACCGCACCTGGCCCAATTCTCTAACATCTAATTTTTCAGGACTGACTGCTAGATTAGAGCTTCAAATATGCAATAAGTAAATTATCACTTTGAAAATATTAGAATATAATAGTAAGATAGCCATAGTAATAGACGTTCACATACTACCTGAAAAAGATTTATGCCTCCATTGTTCTTTTTTTTTTTTTTTTTTTGAGATGGAGTCTTGCTATGTCACCCAGGCTGGAGTGCAGTGGTGCAATCTCAGCTCATTGCAACCTCCGCCTCCCAGGTTCAAGCGATTCTCTGCCTCAGCCTCCAGAGTAGCTGGGATTACAGGAATGCGCCACCACATCTGGCTAGTTTTTGTATTTTTAGTAGGGACGGAGTTTCGCTATGTTGGCCAGGCTGGTCTTGAACTCATGACCTCAAGTGATCCGCCTGCCTTGGCCTCCCAAAGTGCTGAGATTACAGGCATAAGCCACCATACCCAGCCCCGTTACCTTTTCAGCATACTTTCACAGGCATATATTGCTGGGTCAAGTGCAGTTAGTAGCAAGGCTACATCAAATCAAAGATGCCCCTTGGTGATTGAGAGGCTCTTTAGGTCATTATAGTGCCCCAGGATGATTGTCATGAACTTGGATTGTCAAAGAACAAGAAATGCACATTAACAGATATTTCCAGGACATCTTTAGAAACCAGTTAGAGTTTATTGTACAACTAGAGACTTAACTCCAAGAAATGAAGTGAGATACATCCCTCTTTGGTAAAATTTTCACCTAAATCAATAGCCATGTGTCTTTAAGGGCATTAAGAATCTGCCGGCCTAGAGTAAAATCAGAAAATCCCACCAACCTTTGACTGATAACGTCACTTCAGCCAGGTGTTCCCGCTTGAAAGCGTCTTTTTCATACTTCAGAACAACACACTCGTATGTGCCCTCGTCAGATGGGCGCAGAGCCAGGATCACAATGGAGAGGTTATTAGTGATATCAAAGATGGTCCGGTTCTTGTACTCGGGCCATATATTCATGTCCCCAGACATCATAGTCAGCACCATTTTCTTCTCCTTTTGCCAGTAGATGCGAGTTTGTGCCAGCTCTTCAACAGAAACATTGTGACCACAGGACAGCGTTGCCACTTCTTTCACTTCCTTGGTCACGTGGATAACACCTATGGAGAGGCAAACAGAACAAGATTGTATATTTATTAAATACAGATTCCTGCATGGTCAGGAATCCAAAGTCGGCAGTAACAGAACTTAGGGTGTTGTGTCTAGTGACTAAGTATCAATCCAGTTTGATTTTTGGGGTCCCCAATGCTTTTTTTCTCTTCATTTTTTAAAAATTGTGGTAAAAAACACAACAGGCTGGGCGTGGTGGCTCACGCCTGTAATCCCAGCACTTTGGGAGGCCGAGGCAGGCAGATCACTTGAGGTCAGGAGTTCGAGACCAGCCGGGCCAACATGGTGAAACTCTGTCTCTACTAAAAATACAAAAAATTAGCCGGGTGTGGTGGCGGGTGTAGTAATCCCAGCTACTCGGGAGGCTGAGGCAGGAGAATCACTTGAACCCAGGAGGCGGAGGTTGCAGTAAGCTGAGATTGCACCCCAGCCTGGGCAACAAGAGCAAAACTCCATCTCCAAACAAACAAACAAACAAACAAACACATAACATAAAATTTATCATCTTATTGATTTTTAAGTGTACAGTTCAGTAATGTTAAGTATATTCACATTGTTGTGAAACAGATCTCTAGAAATTTTCATTTTGCAAATCTGAAACTCTATGCCCATTAAACAACTCCCCTTTCCCCCTCTCCCCTCAGCCTCTGGCAATTGCCATTCTGTTTGTTTGTATGAATTTGGCTACTTTAAATATCTCATAGAAATAGAATCATACAGTAACAGCCTGTTTATGATTGGCTTATTTCACTTAGCATGATGCACTCAAGGTTCATTCACGTTGTAGCATATGATAGGATTTCCTTCCTTTGGAATGGTAATGATATGATCATAAGGATAATGAATAATATTACACACACACCCCCCCCCACATTTTGTTTGCCCATTCATCTGTAGATGGACATTTGGCTTGCTTCCCACCTCCTGGCTACTGTGCTGCTATGAACATGGGTGTGCAAATATCTCTTCAAGACCCTGCTTTCAATTCTTATGGATATATGGAATTTTGGGGTCATATGGTAGTTCTATTTTTAATTTTCTGAGGAACCTCAATAGTGTTTTCTATAGCAGTTGCACCCGCAATGCTTGTTAAAGGTTTTGGAAGTCACTATCTAGAAAAACTAAATGTGATTGCATAAAAAACAAATTTGGTTTTGAAAACAATGAAGACAAATCACTAAAATCAGACTCATGGACCAATCATTATAACATAACCTATCCCCTTCCTTTTTCTTGAGAATTTTCCAATGACATGCAAGATTTAGGAGCATATGAGCCTTCTCTCACAGCAGGCAATTTTTAGTCCTATTACTTCTTATTTGGTTTACCTAACACAATACCACCCCCAAGAGAAGTCAGTCCTGACTAAGGTTCTGGGTACAGTGGTGGTGGAGGAGGGCAAGGTGCTGTTGCCCACCTCTGTCTAGATAGCCTATATTGAATTACTCTTCATACTATTTCCTTTTTTTGCTTCCTCTGTGGTGGCTCTATGGAGGGGACAGGTGCTATGTCATTTAATCCCCCAACAACCCCACAAGATATGTATTATTTTCCCCATTTTGCAGCTGAGACAACTGAGAGATTGAGAGGTTCAGGAAGTCTAGGACAGGGCAGGTCAGCCTGAGATTCCAAGGGCCTATGATTCTGCAGTCATGACGAAGAATAAGGGAGGGAGATGAGGTCAACTAAGAAGAAAAAAGAGGGCCATACTTTAAATAGGTAGGGAATATAATCAATCTTCATTATTCATGAATTCTCACTTACAGAAGGCCTCCTTCTTGGATCTGTTGCCTGGTCACTTGATTAGGTAATTTTCAGCTACTACTGCCTTGAGAAATAAGGAAGAATTTCACTGTAAAGACCTAGTCTCTGATGCTCACTGCCTTTTCCCTTGCGTTTCTCCTACAGCCCCTCTCCCCACAATCACGTGATGCAACAACACACACACACACACACACACACAGATATGCACATGTACACGCATTCATTTAAACTACAGAACTGCATTTAACCGTGGGAAAAATCTAAGAATAAATTTTATCCAGATTAAGTGAGCTAAAGACAATCCATTTCATGTGACTTCAGTGGCGTGGCACAGGAATAAAACCTTCATCTGTCACCTTAATACACATCCTGATTCCTCCCCTTTTCACTTGAGTGACTTAGGATTTAAAGCTCTCAGGACTGCCTACTTCCCTACCTACCTTAAAGGCAACCATGACTAAGTGCACCCTGCTAACATCCTTGCCTAGAGGCTCCTGGTTGTTGGTATAGAAAGAACATGGGCTTTTTTCATTCAATAAAATCCACAGTAGTTGTGTGACCTTAAGCAACTTACTTTACTTCTCTGAACCCCAGTCTTCACATTGGTTATTATGAAGATTAAATGAGATAATTTATGGCAAGCACATACTGTAATTCAATGCCTAGACCCACACCAAATATGAATCCCATTCTCCTTTCTCCAAGGGGGTGGGGAATTTACCAACCTCTAAGGCTTTTGATTTCGTCTTTGGACAATTTGACTGAGGAAGTTTTGCTTTGCTTTATGTTGAAGTCTGTTTCCCTCTAGCTTCTACATGCATTACAAAACACATCTCATTCTTCTTATGTAACAAGACTTGCAGATATCTGAGGATACTTATATCCTCTCTCAGACAGTTCTGCAGGTTCCCATCTGCCCCTGTTCCTTATTGATGTACTGAAAGTGAGTACCCTCACTTTCCTCACTACACAGTTTGATTTGTGTGTATATTTTTTTGAGAGAGCGAAGTCACTAAATCTAGCATTCCAGACATCCACTGTGTGATTGGCTCAGAGTAGAACCGGGTTGTCACTTCCTTTACCTAAATCTATGTTTGCAGCCTAAAGTTGAATTCAATATATTAGCAGCCACCTTACACCTTTGATATAACTATTGATATACTGACAAGCAAATTGCCTTATTTTTCCACCTATACATACCACTGTGTGCTGCTCCTACATCCAGTTCAACACCCCACCAAATGGGTAAAGCTCTTCCAGTGACGTTATCTTTCAAGAGTTATCCAGAATCTTCCCCTTCCCTGAATCTCCATAAGACGACACATCTTTCTTTCTTTTTTCTTTTTCTTTTTTTTTTTGAGACGGAGTCTTGTTCTTTTGCCCAGGCTGGAGTGAAGTGGCGCGATCTCAGCTCACTGCAACCTCCACCCCCAGGTTCAAGCAGTTCTCCTGCCTCAGCCTCCTGAGTAGCTGGGATTACAGGCGCCCGCCATCATGCCCAGCTAATTTTTGTATTTTTAGTAGAGACAGGGTTTCCACCATGTTTGCCAGGCTGGTCTCAAACTCCTGATCTCAGGTGATCCTCCCACCTCAGCCTCCCAAAATGCTGGGATTACAAGTGTGAGCCACCACGCCTAGCATGATGAGACATCGTGAGCATTCAGAAATATGGAAAGGCACCTGCTTGTCTTATGTATATAGCCAGATGCCTATGGGCCAGGAGTTGGGGACAGAGACAGGGATCCCTAGTGAGTGAGAAAGTCCACTGGTCCCCTGAGAAGACCTGAATATAAGTGCCAACCATGGGTTAAACGATGTGCTCAGCCCCAGGGGATATGAAAGTCATAGTAAGGAATGTGAGATCTGGAAGGGACTTCCATGATCATTCATTCTCGTGGCCTTATCTTACAAATGAGGAAACTGAGCTGAGGAAAAGAAACTGCCCCAGTTTTACACATTTTTTTCTTTCTGGCCCAGGCTTTTAGGGCCATTCTTCTTGTTTACCGATTTCTTCAGTTTTAGGCCACAGTCAGTAAGTTAAGCCAACACTGTCCCCACCCACCCCAATCCAGCCCTACCACTGAGCCCTTTTGCTATAAGAAACAGAGTCCCAGGCCGGGCATCATGGCTCAAGCCTGTAATCCCAGCACTTTGGGAGGCTGAGGTGGGCAGATCACGAGGTCAGGAGTTTGAGACCAGCCTGGTCAACATGGTGAAACCCCATCTCTACTAAAAATACAAAAAAATTAGCCGGGCATGTTGGGACACACCTGTAATCCCAGCTACTTAGGAGGCTGAGGCAGGAGAATCACTTGAACCTGGGAGGCAGAGGTTGCAGTGAGCCAAGATCACACCACTGCACTCCAGCTTGGGTGACAGAGTGAGACTCCGTCTCAAAATAAATAAATAAATAAATAAATAAGAAACAGAGTCCCTTTCTTTCCAGGCCTGATTGATCCCATGGTTCCAGGCTGAAATGACTCCCATGCTTATACCTTTGGACTATTTCTACCATCTTCAGGTACCCTAAATGGATCCTATATCCTGCCTTTATCTCTTTGGCTATCTGCAGTCCATGCCATACAATTACCCTCCAGCCTGGATTTGCTAAAAGAGTTTTTATTTAAAATATTCTGTTCATTTCTCCATCCACATAGCCAAGAAATATCAGCATATCAATATCTAAACTAGTCTCTGTGTCAATAGCACCAAAATTCCTTAGCAGGCTGTATTTTCTGATTTTTGGTTTAGAAGGCATGGTCATTCTTCCTAGGCTCTTGTAGGACCTAAAAGCAGCATCCCTCTAAGGCCCCAGCGCCCCCTGCCCAGTGCTGTCGTACTGTGCCTTCTGGGCCCTGTATCCCCTGGAGCCACACAGATCCCCTTAGGGAGACCCATGTCTAGGGACTTCATTTCCAAGCCCTCTCTTTTCTTAGATAGCAGGATCATGGGGCACTAGCACCTTTCCATCTCACCAGCCATTCTCAGGCCTCTGTCAGACTGGATACGGCCCCACCACAGCACTGAACAAGAGAGTTTTGTGATGGTGGGTATTTGCATAGCAAAGTGAGGTAATGCAGAAAGGTCCAGGCACCTCTTCAGCAATTGTGTGGAATGTTGCCAGTCCCTGCTTTAGGGAATATAACTGAAAGAAAGGAAGAAATAAAAAGACATACTTGAAGGGAGCATATTTCAAAGTGAAGCTATATTAGCTAAAGATCAAATGACAACCCAGACACTCCTAGTGTTGCAAGGAAAGCAAAATGAGACGTAGAAGGAACATGGGCTATCCATCTCCATTGACTTGGATTCTAGTCCCAGCTCAGCCACTTGCTGTTTCATCTGTTTCTTCATCTCTAAATAGGTATGACACCTACCCCTTGGGATCACTGGAAAATTCAGTTCAATTAAATGATATAAATAAAAAGTCCCAAGGACATAGCAGGTCTTCTGTAAGAGTTTCCATTTTTCTTTCTCCCTCCTCCCACTGCCAACTCTTACCTTTCATTTCACTCAAGGGTTATGTCAGATATATAGCACTCTGGTCTTGCTATGGGCCAGACAGACAGCAACTCACTTGTCTGGGCCTCCCAATAATAGGGTCTTTCCCCACCGAACTATTCATTCCCAGCCAAAAAGAATCCAATATTTCTCACTGATTTTGGTATGTGGTGATGTTAGCAAAAGTGAAAGCATAGCTGAAAGAGAGACTATCTAATTTTGGTGATGGCTTCTGAGGAGTTTTTGTCCAGCCTTCTGAGGAGAAGAGTGAAGAAGAACAGGACTAAAAAGAGGAACCCAAAATCTTCCGAACAATTTGGAAATTCACACGGGAACCCAGTTTTCGGGATTCCACCACACAGAGACAGAAAACAGTCATTATAAATTTGCCCAAATTTATATCAGTTTTGTCTGTTTTAGGGACTCCATCACACACGGACAAAAAGCAGTTGAAACGGAAATGTCTCTAACGATTTTGTCTGCTTCAGTGACTGGCGGGGAAAGTCAGCACCTGGAAATCTCAATATTACTGTCTCAAACCTGGTTGAACTTCTGAGCTTGCTTTGCCATTTTTGAATGGGCATTGTAACACCTACCCAACCCAGTGGGTGCAAGGATTCAAAATGAGATACTGCTCATAAAAGTCCTCCACAGTACCTAGGACATTAGAGGGAGCCAGTGTCTTCCCCAGAGATCCACACAGTTCAGGTCCCACTTTGCTCACATCTACTCTCGTGGCCCCTTGTCAAAGAGGCCTTCCCTGACTCTCCTTGAACAGCGCCATCCTCCCTGCCCCCCTCCATCCTGCTACTCTTTAGTCTCTTTGCCTGATTTGTTTCTCTTCAGGCTTGTCTCCAGCTGATATATATTTTTACAACTGTGATGTATATTTACAGGTATATGTGATACATAATTACGTATGGAGCTATGGAGCAGAGGCTTCCTCCTTTGTTCACTGCCATATCTGCAGTGTCTAGAACAGGGCCTGGCCCATAGTAGGTGCTCAGTAAATACTTGCTGAATGCATGTCTAGGCATGAGGAAATGAGGTCTGGCTCCATCCACTGTGTATTAGAATCATAACCTTGAGCAAGCTGGGTAACCTCTCTGGGCTTCAGGTTCCATCTCTGTAAAACAGTCATAATACTATTGCTATGATTTGAATGTGTCCCCTAAAGGTTTTGTGTTGGAAATTTAATTCCGGGTGCAACAGTGTTGAGAATTGGGACTGTTAAAAGGTGATTAGGTCATGGAGACTCTGCCATCATGGATGGATTAATGCCATTTTTTTGGGAGTGGGTTCACTACAGCAGGAGTGGCTTCCTTATAAAGGATGGTTTTGGCCTCCTTCCTACTCTGCCTTGGGCGTGCTCTCCTGCCTTTCTATCCTCTGCCATGGGATGATGCAGCAAGAAGGTCCTCATCAGATGTGAGCCCCTTGACCTTGGACTTCCCAGCCTCCAGAACAGTAAGAAATAAATCTCTGTTCTTTCTAAATTACCCAATGTCAGGTATTCTGTTATAGCAGCACAAACCAGACCGAGATAACTATCTTCCCTGCTTCACATAATTATCACAGCGATCACAGGATACCAGATGTAAAGTGCTTTCTTAACTTTAGAATGCTCTACAGATTTTAAATGGGGCTGTTCTTTCTCATGCACAACAGCCTGCTTTGCTGAACCACACCCCCATAGGACCAGCATCACCATGGTAACTGGCTGATTCTTGAACTGAGTTCAGTGCCCATAGCTGGCATGGGGAGCCCCTCCTGCACCTCTACCCAGCAGCAGTCAGAAAGGGCCAGAGGCTGTGAAAGGAGGCGGAGAGAAGGCAGAGATGGACGGCAACGCTGCTCGCCTTCTGGCGAATGCATGGAAACTGCCCACCTGTAGGGCACAATAGGGACACTCAACACTGCTGGCCTCAGCCTCTGCCTCTCCTGACCCCTTGGCCACCCTCCTGCTCTGACCACTTCAACTCTGGACTGCTAGCCACACAGGAGAGGAAGCTATTTGCCAACAAGAGTAGAGACCAAGAATTTTAGACAAATAATGGACCTCTCGGCCGGGCGTGGTGGCTCACGCCTGTAATCCCAGCACTTTGGGAGGCCGAGGCAGGCGGATCAGGAGCTCGAAGATCATCCTGGCTAATACGGTGAAACCCCGTCTCTACTAAAAATACAAAAAAAATAAATTAGCCAGGCGTGGTGGCGGGCTGATTTTTGTGTGGAGGACTTTTACGAGCTGTAGTCCCAGCTACTCGGGAGGCTGAGGCAGGAGAATGGCGTGAAGCCGGGAGGCGGAGCTTGCTGTGAGCCAGAGATTGTGCCACTGCACTCCAGCTTGGGCGACAGAGCAAGACTCTGTCTCAAAAAAAAAAAAAAAAAAAAAAAAAAGGACCTCTCAAGGGCTCAATCTAGGCCAGGCACCCGTAATCCCAGCACTTTGGGAGCTGGCCAAGGCGGGTGGATTGCTTGAGCCCAGGAAATCGAGACCAGCCTAGGCAACATAGCAAAAACCCCATCGCTACAAAAAGAAAAAATAGATCTCAATCTACAACAGAATATTATTTCAGAATATTATTTGGCCGTAAAAGCGAATGGAGTACTAAGACATACGCAACATGGATGAACCTGAAAGACATAATGCTCAGTGAAAGAAAATAGTCACGAAACGCCACATATTGTAAGAAATGTCCAGAATATTCTTTCTTACCTGGATTCTGGAAAAAAAGGAAGAGAAAAGAAATGTCTAGAACAGGCAAATTCATAGAGACAGAGAGTAAATTAGTGGTTACGAGGAGATGGGGTACAGGGGAATGAGGAGTAGCTGCAAATAGGCGCAGGTTTCTTTCTGGGATGATGATTTCCATCATCATCCAGAACATTTCCTTCTGGAATTCGATAGTGATGGTGGTTTCACAACATTGCAAATATACTAAAACCCACTGAATTGTACACTTTATTTATTTATTTATTTATTTATTTATTTATTTATTTATTTATTTATTTACTGAGGCAGAGTCTCGCTCTGTTGCCCATGCTGGAGTGCAGTGGCATGATCTTGGCTCACAGCAACCCCCGCCTCCAGGGTTCAAAAGATTCTCCTGCCTCAGCCTCCTGAGTAGCTAGGATTAAAGGCACGGGCCACCTTGTGTGGTTAATTTTTGCATTTTTAGTAGAGACAGGGTTTTACCATGTTGGCCAGGCTGGTCTCAAACTCCTGACCTCAGGTGATCCACCCATCTCGGCCTCCCAAAATGCTGGGATTGCAGGAGTGAGCCACCGTGCCTGGCTGAATTGTATACTTTAAAACGTTGAATTTTATGTCATTGCAAATAAAACATGAAGGGAAAAGAAGAATCCATACTAGGAAGACCTGAGTCTTCCCCACCCTCTCCGTGCAGCCTGGAGGCCTGGAGGATGCAGTGGCCAGTCTGCAGTGCCCCTCCCAGGGAGTTCAACCTCAGCAGCCGTTAGAGAGGCTGCCCTCGCAGGGGTCTGGGAGCTGCATCACCACTGCTAGTGGAGAAGGGAGAGAAGCAGTTGACACAACATCTTTTAACTCACCAAATGACGGGACATACATGATCTCCCTGGAAACACAAGTGTGCTTTTTAAATAAACATTTTCCCTGACTATGAAATAAACATTCTTAGAAAGAATGGAAGATATAGAAAAGCGTGAAAGTCACCTATTGTCTCACCACCTGGAGATTTTACCGTTCCTGGTTTGTGCACACTCTTCCAACAGGAGTGACCCCCCTCTAAATGTTTGATTAGGTGAACTAGCACCGACAGGGCTGGTGTCAGCCCTGGGCTAGGTGCTAGCCACACAAAGGAGACAGGCAGAGCTGCCTCTGGCAGCCACAGGCTTGAGACCTGTGTCTCCTCGTGTTCACACTGTTCCTGACTTTTCCCCCTGTTTAGACCCTGCTCATATACTCTGTACCATCTGATCCTTACTTTTTCTCTTTCTAAACAGTATTTATATCCTTAAAATGCACAGGGACTTGAACAGCTGTTGTCAGGGTGATGATGGCAACAATCACTGCTCATGGGACCCCTGGGCCAGCAGCATAGCGGTGTGTGTTGCAGGGAGAGGAGGATGTGTTCTGTGAATGGTGGCACTTTGGGGTATTCTCTTTTCTCCTAGCTCTGAGTTCTCAGACTATAAACTTATAGGCAATGCTTTTCCTACATCTCTTGCCTCCTCCTACAGGAGGCCTTTCCCCTCTCCTTAGACCTGACCCTCTCTTAAAGGACTCCAGCTCTGAAGGAAAAGCTGCCCACATTGGTCCCTCTGAGGGCTGCCCTGTTAGAGCCTCTGCCTTACTGCCACCAGTTGCTGGACTATAAAGTCAGGCGTTTCTGCCTCCATAGACAGTGCCTGCAGGCCTAGAGGGGGAGAGGAGCCTGGCTGGTTCCACCCTGTGCATGAAAGAGGAGTCCCTTCCCCTGGGCATCAGTGGCTGGGCAGGAGGAGAGGGGGAACACCTCTGCCATGGTGTGGCAGGAGAGGAAGGCCTAGTGTGGCAAATCTCTGCCCTGAATAAAGCCCTCTATAATCCTACTCCACTGTATTCACTGAATCTCACCTCCCACAGACCATGCACACTCACACCTACACTCCCGTTGAGCAGTCCTCACTAATTTTACATGGTACACACTCTCCAACCCATCAACTTCCTTCTGATCCAATTCTTTTCATTAAAGACATCATCAGTTACTGTAAGTTACTGAAATAACCTCCTAATAGGTTTTGCACAGTCACTGTGGCTGCCCTACAAGCCACTCTGTTCTTCAGTAACACTTTTTTCCTTTTAAAGTTATTTACACCTTTACTACTGAAACTCAAAGTGTATGGTGGAGCAGCATCAGCATCACCTAGGTGCTTCTTAGAAATGCAGAATCTCAGGCCCCATCCCAGACCCACCTAAGCAGAAACAGCATTTAAAAAACTATATAGACTTTATTTTTTAGAGCTGCTTTAGGTTCATCGAAAAATTGAATGTAAAGTAACCCCCTCCCCACATATTCACAGCTTCCGCCACTGTCTACATCCTGCGCCAGGGCAGTACACTTGTTACAATCAATGAACCTACATTAACACATCATTACCACCCCAAATCTAGAGTTCACGATAGGGGTCACTCCTGGTATTGCATATTCTATGGATTTGGGCAAATTTATAATGACTTATATCTATCATTACAGTATTATGCAAAATAGATTCACTTCTCTAAAAAATTCCCTGTGCTAGAAACTGCAATTTAGCAAAACCCCCAGGCTATTGGTATGTGTAAAGAGTGAACAGAGCTGGGGTAGACCACGCCACTCTCCTGGGTAAAGCCCTTCCAGCTTCCTGAATAACATGCGGATTCATGATTATAACTCACAAGTGCTGCAGGGTCCGGTTCTTGCTCACTGGGCCAGTCCCTCCTCTGCTACTTCCCAGCTCACTGCCCCTTCTTGCTGGCAGAGGAAGACAGCACTTCCTCAGGCAGTGCCTGTGCCCTGCCTTCAAAGCACGTGGCTTTGTTTGTTGGCCACACTTTAACACATTCATTTGAGTGGCTATTGGATTACTTTTCCTCTTTCCAATGATAGTAAATTTCACAAATGCAAGAGCCATGTCCCCAGGACCAAGAAAAGTCTCTTGGTTTTAGGAGATGCTCATGTTTGTTGAATTAATAAATGATTAAACAAAAGAATGAACACCTGTGCCAGCCTCATCCTTACCTTTGTGCCTTTGTCCAGGCTGTTGCCCTGACCAGAATTCTCTCTCCATCATCCATCTGCCTCTGTAAAGCCTGCCCTCCTTCCTGCAGCCCAGTCTGTTACCCACTTTCCCAGATCTTGGGCTCCTACAATCAGGGCAAAGCATTTCATTGCTCTTTGCTTGTTCTACATGGGTTAGCTTTGCATTTCCGCAACTAACATATGCAGACCTCTTTGAGTGCAGGAATCCTAGCCTCAACTTTTATGGCCCACCTGGCACACAGTAGGTGCTTCATTGACTCAGTCACAGCAGCAGTAAAACCAGGATGTAGCTAGAGAACAAGGTGCTTTCCTAAACATCTTTCTTTAGCTCAAAGATCTCTTTCCACTTACCTCTGACCCTAATTTTCCTTGTACAATTTCTAAAGTCTGGGTTTTAATTTTTATTTTATGTCCTCTTTTACTTTTTTTATTGTTCTCCCTCTTTCTGTCTCTCCCCCTCCCTGCCCCCCTTATTTCTGGGAAGCCTGTACAAATTTCCTTCTATATATTTTAAACTCCTCTGTACTCCCCAGAAGACTAGTTTGGGAATGCTTCCCCAGCTCCCCAGAAGGAAATTGTAACTGTTGGAAATGTAATGTAACTGTCAAATATATAAAAAACCTGAGGTGTAAATTGTGAAATGTAGGCCATGTTTCTCTTGGTTCTGAAACAATGTAAAATAGCTCTGGACAGAAAATTTTAAATGACCACCATCGCAGTCAAGTAATCTGTGGGCCCCCAACTCCTCTTCTCTTCCCTCTACCTCTCTCTCACACCTCTGATATTCTAGGCAGTACTTTATGTGAGAAGTTTTTAAGACAAGGACCCTTAATAGTCGGGTCTTTGCAGACTGGCAAATCATGCTGGAGCCCAAACTTCTTTGTTTTTGGGAAACTGGGAAGTATGCTGCTCACTAGAAAACAGATCTTTTGTTTTCTGACTTAAAAAAAAAAATCAGAACCATCCTGCCAGCAGGGACAAGCCTCACCCTTCTTGACAGTCCCAAAAGTTCAGCACTCTTAAGATCACCTGAGCAGGAACAAAAGCCTCTAGAAGTCAAATTATTACTTTCAGGACATATATGTAATACCTATGTGGCAGATTAAAAATAACTAAAAACATAATTTTGTGTTAAATCTGATACCACTTAAAGTCAGATGCCAATGTTGAAAAAAGATCTCAGCATCCAAAGCAGAACAAATAAGATTAATGTATTAAGAGGAACTTAAGAAGGTTAAGAAGATGAATGTCATTAAGAGGAATTGTCCTCAACTACTCTCCCGCCTTCAGATTGGAAAGAAGATCACCATTGTTCAATTTTAGAAGCAGGACACTTTCGCTGAGCTGTATCATGAAAACATAGTTTGGGACTAGACTCCGAGGCCAGTATCGGCACATCACAAAATGTAAATGAGCATCTAATATTCATGGAAGAGACCATTATGAATCGGCTGTATGGTTTTGTTAAAATAACACTGTCCCTTCCACGCTTCCTTGAAGGCCTGGGTTCTTGAGTTAACTTGGTTGCTAACTTGCTGTGTGATGATAGGCAGGTCCTTTAACCTCTTTGGACCACAGTCTTCTAATCTTTAAAATCTTCTGAAAACACCCTGAAGGTTCCTTCCAGCTTATAGGATAATAGAAGGGAGCAGCTCAGAGAACCCCATGTCCTTTCTCTTAACCCTGTAGCAGTTGACTCAGTTAAGTTCCTGAAAGTTGCTTACCTGAACAGAAGTGAGAAAGACCAGCCAGCACCAAGAGCTGAAAGAAATTGAGGTATGGACACTTGGATGGTGATGTTCCCTGCCTCCGTGTGTGGCCCATGGCTTCAGATGCTTAGGGTCAAAAGTGAAAGCCAACAATTTGGACCCAAGTAAGACCAGGGCACTTCCCAGGTGCAAAACAGGCAGGGCTGATGACAATCCAATTGCTCACGTAGAAGACCCTCCAGTGATGTTTACAAAACACACAGAGATTGGAGGGTGTTCCTGGGTCTCCAAAGGTTGTGGATTTAGTTTCACAGCCTGAAAAAGGAACAAATAAAAGTCATTCAGGAAGGAAGGTGTGCCTACTTTGAGTTGCAAAACTCTCGAGTTGCCTGCTAAAATTAATTGGAGAGCTTAACCTAAGCAACCTCTAAAGCAGGGCGTGACCCTGAGGAAAAGCGAATGGAAATTCTGTGAGGGGACCAGTTCCAAGAACCAACCACAGCCCTTCCATGAAAAGGCTTTCTACTTAATAGGTGGGGTGAAGATTTGGTTAGAAACAGGAGAGCTCTAAGGACCCTCCATATCTGTTAGCCAACCTGCAAAAGTTCAAATCCTCTTCTGAACATACCAAGAAACATAGAGCAGACAGTAAGGGTGTATTTTGTCCAAGGCAGGACCTAAGTTATGAAACAACTTCTTTCTTGACATATTAACATAAGAAAACAAGTATCTCAATTCTTTAAACCCTCTACTCAAATAATATATCATAAAGGGGTATGAGATCTCAATAACCAGAAAAGTCTATCCATAAAAAGGGAGGGAAAAAAAGACACTGCAGACGTTACTTATCAAAATTATGTACTCCAGGGCCAGGCGTGGTGGCTCACGCCTGTAATCCCAGCACTTTGGGAGGCTGAGGTGGGCGGATTACTTGAGGCCAGGAGTTCCAGACCAGCCTGGCCAACATGGCAAAACCCCATTTCTACCAAAAATACAAAAATTAGCCAGGTGTGGTGGTGGGTGCCTGTAATCCCAGCCACTTGGGAGGCTGAGGCACGAGAATTGCTTGAATCCAGGAGGTGGAGGCTGCAGTGAGCCAAGATGATTGCAACACTGCACTCCAGCCTAGGCGACAGAGTGAGACTCCATCTCAAAAAAAAAAAAAAAAAAAATTATGTACTGTCATGTGAGGTGGCTAGGGATTAATTTTTCCAGTAAATATGTCAAAATTGAGAAATGAAAATAAACACTGTGCTCCACTGTCACCCCTTCAGGCTGCTACCAGGACACAGCCCCGTGCTGCTCAGAGAATGCTTGAGTGTCCTCTTTGGAGACCACCCTAGAGCTAGAGTTCCAGCCACGCCATATTGTTTTATTAGCCATCATCCATTTTAGACAGGATTAGTTAAAAGAGACTTATTCACCAGAATTTGTTTTTCTTAAGATAGAATCTTGCTCTGTCACACAGGCTAGAGTGCAGTGGCGTGACCATAGCTCACCACAGTCTCAACCTCCCGAGCTCAAGCGATTTTCCCACTTTCACTAGAATTTTACTGGCTTGAGAAATTCAAATACGGCCCACAAAAACAATATTTGCTAGGATCTAGGATATTTTAAAATAATGGGCCACAATTCTCACTATGATGCTCCAAATATGTCGGGAAGCCACAGCCTCCTGTGGGAATGAGACCCTAAGGGTTCCTTTGAGGGCAAGCCTGGATCCAGGAGGTGGTAGCAGAGGTATTGTTTGTTTAAAAAGCAGTGAGGTTGCTGGTAACTAGTTCTACCAAGCTATCCCATAGTAAGATAATAGTAAATGTACTTACTTGCTGAAGAAAAATTCCACTTTTTCTTTAAATCCTTTGATTTCAGGGTAAGACTCCACTTCTGAGATGTTCTCTTCTTACAGTCTATAAAGCAATGACAAATCACTTTTTCTTTGGGTAATCTTCAGAGAGGCGACATTTCCCCTTCTAACTTCTGTTACTTTACAGAGGGTTTGAGTTCACTCAGTACTTGTCAGTGCCAGGAGTTGGACAGGGTGTTTGAAGAAGCGCCCTCTGCTGCCGTCTTCTTCTAGTTGCTTTTGTAGAGGCTGTGGCTGGGGCAAATCACACAGCAGCCTCCCTCACCACCGTGCATGGACTAACAAACATGAAACACCACGAGCACCAGGCGGCCTAGGGGAGGAGAAGAATGGTGCCCGAGAAGAGTGAGGGGCATCTGGCTAGCCTTGCTGTGTGATGGGAGGCCAGCTTCATGGGCTGGCTGTTTCTGTGCTGGTCTCAAGTTTTGTTTTAGCACCCAGAGTTACTCCTGAGTCCCTGCAGGAATAAGCTGTCAACCTCATATGTAGGGGACACTTTTGGGAGAGTGCTCAGCTCACAGGACCACCCAACTCTACTCCCACCTCTGAATCCCACCATCTTCAGAGAGTGGGCTCCTGCCAGCCACGCTGGACAGTGAATTCTGGTCACCCTAGCCACAGTTGAGTGCGCCTCTGGTGGGATGAGGAAGACTTTAGTCATGCCCATCACTCCCATTTCCAACTAGGTTGCCACCCACCCCTGTGTGTCCCTTTGTAGGATTCTGGAGCCCCTGTGAGTGAGCAGCTGACCCATGCTGGACCAGTGTACTTGTTTGCACAGGTGGAACCTGACAGCACCTTGCATGGGTTGCAGTGAGCCGAGATCACAACACTACAATCCAGCTTGGGTAACAGAGCAAGACTCCATCTCAAAAAAAAAAAAAAAAAAAAGACGCCATCCTTCCCACACCAGCCAGAAAGAGAGCAAACCGTGTGGGTGAGAAATACTGACTACAGCGGCGGCTTCCTTCATCTCAGCAACAAGTTTGTGGCAGAGCTTAGTGGATACCACCCTATTCACCTGAGATTTGGAATACTGAAGCTTTGGAAATCATGAAGGCAGAACTTGCTATGAAAGGACTCCACTGCACTGTCTCCTTCTGTATTGGCAGAAGGGGCCTAGTGAGCACCCTTCTTCACCTGTGTCTTGTTCTGGTCTCAGATGCATATTTTGAATAGTTGCAAGGAATATGGATGTGACAATTCCTGCCTTACCTCTAGTAGATCAACATTACATTTTCAAGTAAAGGGAACATAGATTGGAGGTAAGTTCATGTTTTCTATTTTCTTGAACATTTATTCAGATCAAAGAAATGTTTTCACTGATTTTAGCCACTTCTACTTGATACATTATTACAATGCACTGGAAGTGATTTTTTTTCCAGGTATTTAAAGTAATAGAAAGTTATAGATGTCAACTTAAAAGAGCAAAGAAATACAGAGTTTTAGAAATTTATTTTCTTTTTTTTTTTTTAGATGAAGTCTTTCTCTGCCGCCCAGGCTGGAGTGCAGTGGTGCAATCTTGGCTCACTGCAACCTCCGCCTCCTGGGTTCAAGCAATTCTTCTGCCTCAGCCTCCTGAGTAGCTGGGACTACAGGCGTGTGCCACCATGCCAGGCTAATTTTTAAATTTTTAGTAGAGATGGGGTTTCACCATATTGGCCAGGCTGGTCTCAAACTCCTGACCTTGTGATCCACCCTCCTCGGCCTCCCAAAGTGCTGGGATTACAGGCATGAGCCACTGCACCCAGCCGAGTTTTAGAAATTTCATGAGGGACTACATGAATACAAATTTTGACGATCACAGACACCCTCAAATTTTAAGAATCCCAGTGAAATCCTAACCTGCCTTGGAGAAACACACATTAAACAACTTTGCCATTAGCGCTTTGATGTGACTTAATCAAAGAGGCTGGAAGAAAGGAACACCAGGAAGGTACTTTACAGAGTTTCCCCAATCCTGATTGTAAAATTCAGAAGGCTTCTCTTCCAAGATTATGTACTAATGGGATGTGTTTAATTCCTCTTCCTCCTACAATGTGTCTAGGAGCATGACCTGTGGACCACAGATTTCTAAGGTAAATTTCTGGACACTGGAGGTGAGATGGATGAAGACGGGCAAAGGAAGCCGAACCCGAATACCTATATTACTGGAAAACAAAACAAAACAAAACAAAACCAAGTAAAAGATTTAAAAGGAGGCTGGGCACAGTGGCTCATGCCTGTAATCCCAGCACTTTGAGAGGCTGAGGTGGGCGGATCACTTGAGGCCAGGAGTTCGAGGCCAGCTGGCCAACGTGATGAAACCCCAGCTCTCCAAAAAAAAAAAAAAAACCAAAAAACTGGGCATAGTGGTGCATACCTGTAATCCCAGCTACTGGGAAGGCTGAGACATGAGACTTGCTTGAACTTCAGAGGCGGAGGTTGCAGTGAGCTAAGATTGTGCCATTGCACTCCAGCCTGGGTGACAGAGCAAGATTCTGTTTCAAAAACAAAACAAAACAAAACAAAAAAACTTTAAATGAGTTTGTTCTGAGGAGCAGACCCAGGGTTGGAGAAGAATAAAGCAGGAATTACTGCTCCTCAGTGTAAATTCTTTAGTGCCACTTATTTTTTTGTAAATCCATCCTTGGCTTTACTGTAATAAAAGTAAAAGAAATTCTTTTAAAAATAATTCACATAAAAATTCTTTTAAAAATTTTTATGTGA
This sequence comes from Homo sapiens, assembly GCF_000001405.40. Lineage (NCBI taxonomy): Eukaryota > Metazoa > Chordata > Mammalia > Primates > Hominidae > Homo > Homo sapiens. The sequence continues at coordinate 119,562,190 of NC_000003.12, forward strand.
AAAATTGAAAGGATAAATTTATGAAAGTATATTTTTATAATTCTAGGGTGAGCAAGACACAAAACTTGGAAGCCACGAAAAAAGAAAAGATACACAGATTTGAATTCATAAAAATTAAAAATATTTGTACAATGAAAGACATTATAAATGAAATGAAAACACAATCACAGACTGTAGAGGACCCAGCAGGAAGAGATGACGAGAGGGAGATGCAGCTTTGTCACTCAGAGGTTGGTGCAGAGGCTGTTGCGACACCGTAGGGGAAGCCTGGCCCTTTGCTTTACCCCTGAACAGGATGATCTCTGTGGAAATGAAGGTTCCATCTTTCTGCTCTTGACCTTGGAGCCACTTCACCTCCTCATGCTGATAAAGCTGGCCTGAGCTCAACCTTCCTACCCTTCCGTTCAGCATCCACAGGGAGGGCTGGGCTGGCTCCTGGCAGTGGCCTCAGTGCTGTCATTTGCAGGTTGCCTACTCAGGGCCCACGGTGCTAGCCTGACTGCTGGGAAAACCCCTTTCCCACAGTGGGCTCACTGTTGCCAAGTAAACAAAACCTGTTGCACTGACAAAAATTTTCAGGGGAGTTTTTCATGTTCTAAGATGACCCTCCCGTGAGGTTTAGAAGTTCATTTTTAGATATGACTTCATCTGGGCATGTCTATAAGGCCTGCACCCATCATAGGGCAGCTGATCTAGGCTTTAAGGCTATGGTGCTCCCCAGGAGTGCCACAGCCTGCTAAAGTTGGCAGCAAACTCATCAAAGTGGGAGAGTTCACCTCTTCCTCTTAAAATGCTGTCACATTCTTTCTGGTTCTTTGAGATGGAAATCACCAAAATGCTTAAAATGAAAACAAGTGACTTTCAGAGCTAGCCCTCGTTCAGAGTGAGGGCCGTCTTCTTACTAACCCACCACACACTCTTCCTCCTATACTTGGCATCTTACTCTTCCTGCCTGTGACTCTTTTTTTTTAATTAATTTTTTTATTATCAATTTTTGTTTATTATTCTACTTTAAGTTCTAGGGTACATGTGCACAATGTGCAGGTTTGTTACATATGTATACACGCTCCATGTTAGTGTGTTGCACCCATTAACTCGTCATTTACATTAGGTATATCTCCTAATGCTATCCCTCCCCCCTCCCCCCAGCCCATGACAGGCCCCCGTGTGTGATGCTCCCCTTCCTGTGTCCAAGTGTTCTCATTGTTCAATTCCCACCTATGAGTGAGAACATGTGGTGTTTGGTTTTTTGTCCTTGTGATAGTTTGCTGAGAATGATGGTTTCCAGCTTCATCCATGTCCCTACAAAGGACATGAACTCATCCTTTTTTCTGGCTGCATAGTATTCCATGGTGTATATGTACCACATTTTCTTAATCCAGTCTATCATTGATGGACATTTGGGTTGGTTCCAAGTCTTTGCTATTGTGAATAGTGCCACAATAAACATACGTGTGCATGTGTCTTTAGAGCAGCATGATTTATAACCCTTTGGGTATATACCCAGTAATGGGATGGCTGGGTCAAATGGTATTTCTAGTTCTAGATCCTTGAGGAATCGCCACACTGTCTTCCACAATGGTTGAACTAGTTTACAGTCCTGCCAACGTGTAAAAGTGTTCCTATTTCTCCACATCGTCTTCAGCACCTGTTGTTTCCTGACTTTTTAATGATCGCCATTCTAACTGGTGTGAGATGGTGTCTTATTGTGGTTTTGATTTGCATTTCTCTGATGGCCAGTGATGATGAGCATTTTTTCATGTGTCTGTTGGCTGCATAAAAGTCTTTTTTGAGAAGTGTCTGTTCATATCCTTTGCCCACTTTTTGATGGGGTTGTTTTTTCTTGTAAATGTGTTTGAGTTCATTGTAGATTCTGGATATTAGCCCTTTGTCAGATGAGTAGATTGCAAAAATTTTCTCCCATTCTGTAGGTTGCCTGTTCACTCTGATGGTAGTTTGTTTTGCTGTGCAGAAACTCTTTAGTTTAATTAGATCCCATTTGTCAATTTTGGCTTTTGCTGCCATTGCTTTTGGTGTTTTAGACATGAAGTCCTTGCCCATGCCTATGTCCTGAATGGTATTGCCTAGGTTTTCTTCTAGGGTTTTTATGGTTTTAGGTCTAACACTTAAGTCTTTAATCCATCTTGAATTAATTTTTGTATAAGGTGTAACGAAGGGATCCAGTTTCAGCTTTCTACATGTGGCTGGCCAGTTTTCCCAGCACCATTTATTAAACAGGGAATCCTTTCCCTATTTCTTGTTTTTGTCAGGTTTGTCAAAGATCAGATATTGTAGATGTATGGTATTATTTCTGAGGGTTCTGTTCTGTTCCATTGGTCTAATCTCTGTTTTGGTACCAGTACCATGCTGTTTTGGTTATTGTAGCCTTGTAGTATAGTTTGAAGTCAGGTAGCGTGATGTCTCCCGCTTTTTTCTTTTGGCTTAGGATTGTCTTGGCAATGCAGGCCCTTCTTTGTTCCATATGAACTTTAAAGTAGTTTTTTCCAATTCTGTGAAGAAAGTCATTGGTAGCTTGATGGGGATGGCATTGAATCTATAAATTACCTTGGGCAGTATGGCCATTTTCACGATATTGATTATTCCTATCCATGAGCATAGAATGTTCTTCCATTTGTTTGTGTCCTCTTTTATTTCATTGAGCAGTGGTTTGTAGTTCTCCTTGAAGAGGTCCTTCACATCCCTTGTAAGTTGGATTCATAGGTATTTTATTCTCTTTGAAGCAATTGTGAATGGGAATTCACTCATGATTTGGCTCTCTGTTTGTCTGTTATTGGTGTATAAGAATGCTTGTGATTTTTGCACATTGATTTTGTATCCTGAGACTTTGCTGAAGTTGCTTATCAGCTTAAGGAGATTTTGGGCTGAGACAATGGGGTTTTCTAAATATACAATCACGTCATCTGCAAACAGGGACACTTTGACTTCCTCTTTTCCTAATTGAATACCCTTTATTTCTTTCCCCTGCCTGATTGCCCTGGCCAGAACTTCCAACACTATGTTGAATAGGAGTGGTGAGAGAGGGCATCCCTGTCTTGTGTCAGTTTTCAAAGGGAATGCTTCCAGTTTTTGCCCATCAGTATGATATTGGCTGTGGGTTTGTCATAAATAGCTCTTATTATTTTGAGATACGTCCCATCAATACCTAATTTATTGAGAGTTTTTAGCATGAAGGGTTGTTGAATTTTGTCAAAGGCCTTTTCTGCATCTATTGAGACAAACCTGTGGTTTTTGTCTTTGGTTCTGTTTATATGCTGGATTACGTTTATTGATTTGCGTATGTTGAACCAGCCTTGCATCCCAGGGATGAAGCCCACTTGATCATGGTGGATAAGCTTTTTGATGTGCTGCTGGATTCAGTTTGCCAGTATTTTATTGAGGATTTTTGCATCAATGTTCATCAAGGATATTGGTCTAAAATTCTCTTTTTTTGTTGTGTCTCTGCCAGGCTTTGGTATCAGGATGATGCTGGCCTCAAAAAATGAGTTAGGGAGGATTCCCTCTTTTTCTACTGATTGGAATAGTTTCAGAAGGAATGGTACCAGCTCCTTCTTGTACCTCTGGTAGAATTCGGCTGTGAATCCATCTGGTCCTGGATTTTTTTTTGGTTGGTAGGCTATTAATTATTGCCTAAATTTCAGAGCCTGTTATTTAAGGATTTAGGGATTTAACTTCTTCCTGGTTTAGTCTTGGGAGGGTGTATGTGTCCAGGAATTTATCCATTTCTTCTAGATTTTCTAGTTTACTTGCATAGAGGTGTTTATAGTATTCTCTGATGGTAGTTTGTATTTCTGTGGGATCGGTGGTGATATCCCCTTTATCATTTGATATTGTGTCTATATGATTCTTCTCTCTTTTCTTCTTTATTAGTCTTGCTAGTGGTCTATCAATTTTGTTGATCTTTTCAAAAAACCAGCTCCTGGATTCATTGATTTTTTGAGGGTTTTTGTGTCTCTATCTCCTTCAGTTCTTCTCTGATCTTAGTTATTTCTTGCCTTCTGCTAGCTTTTGAATGTGTTTGCTCTTGCTTCTCTAGTTCTTTTAATGGTGATGTTAGGGTGTCAATTTTAGATCTTTCCTACTTTCTCTTGTGGGCATTTAGTGCTATAAATTTCCCTCTACACACTGCTTTAAATGTTTCCCAGAGATTCTGGTATGTTGTGTCTTTGTTCTCATTGGTTTCAAAGAATATCTTTATTTCTGCCTTCATTTTGTTATGTACCCAGTAGTCACTCAGGAGCAGGTGTTTCAGTTTCCATGTAGTTGAGTGGTTTTGAGTGAGTTTCTTAATCCTGAGTTCTAGTTTGATTGCACTGTGGTCTGAGAGACAGTTCGTTATAATTTCTGTTCTTTTACATTTGCTGAGGAGTGCTTTACTTCCAACTATGTGGTTAATTTTGGAATAAGTGCTATGTGGTGCTAAGAAGAATGTATATTCTGTTGATTTGGGGTGGAGAGTTCTGTAGATGTCTATTAGGTCTGCTTGGTGCAGAGCTGAGTTCAATTCCTGGATATCCTTGTTAACTTTCTGTCTCGTTGATCTGTCTAATGTTGACAGTGGGGTGTTACAGTCTCCCATTATTATTGTGGGGGAGTCTAAGTCTCTTTGTAGGTCTCTAAGGACTTGCTTTATGAATCTGGGTGCTCCTGTATTGGGTGCATATATATTTAGGATAGTTAGCTCTTCTTGTTGAATTGAGCCCTTTACCATTATGTAATGACCTTCTTTGTCTCTTTTGATCTTTGTTGGTTTAAAGTCTTTTTTATCAGAGACTAGGATTGCAACCCCTGCCTTTTTTTGTTTTCCATTTGCTTGGTAGATCTTCCTCCATCCCTTTATTTTGAGCTTATGTGTGTCTCTGCATGTGAGATGGGTCTCCTGAATACAGCACACTGATGGGTCTTGACTCTATCCAATTTGCCCGTCTGTGTCTTTTAATTGGAGCATTTAGCCCATTTACATTTAAGGTTAATATTTTTGTGTGTGAATTTGATCCTGTCATTACGATGTTAGCTGGTTATTTTGCTCGTCAGTTGATGCAGTTTCTTCCTACCATCAATGGTCTTTACAATTTGGCATGTTTTTGCAGTGGCTGGTACTGGTTTTTCCTTTCCATGTTTAGTGCTTCCTTCAGGAGCTCTTTTAGGGCAGGCCTGGTGGTGACAAAATCTCTCAGCATTTGCTTGTCTGTAACGGATTTTATTTGTCCTTCACTTATGAAGCTTAGTTTGGCTGGATATGAAATTCTGGGTTGAAAATTCTTTTCTTTAAGAATGTTGAATGTTGGCCCCCCACTCTCTTCTGGCTTATAGAGTTTCTGCTGAGAGATCCGCTATTAGTCTGGTGGGCTTCCCTTTGTGGAAAACCCGACCTTTCTCTCTGGCTGCCCTTAACAGTTTTTCCTTCATTTCAACTTTGGTGAATCTGACAATTATGTGTCTTGGAGTTGCTCATCTCGAGGAGTAACTTCATAGTGTTCTCTGTATTTCTTGAATTTGAATGTTGGCCTGTCTTGCTAGGTTGGGGAAGTTCTCCTGGATAATATCCTGTAGAGTGTTTTCCAACTTGGTTCCATTCTCCCCATCACTTTCAGGTACACCAATCAGACGTAGATTTGGTCTTTTCACATAGTCCCATATTTCTTGGAGGCTTTGTTCATTTCTTTTTACTCTTTTTTCTCTAAACTTCTCTTCTTGCTTCATTTCATTCATTTCATCTTCCATCACTGACACTCTTTCTTCCAGTTGATCTAATCGGCTACTGAAGCTTGTGCATTCGTCATGTAGTTCTCGTACCACGGTTTTCAGCTCCAACAGGTCATTTAAGGACTTCTCTACACTGGTTATTCTAGTTAGCCATTTGTCTAATCTTTTTTCAAGGTTTTTAGCTTCTTTGAGATGGGTTCAAACTTCTTCCTTTAGCTCGGAGAAGTTTGATCATCTGAAGACTTTTTCTCTCAACTGATCAAAGTCATTCTCCATCCAGCTTTGTTCTGTTGCTGGTAAGGAGCTGCATACCTTTGGAGGGGGAGAGGCGCTCTGATTTCTAGAATTTTCAGCTTTTCTGCTCTGTTTTTTCCCCATCTTTGTGGTTTTATCTACCTTTGGTCTTTGATGATGGTGACCTTTGATGATGGTGGGGTTTTGGTGTGGATGTCCTTTCTGTTTGTTAGTTTTCCTTCTAACAGTCAGGACCCTCAGCTGCAGGTCTGTTGGAGTTTGCTGGAGGTCCACTCTAGACCCTGTTTGCCTGGGTATCAGCAGCGGAGGGTGCAGAACAGCGAATATTGCTGAACAGCAAATGATGCTGCCTGATCGTTCCTCTGGAAGTTTTGTCTCAGAGGGGTACCCAGCTGTGTGAGGTGTCAGTCTGTCCCTACTGGAGGGTGCCTCCCAGTTAGGCTACTCGGGGGTCAGGGACCCACTTGAGGAGGCAGTCTGTCCATTCTCAGATCTCAAACTCCACGCTGGGAGAACCACTACTCTCTTCAAGGCTGCCAGACAGGGACATTTAAGTCTGCAGAGGTTTCTGCTGCCTTTTGTTCAGCTATGCCCTACCCCCAGAGGTGGAGTCTACAGAGGCAGGCAGGCCTCCTTGAGCTGTGGTGGGCTCCACCCAGTTCGAGCTTCCCGGCCGCTTTGTTTACCTACTCAAGCCTCAGCAATGGCGGGTACCCCTACCCCAGCCTCGCTGCTGCCTTGCAGTTCGATCTCAGACTGCTGTGTTAGCAATGAGTAAGGCTCCGTGGGCGTGGGACCCTCCGAGCCAAGCTCGGCATATAATCTCCTGGTGTGGCATTTGCTAAGACCATTGGAAAAGTGCAGTATTAGGCTGGGAGTGACCCGATTTTCCAGGTGCCGTCCGTCACCACTTCCCTTGGCTAGGAAAGGGAATTCCCTGACCCCTTGCCCTTCTCGGGTGAGGCGATGCCTCACCCTGCTTCGGCTCTCGCTCAGTGGGCTACACCCATTGTCCTGCCCCCACTGTCCGACAAACCCCAGTGAGATGAACCCAGTACCTCAGTTGGAAATGCAGAAATCACCTGTCTTCTGTGTCGCTCACGCTGGGAGCTGTAGACTGGAGCTGTTCCTATTCTGCCACCTTGCCTCATAATCCTTGCCTGTGACTCTTGACACACTGTCCCCCAACTTCCTTGGCTGCCTTTCCCCATTCTCTCTGCCCATCTAAACATCTTTCTTCCTCAAAGGACCAGGCCAAATGCCATTTCCCCAAGAAGCTTTCCTGACTCTTCTAAATCTCCATCTGCTCTTTCCCTTCTCTGAGATCCTATGTCTGTGCCACTCATTTGGCATCATTCCAATCCCTCCCCACCCCCCCAAATTTATTGAGTGCCTACTATGTGCCTGGAAGGGTTCAAACATTGGGGAAGCAAAATGGCTTGACTAGGAGAGATAAGGACAACATGGACCGATCCTAAGAAAAAGAAACAGTAGCAGAAAAAGAGCAGGGCAGCTAGCTGAATTTAAGTCTGCAGTGTGGCGAAAATGCCAACAAAATATTGCGAGACATGAGTGGCAATATGACATACCATGGCCAGAAATTATCTTTTTGGATTCTTTCTACATGAACCCAGATCCTTATTGGAATATTACGTCCAATTTCAAACTAAATGTGGAGAGGATCCGGCAGAAAGTAACAAACAATAACAAAAAGGATGCTAAACCAGGCAGCTCAGAGAACAGAGGAATGGGGAGCCAAGATGTTTTAGATGGGCCAAATGATTTTGAGGCCTTTGGTAATGATCCTCTGTGGCTTTGAGGTGTTTCTGTTTCTTTGTTTTGAGCTAGTCATGGCCATAAATGCCTTCTACATCTGTAGGCGACCAAACTGGAGAAAATAATCTACATGTAAGCAGGATAAATTTTGATTGTGTTTAAGGAAGCATTTTTTTTGTGTTGAAGCTGGAAAAGGTGACTTTCAAAGAAGGTTGCAAATTTTTATTGCCTGATGCTTTAAGAAGAGAAGAGACAAATCCTGTTTGGGGAAAACAGAGATTTCTCTGCCTGAGAGTAAGGGACTATGGTGGAATCCCAGGCAGTCCACGATTCTAGGACCTGAGGCGTTAAATGTCACTGCCACTGGCTGCCACTCCCCTGCCCTGCCACACTGTCCACCAGAACCACTAACGAAGTTACAAAAGTCACCCTTTTCAGTTTCTATTTCATTTTCCCTGTCCCCTGAGAAACAGGAACCAAGGACTAGGCAGTAGGAGAAGCCAGACATGATCTATGCTTTCAAAGTGGGTCACCATGGCGTGAATGAATTAGAGCTGAAGGGTCATGGAAACAGCCTGTTCCTCCTCCCTCTCTCCTCCCCAGCTCTGTCCCCCACTTCTTCCTTTTTTTGTATTATTCTGAAAAGTGAATCAAACAGTTGCCATTTTTTTTATATTACGTTGGTCCACAACGTCAAAGGTCATGGTTTCCAGATTTCGGAAAAGGAATTTGATTCTGTTCCTAAAATTAAAGAGAAATTGCAAGGCTTGGATGGAAAGGGGAAGTTCCCCTTCAATAACTCTTTCTAGAAGGGTCAACATTTAAAACTTAACGTGTGGCCGGGTGCAGTGGCTCACGCCTGTAATCCCAGCACTTTGGGAGGCCAAGGAGGGTGGATCACTTGAGGTCAGGAGTTTGAGACCAGCCTGGCCAACATGGCAAAACCCCATCTCTACTAAAAATTTAAAAATTAGCTGGGCATGGTGGTGGGTGCCTGTAATCCCAGCTACTCCGGAGGCTGAAGCATGAGAATCGCTTGAACCTGGGAGATGGAAGTTGCAGTGAGCTGAGATTGAACAATTGCACTCCAGCCTGGGCAACAGAGTGAGACTCTGACTCAAAAAAAAACAAACAAACAAACAAACAAAAAAAGTTAACCTTATGTAGATATTTACCTATTATTTGAATACGAGAAGGAATTTGACCACTTGAGGGCCTGATTTATACAAGTACCACATGATGAAGAACAGGATTTTATGGAGTGAAGATCCTTAACAGCACTCTCAGATTGAATCTCTCCTGAGCCTTGAACTGATTTCTCCAGTGGCCACTGGGGTTGCGTGACTCCTCCAATGGCCCCAGACACAACTAAGAAATGTGCCTAAACTGGCTGCCATTTGAAACCTTTTGGTGTCCTTTGTTTAGATGCCCCACCCTAAACTTCAGGAGTTCTCTCCAGAGAGTAATTTTAGGAATGAATGCCAGAGACCAAGGGATGAGGGACTGTTGCCTCATCAGAGGGGGAAGGAGCTTGCTGGAAAAACAAGAGGAACAAAATGTCCCCTGACTAGATTTTTCTTTACCTTTTGTCTCAAGGACTCTTCTAGAAATAGAAATAAGAGTAGATTCATGTACATTTGCCCAGGTTGACCCCAGTGGAGGAATTGTGGGGCAGAAAGAATGATAACATGAAAGAAAGATAATTTCAGTAAGGCCCCCCAAACTTTTGGTTTAGGGAGCAGTCACTTTTTGTTTCCTAGAAGCTGTATTTTCACCTACTGAGATTCTAGCAGGCAGTGAAGTCCCCTTAGGATGGGACCGTGTGCAAGAGCATTGCTGTTTCATTGTAAACCCTGGAAGCGGAACTTAGGACTCAGCTGGCCAGCTGAGCTTCTCTTCCTGTGGGAAATCCCAGCGAAACCAGGAGAAAGGGAGCAACAGAGGTCATCTGCCAGGAAATGTACCAAAGAAGATTTGAAAATTACTGGTGGATCTCCAGAGCAAAGGCTGGAAAGCCCTGACCTACAGGAGCGGGCTACTGCATTGTTGGGAGGAGCAGGATTCACATCCACATGGACTTCCCTCGGGTCTCTTTCTGCTCTGCAGAGAGGGGTGGAAGCTGCTCCTAGGGTTTTTTTTTTGTTTTTTGTTTTTTGTTTTAAGATGGAGTCTCGGTCTGTCGTCCAGGCTACAGTGTAGTGGCACGATCTTGGCTCACTGCAACCTCTGCCTCCCAGGTTCAAGCGATTCTCCTGCCTCAGCCTCCCGAGTAGCTGGGATTACAGGCATGCACCACCATGCCCGGCTAATTTTGTATTCTTAGTAGAGAGGAGGTTTCACCATGTTGGCCAGGCTGGTCTTGAACTCCTGACCTCATGATCCGCCTGCCTCGGCCTTCCAAAGTGCTGGGATTACAGGTGTGAGCCACCGCACCTGGCCACTCCTAGGTTTTAAAACACCGGTTTGTATCCACTTATCTCTTTTGCTCCTCTCCATATAGTCTCCCATCTCTACCTCTTGCTATATTTGATTCCTGCCTGCTTGTTAGAATTACGGTGCATATCTTAGATTTTTCTTTAAATACCACTTTTAGACTGTCATCAACAAGAGGCTTAAGGCTCTTTGGGAGTGGGATATAGAATATTTATTTATTTATTTAGAGACAGGTTCTCACTCTATCACCCAGGCTACTGTGCAGTTGTGTGACCCTAGCTTATTGTAACCTTGAACTCTCAGGCTCAAGCAATCCTCCTGCCCCAGCTTCCTCAGTAGCTAGGACTACAGGTGTGCACCACCACACCTGGATAATTTTATTTATTTATTTATTTTGTAGAGACAGGGTCTCACTTTATTGCACAGGCTGGTCTTGAACTCCTGGGCTCAAGTGATCCTCCCACCTCTGCCTCCCAACGTACTGGGTTTATAGGCGTGAGCTGCGCCCAGCAAATATTTTAAAAATTAGACTCAGGAGGTTCAAATCTTTCATAGGTGTTTAGTCTATCATGTCATTTCAATTTTTTTCTAAGTGACAGTAGAAGGAATGGAAGAAGTCCTGGCTGGGAGTTCAGAGGGCATGGGCTCCAGGCCCACTTCTCTCCATGTGTGAAACTGAGTTATATAAACTCTGAGTAACTGTCTTCACTGGCCTCAGCTTCCTCCCTAGAAAGTTATTGTCAGCTGGGCACGGTGCCTAATGCCTATAATCCCAGCACTTTGGGAGGCTGAGACAGGTGGATCACTTGAGGTCAGGAGTTCAAGACCAGCCTGGCCAACATGGTGAAACTGCCTCTCTACTAAAAATACAAAAATTAGCTGGGCGTGGTGGCGATCGCCTGTAATCCCAGCTACTTGGGAGGCTGAGGCAGGATAATTGCTTGAACCTGGGAAATAGAGGTTGCAGTGAGCTGGGATTGCACCACTGCCCTCAGGCCTGAGTGACAGAGCCAGACTCCGTCTCAAAAAAAAAAAAAAAAAGAAACTTATTGTCAACTGAAAATTCACAAGGTTTATAAATCTGGAAAAGAGAGCTTTATTTTTATAAAGGGTTGCAGACGGCAGGATGGCCATTCTCAGTCTGGGAAGTGTAGCCTTCCAGCCAGAAGCCAAAAAGAGGCACCTCCAGGGAAAGGCAAAGGGAACAGGAATGTATGCTGAGCAGAGCAGCCAAGTACACATATTTATTTATTTATTTATTGAGACAAGGTCTCACTCTGTCACCCAGGCTGGAGTGCAGTGGCACAATCTCAGCTCACTTCAACCTCCACCTCCCAAGTTCAAGCGATTCTCGTGCCTCAGCCTCCCAAGTAGGTAGGATTACAAAAATACATGTATTTAATAAACTATAGGAGGAGTCATGAATATTTATGAAAGGAGAAACATGTGCATGTGCAACTGAGCGTCATGCCCCTTCAAGAGTCCCTTTTACAAAAAATGGCAGCATTAGCATGATCTGAGGGTGGAGTTCTCGGCCCTCTGATGTTAAAAGGTGAAGCAGAGGACACAAAAACCCTCACTGCAGGTCCTCTGTAGGCTGGCCAGAACCAATCTGTGATTGGTGGTCTCTTATCAGGGCAGAATGATGGTCAGTTGTGTCAAAACTGCAAAAGGAAGGGACAGCAGTCACGTGGTTGGTTGAAATCAGCGGTGAAGTCTGAGCCTGTTTTCCTTGATGAGCTGATCTTCTGGATGCCGTCTCTGAACACCCTGACTGAGCTGATACCATTAACTCTCTCATAGTTGCCAACCATGTACCTTGAACATTCTCTGCTTCCATACTCCTCACGGCCTCGTGCCATTATACTGTACAGTGTCTTCTCTCCTTGTGTGATTTTTGCCCTACCTCTGTAGGTGCAAGAAGCGCCAAGCATGTGCTTGGCTGGCACATTTTGTTTATTTATTTATTTATTTTTATTATTTTTCAGTCAGAGTTTTGCTCTTGTTGCCCAAGCTGGAGGAGTGCAATGGTGCAATCTTGGCTCACTGCAACCTCCGCCTCCCAGGGTCAAGCAATTCTCCTGCCTCAGCCTCCCAAGTGGCTGGGATTACAGTCACCCGCCACCATGCCCAGCTAATTTTTGTATTTTTAGTAAAGAAGGGATTTCACCCTGTTGGCCAGGCTGGTCTTGAACTCCTGACCTCAAGTGATCCGCCCGCCTTGGCCTCCCAAAGTGCTGGGATTACAGGCGTGAACCACCGCGCCAGACTGGCTGGCACATTTTAGATACTGTATTAGTCAAGTTTCTTCTGAGAAACAGAACCAATAGGATGGACACACACACACATGCAGAGAAAGAGAGTTTACTTTAAGGGATTGGCTTATACAATTGTGGAGGCTGGCAGGTTCGACAGGGTAGGCCAGCAGGCTAAAGACCCAGGAAAGAGTTGCAGCTCGAGTCTAAAGGCAGTCTGGCAGAATTCTCTCTTCCTTGGGGGAGGCGAGTCTTTTTTCTATTAAGGCTTTCAACTGATTGGAATGAGGCTCATCCACATTAGGGAGAGTAATCTGCTTTACTCAAAGGCTACTGATTTAGATGTGAATCTCATCTTAAAAAATACCTGCACAGAAACATCTAGAACAATGTTTGACCAAATATCTGGGCACTGTGGCCTAGCTAGGCTGACAAAATTAGCCATCACAGATGCTCTCTAAATCTTCTTGAATTGAATTGACAACACAGGATATGTGAGCAGCTACTTTTGGTTACTTATCTTCAAACTCATCAAGTTGTATACCCGAAATATGTACAGCTTTTTGTATCTCAGTCATATCTCAATAACGTGATTTAAGAAAACATATAAACACTTTTTTGGTAATTTTAAAAATATGTTAGCAGCCGAAAAATGAGATCACTTGGGTGCTCTAGAAGAGCAGGGGCTGTCAGGGCCTAGCATATACTTACACAGCAGGTATTCAATGTCTGAAGAATGTATAAAGATCATTCTTGTAAGTGACCAGTTTGTTAAGAACAGTGTCATTGTTCCGACCTTATAGATGAAGTGTCTGAAATATCTTAAGATCAGGTCCGAGGGCTACAAGTTTATTTCTCAGCAACAGCCTCAGCATAGCAATTGATTCTGTATTGGTGAGTAATGAAGATGCCTATGATGTGTCTTCCTCAATAAAACTAAGAGCAAGGAACCAACTATGCAATATATTTGTCTTTCCAGGACCTATACTAATGCCTAGCACCTAGTAAGATGCCAAGTAACTATTTGTTCTTCTTGGCAGAACAACATTCACTGTTTCCTTTGCAAACAAACCCTGATTTTTGTAAAAGAACCTACCTCTACCTCTCAGGGAAGATGTGTCTATCCTTGATCTAAGGGAAACATCATAATCCAGCCTGCCTGCCAGGAATTGGTTTAGACTTCTGGAGGATCTTTGAGAATAGTTTCTTCATCTTGAAAGAAGAAACACTCTCTTTTTCCACTGGACACTGTCTATAACTGTAACTGCAATGTGTTATTATGCATACACATTATCTTGACTGCCTAGTTAAATAATCAGAGCTAAACAAAAATTTTCGAAGAAATTAACAGTAAATGGTTAATAGGCAACGCCTCTTGGGCTCGCTAGCAGACACAAAATAGCAAAATGGTTTAAACAAAAACAAACCGAAGGATAAGACCTCTATATACATTTGATAAAATAAATTAAAATGGGGAAAATATGATCTTGTGCCAATTAAAAACGTCAGTCTGGGGATAAAAATAACTGAAGATAGTAGGTCAGAAAGATAAGAAGAACAGGGTCTTTCTTTGATGATAGTATACAGTTGCTAAATTAACCCTGGGACTTCTTACCTTTAGACATTTTGTTACATAAGATAATAAGTGCCATTATTATTTAAGCCCAGTGAGTATGTGGTGTTTTGGGGGTGGGGAAGAGTGATGGTTATTTGCCGTTATTTGGAGCTGGAAACATGCTAACTGATAAATTATCCTTTTGGTTTATAGGACAATGTCCTTGATGCCCAAAAACATTTTCTAATTTTGACAGAAGAGAAAGGATGTCAGTAGGTGTTAACTAATGTGAAAAGAAGGTAGAATGGCTCATGTGTGTGATGGAGATGAGAACTGGGAATACAGAGAGATATCTGACCTGGTAGTAATTTTTTCTTGCATGACTACTACATTGATAAGCACTGTGCTAAAATTTTTCAATTAATTATTTCATGCAATCTTCAAACCAACTTTATGAAATATGTACTATTATTTTTCCTACTTAATAACAGAAAGTGAAGCTTAGCAAGATGAAGTGACTTGTCTAAAATCACTTACTCAAGCTAGTGTTTTTTGTTTGTTTGTTTTGTTTTGAGATGGAGTCTCACTCTGTCGCCCAGGTTGGAGTGCAGTGGCACGATCTCAGCTCACTGCAACCTCCGCCTCCTGGGTTCAAGCAATTCTCCTGCCTTGGCCTCCCGAGTAGCTGGGATTACAGGCACCCACCACCATGCCCGGCTAATTTTTTATTTTTAGTAGAGACAGGGTTTCACCATGTTGGTCAGGCTGGTCTCGAACTCCTGACCTCATGATCCACCTGCCTTGGCCTCCCAAAGTGCTGGGATTACAGGCGTGAGCCACCGTGCCTGGCCCCCAAGTGTTGTTACAAGGGTTTGAAACCAGATAGCGTGGATGTGTCGGGAGTCTATGCTAATGGTCACAAAGTTCATAGGCACCATAAAGTTCAAAGCAAACTAATTGCTAACAACCCCAGTTTTTCTGTTTGTTTTTGTTTGTTTGTTTGTGTTTTGAGACAGGGTCTTGCTCTGTCGTCCAGGCTGGAGTGCAGTGGCACAATCTCAGCTCACTGCAACCTCTGCTTCCTGGGCTCAAGCAGTCCTCCCACCTCAGCCTCCTGAGTAGCTCAGACCACAGGCGCATGCCTGGATAATTTTTGTATTTTTTGTAGAGAACAGGTTTCACCATGTTGCCCAGGCTGGTCTCGAACTCCTGGTCTCAAGCAATCTGTCCCCCTTGGCCTCCCAAAGTACTGGGATTACAGGTATGAACCACTGTGCCCAGCCCCAGTTATTCTTTACATTTAAGTCAAAAACGAAAACAAAAAATCACCCTTTCCCATGGATTCTCACAGAAAGATCACTACATAATATGAACAATATCCTCAGCAGACATCTTAAGCTGAAACTGTGTTGAGTTTTATCGGGATGCTTATTATTCAAAATGTCTCTTACTACAGAACTTGCTTTGACTGCATCCTCAGAGGCTGAAAATCTTTGACAGTTGAAAGAATGAAGGATGTGCCATCCCCAAATATGCCATATAATATATTGATTACTTTGAGTTGAAAACATTAGAGAAATTATAGTTTCAGAAAGGGTAAAACTGAGGGCTGACCTGATTAGGCCTGACACTTAATTTGCCTTGCTTGCTTTTGGTCACTTGCTTCTAGTCGATTTTAAAACCTGCATAGCTAAAAGTCATGTAGCTAGACGATACATAACTAAATTCCACTTGCCTCCTTATAGATAACTTCTCTGATAGGACACCATGGAAAA
Source organism: Homo sapiens (assembly GCF_000001405.40). Classification (NCBI taxonomy): domain Eukaryota; kingdom Metazoa; phylum Chordata; class Mammalia; order Primates; family Hominidae; genus Homo; species Homo sapiens. The sequence continues at coordinate 119,577,963 of NC_000003.12, forward strand.
TATTGCTTAAGTTATTTTTCAGGAACTTAGAGTCAGTTCTTGTCCAGTTCAAGCCACCAGCCCTTCATCTTGGCCTGCGTGAGTGTCCAATGGGTGACCTTTTGACATCAGAAGGCCCAAAACTCCACTCTCAGATCATGCTAACGTCACGATTTTGTGAACATGTGTTCTATGAACAGCCATGAAGATTGACTATGCTTGCTCAGATTACCGATTGCCTCACTTTTCCTTACCTCATCTTTCTCTGAACCTTGGACCACCTTCCTCCCCTATCCCATAAGCACTCCTAAAATTCCATCTTTGGAAAGGCACATTTGAGGCCTGTTCTCCAGTCTCCTGTCTTGGCTGCCTTGTGAATACACCCTTTCTCTACTGCAAAACTTGTGCGCCTCAGTGATTGGCATACTGTGTGAAAGACAAATGAGCCTGGTTCCCTGACAGGAGCTGAGCTGTCTCTTCCTGCATGCAGCCAGCAATAAAGATTCCTCTAGGAGAGGTATGTTCTCCACGCCAGAGCGAGAAAATAGCTCTCATCACCAGAGATTTGGAACTGGAGGTGGCATTTGGACTGGAGTAAACATTCTTGCAAAGTAACCATTATCTTCCACCTGTTTTACACCCCACCCCCCATATATCTCCTAGGGGCTCCCCTAGAAATTTTTTACCACCCTAGCCGGATTTTCTTTGTCCTGTCACTTCTTCTTAAATTTATCACTCTTTTTCTAAAAAGTATAAAAGCATCTTGCTTTGGACACTTTCTTCAGGATTCAGTCTCTTAACATCCCCATGTACATGTAAAATTAATAAAATTTGTATACTTTTCTCTTGTTAATCTGCCTAGTGTCAATTTGGCTTCTAGATGCAGCTGATTAGCTCACTAAGAGCTAGAGGGTGTAGGGGGTTGGAGGTGATCTCTGCCTCCCTTATTGGTGAACTTGATTTTTGTAAACACTCAAAAGTCACTTAGGCTAGAGTTGGAGATGGAGATGGTTATTCACTGGGAAGGCCACAAGAGAATGTTTTAAAGTGATGGAAATATTTCATATCTCGATTATGGTGTAAGGACATTTCATTATATATAAATTATATATCAATTTTTTAAAAAGCTCTCAGACCAAGGCTAGTCATTACAGCAAGAAAATAGGCATAGCAAATTTAAAACTTTGGAGAAATATATAGAATATTTGCATATGGTGATTCTGATTTGCTTTAAAAGTGACATGATTAATGTATTTAGACAAAAATACTCTTCGTTTTTCTTTGCTTTTATTTACGATCAGGATACAAGAATTCTACGCTGCTGCCAAATAAATGACTAGTTAAAATTAACTAACTGAATCCTTAACAACCATTCTAAGAGGCAGATATTATTATCCCACTTTATGCGTGAGGGCCCAGAACCCTGGCAAGGGCGGCACACTCAGTACGCTCTTCAAGCATCTGGGCACACCCGGTCCACTACAGTCCTACAAAGTCGGACGTGAGCACGGGCGAAGGCGTCAGCCGGGGCCACACGGGAGTCACTGACCACAGCCAGGCGAGAGCCGGCTTTCCGGTGCCGCCACATTCCGGGCACCAGGCTCCGGGCTCTTCAGAGCATTTGGGGCGGGCGACGGAGGTCCCGTCCACTCTCGCTTGGGTGCAGAAGGGCGCGGCGGTGCCAGGAAGCCGCCTTGGAGGCTCCAAGATTAGCTCACTCAGCGCGGCCAAGCGCAGGTGCGGGGGCCCTCGCCGCCACCCTGCTTATCTGGGGACAGTCCCGGAACCCGGTGACCCGGCTCCGCCCCAACCCGCGCCCTCGTCCACCCGCAGCAGCCAAGGCCTCTTCCCCGGCCCCGGGAGCCCGCGCCACGCCCGTCGCTCGCGCGTTCCAGTCCAGGCTACAGCAGGTATCGCGATCCCGGCCCTCGGCCCCGCGCTCCCCTCCCCCGCCCCTGGCGCTCTCCGAGTGTGGCCGACCATGAGGATTCCCAGTCTTGCAAATCGTGGGAGCGTGTCAACCGCCCCGTTTCTTTCCAAAGCCGGGCATGGCCCGGAAGCAGCTGATCAGATCTTAGTTCTGAATGTATAGTTCGGGTACGAGAATGTGACCCGTGAAAGTTCAGAGGAGTTAAGTAATTACAGCGTTCTGAAAGCGAACGTTAAAGGGAATTTACAACCGAAAAAAGATGCCGGTCTTCTTCCCCCATCCCAGCTTGCAATTCACAGAAGCACACATTAGGGTGGAGCCAGAAGGAATTACGGAAAGGACAATGAGGACATTGAGAGGGAGGGTATGGGGGGTTAAAGTTAGTCCTCCGAGGCCAAGAAGCAGAGTGTCTTGGCCTAGTGTCTGAAAATCGCAGCGCAGGACGGAACTTCCGAGAGCCTATACCTCCCCACTTCCCCCTCCAGTTTACAGATGGGCAAACCGCTGTCCCGGGTGTCTGTCAGGTCTAGTAGCCCAGAATCTCAGTGCCTAGGCTTCACTGTAAATAATAAACTATGTAAATAACATTTACAAATATCCTTTGTGAGCTCAGAAACTCAGCATTACCAGTAACTGGGTAGTGGAACGCATCCATCTTCGTCGTTTACTCCTTCTCCAGGGGCTCTCCAGCCTGCATTCCATGGCCAACAGCAGTGCAGCTGCAGAAGCACTTCTGGAAGCCTCCTGACTTGAACTAGACCTTGGGTAAATAGGGTTTAGATAAGTGGAGGGGAGGGAAAAGTTTCACCTGAGGGGAGAATGAGCTAGTCTGCCAGACCCTTATAAAAGTATTGGCCTGGATGGGATGGAGGGCTTTGACCTGAAAGCCACAGGGAGAAGGGAACCCTGAGGAATTGGCTGAAAGAGGGGGGTTCTTAGGAAATGCACCAACAGGGAAGCCAGCGCTTTACCAGGGATTTCATTCATGGTGGGTATATTATTAATAGAGATTCGAATTCTCTAGAAGCTGATCATTTCTAAGAGAAACAATATTTAAACATTACTGTCGAAGGAAAGGTTGTGGGGAGAAAATGTTCTAGTTCTAAAACAGAACACCCATTTTCCCTGGTTGTATATGAATAATACAAATATGTCAAAAATCAAGCTTACTATGTGCCAAGCACTCTAAGAACTTTTTTTTTTTTTTTTTTTTTGAGACAGAGTCTTGGTCTGTCGCCCAGGCTGGAGTGCAGTGGCACAATCTCGGCTCACTGCAACCTCTGCCTCCTGGGTTCAAGCGATTCTCCTGCCTCAGCCTCCTGAGTAGCTGGGACTACAGGCATGCACCACCATACCCGGCTAATTTTTGTATTTTTAGTAGAGATGGGGTTTCACCCTGTTGGCCAGGCTGGTCTCGATCTCCTGACCTCAGATGAGCCACCCACCTCGGCCTCCCAAAGTGCTGAGATTACAGGCGTGAGCCACCGCGTCCAGCCAACTTTATGAAATTTAATTTATTTATTCCTAACAACAAATCCAGGAGGTTGTTACTTTTTAAAATCAGTGCCATTTTATAAATGTGGAGGCTGAGGCACCAAGAGGTTGCCCAAGGTAAGAAGATCTGGACTGAGGCTGAGTGGTGTGATACCAAGCATCCTGGCTTGGCTGGAATCAGATTTGGGTTCCAGTACTTCCACTCCTCTTGTTTTGTGAATTTAGCTTATCTGAGCCTTCATTTTCTTATCTGTGAAATGCATACTGTAATCCCTCCCTATTAGTGAGACAATGAATGTGCAGGTGCTTTGTGAACTACACATTGTGACACTAATAGGAAGTGTAAAGCCTTGCACTTCTAAGGCCAAATCCCAGCTAAGAAGAGCAAATGATGAGCTGGGTTTGACTTGCAGAATTTAGTGGGCTTACTACTCACCAAGAGGCAAGAGATACAGTTGTAGTTATGATGATAGACTTTGGAGTCAGATGGACCTATGTTGGGATCCCAGCCCTGCCACTTATTGGCTCTGTGACCTGAGACAAGTCACTGAACATTTCTCAAACTGCATTATCTCCATGGTCCTCCATTTGTTCATACATAAAATGGGCTTTATATTCCTCATAGAGCAGTGATGAGGATTACATGAGATGCCACTGATACAATGTCTGCAAGTAGTGAGTGCTCAATAAAACATAGCTAGAGTCGTTGTTTTTTCTGATTCTTCTTGCTCCTCATCCTATTTCCTTTGTCTTAATTTCCCCACAAAGACACCCTCTCCAGAGCCCAGCAATTGTGAGGGACTGATGGAGAAGTATGTGGCTGCTATGGTGCTGAGTGCAGCTGGAGATGCCCTGGGGTACTACAATGGGAAGTGGGAGTTCCTCCAGGATGGGGAGAAGATACACCGGCAGTTGGCCCAGCTGGGCGGCTTGGATGCCCTAGACGTGGGAAGGTGGAGAGTTAGTGACGACACAGTGATGCACTTGGCCACAGCAGAAGCTCTTGTGGAAGCTGGGAAAGCCCCTAAGTTGACTCAACTGTATTACCTCCTTGCTAAGCATTACCAAGACTGCATGGAAGACATGGATGGGCGGGCACCAGGTGAGCACAGCCGGTGGGAGGTGCAAGGAGGGCAAAGAATAAAACAGCCTTGAGGAAATCATTAAGAATGTTGATGGAGATTTAAATAACAGAGACAATAGTGTTTGTAAATGTGATAAAAATAGAAATAACGGCCATGGTGGTGGCTCATACCTGTAATTCCAGCTCTTTGGGAGGCCAAGGTGAGAGAATCACTTGAACCCAGGAGTTCAAGACAAGCCTGAGCAATATACGGAGACCCTGTCTCTAGAATGGGGTAGCCAATCCCTCTTCTAGAGACAGGTACTGATCCGTGGCTTGTTAGGAACTGGAGCACACAGCAGGAAGTGAGTGATGGGCGAAGGAGCATCATCACCTGAGCTCTGCCTCCATCAGATCAGTGGCGCATTAGATTCTCATAGGAGCCTGAACCCTGTTGGGAACTGCACATGCGAGGGATCTAGATTGTGGGCTTCTTATGAGAATCTAATGTCTGATGATCTGTGGTGGAACAGTTTTGTCCCAAAACCTCCCCCAACCAACCCCGTCCATGGAAAAATTATCTTCTGTAAAACCGGTCGCTGGTGCCAAAAAGGCTGGGGACTACAACTCCAGAAAAAAATTTTTAAAACATTAGCCAGGTGTCATGGCACATACCTGTAGTCCCAGCTACTTGGGGGGCTGAGGTAGGATGATTGCTTGAGCCCGGGAGGTTGAGGCTACAGTGAGCTAGGATCGTGCCACTGCATTCCAGCCTGAGTGACAAAGCAATACCCTGACTCTAAAAAATAAAGAAATAAATAGAAAGAACCTAAATCTCTCATAATTAATTAAGCTGACACATTTGCAACCATTTAAAATTATTCAGGGTGACTCTACTCAATAACAATGTATCGTATATTTCAAAATAACCAATAGAGTAAATTTCAAATGTCTCACCACAAAAAAAAGTGAGGCAATAGATATGCTAATTAGCCTGATCATCCCACATTGTTTACATATATCAAATCATCACATTATACTAAATAAATGTATATAATTGATTTGTCAATTTAAATATTAATAAAAATTTAAAATTTGCAAATAATATTTACTAATATTGAAAAGTATTATTATACACTAATAGGTTATAAAATAGTATGTATGTTATGAACCTACTGTCCTTTAAAAAATAGATCTGTGGGGCCAAGTGCTGTGGCTTACACCTGTAATCCCAACACTGTGAAAGGCCAAGGTGAGAGGATTGCTTGAGTCCAGGAGTTTGAGACCAGCCTGGGCAACATAGCAAAAGCCTGTCTTTAAAAAAAATTTTTTTGAGTGGCCAGTTAAAAAAAAATTTTTTTTTTTTTGAGATGGAGTCTCACTCTGTTGCCCAGGCTGGAGTGCAGTGGCACGATCTCGGCTCACTGCAACCTCTGCCTCCCAGGTTCAAGCGATTCTCCTGCCCCAGCCTCCCAAGTAGCTGGGATTACAGGCACGCACCACCACGTCTGGCTAATTTTTGTATTTTTGGTAGAGATGGGGTTTCACCATGTTGGCCAGGCTGGTTTCGAACTCCTGACCTCAGTTGATCCACCTGCCTCAGCCTCCCAAAGTGCTGGGATTACAGGCATGAGCCACCATGCCTGGCCAAAAAAAAACTTTTTTTTAAAAAATAGATATGTATTTCTGTGTTGAGAAAGATCTTGAAGAACATGTACAAAGATGTTACTAATTATATTTGGGTGATGGGAGTATTTATAGTTTTTTATTTTTACTTACTTGTATTTCTAAGTTTTCTGTGATGAATAAGTAAAAAGAAAAATGTATATTTTTTATTTTTAAAGAAAAATGCGGCTAGGCATGGTGGCTCATGCCTGTAATCCAAGCACTTTGGGAGGCCAAGGCGGGCAGATCATCTGAGGTCAGGAGTTTGAGACTAGCCTGACCAACATGGTGAAATCCCATCTCTACTAAAAATTAAAAAATTAGCTGGGTGTGATGGTGCACACCTGTAATCCCAGCTACCCAGGAGGCTGAGGCACGAGAATCACTTGAACCCCAGAGGCGGAGGTTGCAGTGAGCCAAGATCGCGCCATTGGACTCCAGCCTGGGCGACAGAGTGAGACCCCATCTCAAGAAAAAAAAATGCAAAGGCTTTTGTAGAGACTTCTGGCCACAGGTTCGCTCACAAGTGGTTCTTGCCCACTTCGGCAACTTGTTAGAGCCACTTGGGCCACCAGGTGATTTTCTCTGGCCCATCTGACCTACCTCTCCTATTTGAGGCTGCTAGGGCTGCCATAACAAAATGGCATAGACTGAGTGGCTGAAACAATGGAAATTTGTCTCTCACAGCTCTGGAAACTGGAAATCCAAGTCAAGATATTGACAGGCCTGGTTTCTTCTGAGGCCTCTCTCCTTGGCTTGCAGATGGCTGCCTCCTCGCTGTGTCCTCACATGGTCTTTCCTCTGTGTGCATGTATCCCTGGTGTTTCTGTGTGTTTGCATTCCTCTTCATGTAAGGACACCAGGCAGATTAGATTAGGGCCTACCCTAAAGGCCACATTTTAGCTTAACCACCTCTTTAAAGGCCCTATCTCCAAATCGAGGTACTTAGAGCTACAGCATTTGAATTGGGGGGACTCAATTCAGCACATAACACCTCCTGATGAAAGCTTCCCATCACCATACCAAGGGGCCCTTGTCACCCCAAGGATTGGCTTTAGATGCCAATCTCTGTTCATCCTTTCTCGGCATCTGATAGCTCATCAGTTTAGCAAGTGGAAACTTTTTTTTGTCCACCTGTGCCATCCATGAACATTTTTGTGAAAACACTGACCAGTAAAGGAACAGCAGTGCCACACTCCATCGTATGTTGCTGCCATCGCTTGGTTCGCATGCGTATTCACAGGTCCCCAGTAGGACAGGTCGGGGGACAAGCCTGCTTACGTCACTGTCACGAGGGGATAGCCAAGGCCCAGAGGTTCAGTGACTCACCAAAGACACATTGTTTCCCTGAATCCACTGCTCCTCATCTGAGCCCAGGGCTTCACTGTAGAATTTTTGGCCGCTTTCTTTCTTTTTGATGTTCAGGAACTCCAATTGTGAGGTTTTTGTTTTTTGTTTTTTGGTTTTTTGTTTTGAGACGGAGTCTCGCTCTGTCACCCAGGCCAGGGTGCAGTGGTGCAATCTCGACTCACTGCAACCTCTGCCTCCCGGGTTCAAACGATTCTCCTGCCTCAGCCTTCCAAATAGCTGGGACTACAGGCATGTGTCACCACGCCCGGCTAGTTTTTTGTATTTTTAGTAGAGACGGAGTTTCACCGTGTTAGCCAGGATGGTCCCGATCTCCTGACCTCGTGATCTGCCTGCCTCCACCTCCCAAAGTGCTGGGATTACAGGCATGAGCCACTGCTCCCGGCCTAATTGTAAGGTTCTTATTGGACTCCATAAGGAATTGGGCTTTGGAGTCTGATGGATTTTACCCAGCCACTAACTAGCTGATTATGTGATTTTGAGGAAGTTTCTTAAGCTCTGAGCTTAAAAGGCTTATTTACTTAAAAAAGAGAACAATATACTTACTTCTTAATTTTTTTGTGATGTCTCAGTAATGACTGGTAAAGATTCCAAGGATCCCTATATGAGTCTGCTGCCTTTATTAGCGTTATCTTGCCAAGGGTTATACATAAAGAAAGGCACATTGTTGGGTGGGGTTTGGAGTTTTGGGGCATGCATCATCATATTTTTTGGCTCTCCCTTTCCATCAAAAATACTTGGAGACAGAGTTTAGTTATTTATTCCTGCTGGGGCCTTTGCTTTGGTTATGCTAACCCCCATCCCTTATCCGACTCTTCCCCAGGTGGTGCCTCGGTGCACAACGCCATGCAGCTGAAGCCGGGCAAGCCCAATGGCTGGAGGATTCCCTTCAACAGCCATGAGGGCGGCTGTGGGGCTGCCATGCGGGCCATGTGCATCGGTCTCAGGTTCCCACACCATAGCCAACTGGACACACTGATCCAAGTGAGCATCGAGAGTGGTCGGATGACCCACCACCACCCAACAGGCTACCTGGGGGCCCTTGCGTCTGCTCTTTTTACAGCCTATGCTGTGAATAGCAGACCACCCTTGCAGTGGGGAAAAGGACTGATGGAGCTGCTACCAGAAGCTAAAAAGTACATTGTCCAATCAGGCTACTTTGTAGAGGAAAATCTTCAACACTGGTGAGTCTGTAAGCGCACGCCCTGCTCAAACACGGTTGAATCTGTGCGTGTACATCCACCTGCACATATATGTCTTGTATTCAGAGATCACAGCAACCCTCATGGTTTTCACCCCCAGCCCCCTTTCTACCCATCTGCTAAGGATTTCAAGTTCCCTTCCAGTAATGATTCTACAAAGTAGCCAAGTGGATACCTCAATGAATAGGGCAGCTGTGGTGTTTCCCTCTTACACGGAATCCTGTCATTTTTGTGGCTATCCTATTCTGCCATGAATTTTCATGCCTATTTCCTACTTTCCTGGAATTTGCTTTTTCAGTGTTGTCTTGGTATACAAATAATATTTTGAAATCCTTGGTTAAAATTCCAGAGATACGTTTTTCCACTAGCTAACTAATAAGTGGTAAGGCCACATCTTCCCCTTCTCGTGAGTTCACTTCACATTGTCTTTCTTAGAATAAAAAGAGGCTTTCTGCTGAAGTCACCCACAGTTGTGATGTCTTGAAGTTCCCCTTTAAAAGGTCATTACTCTCGACCCTCCCAGGGAAAACAAACCTGTATTTCTTACCCTTTAACTTGATATGTATCTCTTTATTTAGCAACAGGATCAATGCCTTATTTATGTAGATCCTTATGAAAAATGTATTGAATGAATGGTACTTATATAGAAATAATTTTGATGTTTAAATAGTTTATGATATTACTGCAAGAAGCCGAAGTTATGTTGGATTTTTCTCTGTTCACACATCCATCTGGTGCTTTTTGTTATGACTTTTCACTTTATTTTTTTCAATTGACTCTAGATTTTTTCCTTTCTACAGGTCCTACTTCCAAACCAAATGGGAAAATTACCTAAAACTTAGAGGGATTTTGGATGGAGAATCAGCCCCTACCTTCCCTGAGTCTTTCGGTGTGAAGGAGAGGGATCAGTTCTACACCTCCCTGAGCTACTCTGGCTGGGGTGGCAGCAGTGGGCACGATGCCCCCATGATTGCCTACGATGCTGTTCTTGCTGCAGGAGACTCCTGGAAGGAGCTTGCCCACCGAGCCTTTTTCCATGGTGGAGACAGTGATTCTACAGCTGCCATTGCTGGCTGCTGGTGGGGAGTTATGTATGGTTTTAAAGGAGTGAGTCCCTCCAACTATGAGAAACTAGAATACAGAAACCGGCTGGAAGAGACAGCTAGGGCTTTATATTCTCTCGGGTCAAAAGAAGACACTGTAATTTCCCTTTAGGGAGACGTGATGTTCACTTCTGATGGATTCTTCTTTTGTGTATTTCCTTTTCTGCTATTTCTTTTCAGTTTTTCCAAAGTCAAGAGTCTTAACCTTGTACTCAGGGAATTTTGAGATAACAAGTCCCTTGGGCACCTTAAGCTCAGTTTTTTCAGGCTCATCCTGTTCTTCCAGAATCTATCCCTTTTCTTACACTGAAGAGTCCTTTAGCTCAATTGATAGGGTCAGCGTCTCGCAAGCAAAAAATCTCATGACCTCATATTTGAGTCTTCATTTTCATCATCTACTTGTTCTAAAAGTTTTTTCTGTTTGTCTCAAGTTGGGTTCCCACAAAGTGGACTTTGAGACAAAGATCTGAATGCAAGCAGTTTATATGGGAGATGATTCCAGGAAATACCGATATGAGAATGGGGAAATGAAACCAGGAAGGGAAGAGAGCTAGTATGGGGTATGTTAATGAGCAGGTTTCCACTGTGGGCGGTTGGCACTCTGCCATCTGAGTCCTCTGCCTAAAGCATTCCTCAGAACTGTCCCATTTGAAGGGCAAGCAAACCTGGGGTATTTATCCACTGACTTCCATCTGACACTGGTTGAGGACCACTGCCAGGGATGCTAACTCCCTGGTAATTCTTGGCTTACCCTTTGTACAAACCAAACCTTAGTGTCTTCAGGTAAAGACTCAGAGATACTTGCAGGGGCAAGCTGTAAAGGGCATGGGAACAGTGAGGGACATATGTGGGGTCCTAACAATATCTGCTAGGCTGGTCTACCTCCTAAATATACTCTGAATCTATCACCTCTATTGCCTTCTTGCACTGAGGATTTTTCAGCTGGATTTCTGCAATCCAAGCTACTCAAGTCTGGGAGATGCTGCTCTGAGCTGCTCTCAGTACTCTCCTCATCATGGCAGTTAACACATTACCAATTTTGTTATTGTCTGTTTGCTTGTTTGCATTATTTCTAAACAGAACCTAGCACAGTGCTTGGGCAGCCAATAGGCATTAATCAGTATCTATTGAGTGTTATGAACTAGCCTCCTAGCTCGTGCTTCCCTCATTACCCTCCAGAGTTATGTTTACGAATAACAAATTGACCATGCTAAACTAATCATGTTCCAATGAATACATCACCTTTCTTCATTTCTTGATGCTCTTCCCAATCCTTGTCTACCTGATAATAAATTCTTACTTGTCCTTCAAGACCCAACTCAGATAGATAGAGCTTCCTGAGTGAAACCTGCTTTGATTGTTCAGGCACTTGGCCACCTTCTCCTCACTCCTCCCACAGCCTTCTGTCTTGGCCTTGTCATCACATCAATCCTGTTGTGTGGTGCTGTGTGTCTTCTGGGTCAGTCCTAGGCACATGCTGCCCAGCACATGTCCACCTGGGAAATGAGATGCCATCGTCACATTCATTTGGTCACCCTCAGTCCAGCCAGTGGGCTTGCTCTCATTTGGCCTGTTCTCAGGGGTGGGAAGGAAGAGCGTCCCTTCCTTCTCCTTTTGAGAAAACCACAGAACTATGACTCTCATGATTTTTCCTTTGTGAAATCCCTGGTTTTCAGCTGGAAGCGGTGGGTAAATGAGGTCTGATGATAGCAGTCCTGCCACCTTCTAGTTCATCCCATAGGAATGTTTTTCCAAGTCCTTCCAGTCTTTTTAGAACGTGGTGGAGGAGGGTTGTGTGTGCCCCAGGGGGTCGGGGGTAGGGGATGCAGGGAGGATCTTAGCATTTGTTGTTTTCTAGTGCAGGGCTTTAGCCACAATTGTAAACAACAGGAAAAGGCTCTTTAGAGATCCTATTAGATTTGCTTTGCCGATTGTCACTCTTCATCACAGGCACATTTCAAAAAGAGGTTAGACTTTCAGACTTCTTTTTTCTCAAACCTCAAAACTTCCACCCCAAACTTCGCTCTCAGCTGGTGACTTTGCTTCTTTATGTGTGTGTATGTGTGTCAGAGAAAGAGAGAGAGAGAGAGAGAAGGGAGGATGAGAACGAATGGGGGGAAGAGATAAACTTTATGCATAACATTAGGGTAAATCAATAAAGATGGTCTGACACATCGTATGAATTTGCCATTCTTATCAAGTTAATCTATGCATATTGAACAACAGAAGAGGTCATATGTGACATTTCAAATGATGCTTTTTGGACCTGCTGTGTGATGCTGCTTCATTTGCTTTCTTTGTTAGCCAAGATTGCTACATGTTGTCTAGAAGTCTTGGCAATAGTTGTTTTTTGTTTATTTGTTTGTTTGTTTTAGATCTATAAAATTAGCATTGACCTCATTCACTCTTCTTCAAGATTCTCCAACCACCACATTCTCCATTTATTCTTCTTTCTGTACCTATCTGGAGCGAGTAAACTTGCATCTTTTTAAAACAGCCACTGAGCTACTAGGACATTGAGGGGAAGGAATGGGGATTAACTTCACAATCCAACCAGCCTCCCCGGCCAGCTTCTCAACAATGGCTGCCTGGGGTCTCACTGAGGATCCACAGGTCATTTAGATAGGGACTGGGGAGCAGCCTACCATCATTTGTTTTACTCTCTGGGCTTGGGGGTTGAGAAGAGTAATTCCTAGGGAGTAGGTGAAGCTCTTTCCATTTGGGGAAGGATAAAGAACAGAGGAAGAGAATATTGCTGTGTGTCAGATCATTCACAACAACCCATTAATAGATGAAGAAATTGGGCTCAGAGAGGTTGCCATCTGTCCAAAGTCACACAGGATGAGATGGAACTGGGGTTTAAAACCAGGTCTGTTTATCCTACAAAGGATGGAAAAGAACCAAACCAAGGTGCTTTTCCCAGTCTCATGCAGCACTCACACTTCTGACACCCAAAGGTGTGAGAGTTGTTTCTCCATGCACCAAGCAAGTTTCTAACAGACACCAAGTGAGTGTCCTCTAATTCAGTTCCGATGCTATCTTCTGGATGATAGCATCAGATTCCACAAGTTAAGGCACAAGACTGCCCCCTCCTCCCCCTCACCACTGCTTCAGATGCTGACCACAAGTCCCAGGTTGTGGCCTGTGCTTCTGACCAACCAGCTGTAAATCAGGTTCCCACAAAACCCCCCTCAGGTTTGATTAATTTGATGGAGTGGCTCACAGAACTCAGGAAAACACTTAGTTTACTGGTTTGTTAAAGGATATTACAAAGGCTATAAATGTCTAGCCAGTTGGAAGAGATGCACAGGGCAAAGCATGTGGGAAGGGGTGTGGAGCTTCAGTGACCTCTCCAGGTATACCACCCCTTAGGAAGCTCCATGGGTTCAGCTGTCCAAATCCAGTTCTTTTAGCTTTTTATAGAGGCTTATTGTGCCGGCCTGATTGACTAAATCATTGGCCATTTGGAATCAACTCAGCCTTTAGGCCCCCACCCCTCCCTGCGGGTCATGAGGTGGGTGGGGACAAAAGTTGCAACCCTCTAATCACATGATTGATCCCCCTGGCAACAAGCCCCCATCCAGAGGCTATCCAGGAGCCCACCAAAAAGTCACCTCACTGGAACAAAAGATGCTCCTCTCACCCGGGAATTATCAAGGGATTTAGGAGTTCTGTGTCAGGAACGAGGGTCAAAGACCAAATATTTGAACAAAAGATTAGCACCCCTATCTACGAGGGTTTTAGGAGCTCTGCGTCAGAAACTCAGGCGTAGAGACCAGATACATATTTCTTACTATATCATCAGACCACGTCTTTAAAGCCCGTTTTCTTTGTACACACTCTACTACACTCTAATTGTTAGCTGTTTAAGTATTAGAAAATCATTCCTTAGAGGCAAAATGGTGTAGTATGGTGACAGTGTAAGCCTGTGCTCTCTTCACCTTCCTACAACTAAGTGGTGATGTCAAGAGGAAAGGCTAGGTGTAGGTTTGAGATCCGCATTTGGCAGCAGGGGAAGGGAAGGGACAGAGTGAGCCCAGGAAAAATTGTGAAGTGGGCAGAGAATCTTCACTCCCCTTCAGACTCTTTCCCCTTCTCAGGCAGCTCCCCCACCTCTGCACTCATTTTGCCCCTTGGTCACTGTAGAGACCCCACCCAATGCTTCGGACATGATCTAGACTTATCTGTTCGCACTGCGTTTGGTTATATCTGTCCCCACTTGCCAAGGTCCTTCACCTTTGTGGGCCTTGAGGTCATTGTCTCTACCAGCTGGTGGCCTCAGGCAAGTGACTCCTCTCAGGGTATTTGAGCTTGGAGCCCCTGAATTTTCAATACTAATGCCCAAAGAACATGAGTCTAAAATGGGGTTGTCTGACTTGGAGATAAGAGCAAAGAAAGAATCCTTTGGTCTCCCAATCTACAGAGCTGTGGATAGAAACATTTACTAATAGACAGCCATGCTTCAAAGCAGTGTTTCTCATCATTTTGGCTGGTATATGGACAACCCTCCTCCCCATTGTCAATGCCAGCAGATGGAAGTGACACAGTCCATCTGTTGGCCCACTTCAGGGGCCGGCTGTGTCTTCTTACTATATCTTCCTTCTAAAATACACTTTCTATTGGAGACTGCTCTAGTGAAGGTGACATTCTGAGGTGAGGTGGACTCTCTACTGTCCCTTATTCCACCAGCCCTGAATCCAGGAGACCTAGGAGGGGGGTGCTCTGAAGGTGTGAATTTTTTCCTTGTTGCAGGCACATGGTAATTGCTATGTAATTAGGACTAAGAAAAGGCATGCTCTGTGATCTTTTCCAGAGAGCTGCCATTGAAACCCGGCTCTGCCACCAGATGCCTCCAAGCCTCAGGTTGCTCAGGACTAATGTAAGTTGAGGCTAATAATGCCCACCTTGAGGAGAATGGTGAGAATGAGAGTGGGTAGCATAAATTCAGTGGAATGCATAAGGACCTATTGCTGGTGGTAGTTTTTCAAATTCAAATCCATGCTCTGCCACTTTGTGTAGCCTTGGGCAAGTTATTAAACCTTGCGCTGCCTGTTTCTGAACGTGGAAAATGGGGTTAATAATAGTATCTACCTTGTGGGATTGTTGTACTTTTTACACAGCATAGTATCTAGCATATAATAAGCAGTTAAACAAAAAATGGAAAAAGATGTGTTAACATATACTATCTATATATTATTGATAGCTTTTAGAAAGTGTATCTAGTGTCTTCTTTTTACCAAGCTGTCATGAAATGAGAGACCCAGGGATATTCCCAGACAACCACCTCCAGCCAGTTTCTTATGTCATTTGGGAAACTTTTGACACAACCCCGGGTGCTCACAGGGTTTTCTTTCTCTTCAACCTTCTCACAATACTCCCTTGCCATAATGCACACCCAAAGATAAACCCTTAAGGTTCACAATTTTACTTTGAAGTTAGGTGATCTCAGGGAATAAACACTAAACCATTGAATTTTAGTATCAAACTGTCATTTTAAAGCTACAAATAATTTTTAGCCTTCTCAACACTTGCAGGCTTGGCATCTCCTGCGGGGTACACAGCATCTCTGTTCTGGCAAAACCACAAGTGACCTTTTTGTCTGGGCTAATATAAAGCTGGTCTCTACTTATTCTTTCTGGAAAAACAGAGACAGAATATAGATGTTTTTAAATGAAAGTTAAAATAATGTGGTTTGGCATATTAGAGGCATGAAATGTTCTTTCTCCATAAGGTTTTAGACCGTACTGTGTGAAAAGCAGGTTCACTGTGATTTGTCTGAGTCTTGGGAGACAGAACACCTATGCATGCAATGAGTTACAGGAATCTGGCTTATTACTTACAGCTAGGCAGCAGACAACAGAAGCCTGAAATTCATGTGAGCCAGTACCCAAGGCTTAGGAAAGCTGCCTGTGGCACACGGATCCTCATCTGCACATGCCCACTTGTACCACAACTGAGGACCCCCAGGAAGGCAGCCCACCCTGGGTTTTATATTCAAAGGAAACAAGAATCACTGAGCTAAAGCATTGAAGGATATCGTGTTTGGGGGTGTGGGGTAGTCGGGGGACTGGAACAGATTCCAGGATGTTGGATTCCCAGCACATTCTACAGTTATTCTTGAGAACTATAAGCCAGAAAGCTGAAAGAACCGGGCCCAGTCCAAGACCTTGAAAACTGTCTTGCACTACACTTATATTTTATGACTTGTTCTGAGAAGGTAAGTGTGTGTGCGTGCACGCACGTGCATGTACCCAT
Source organism: Homo sapiens (assembly GCF_000001405.40). Lineage (NCBI taxonomy): Eukaryota > Metazoa > Chordata > Mammalia > Primates > Hominidae > Homo > Homo sapiens. Next base: position 119,594,022 of record NC_000003.12, read on the forward strand.
GTTCACATGCAGGACATACAGGACAGCAGGAGTGGAGAGACTCCATAATCGTGCTCTTCACCTCAAATTGGAATCTGGCAAGATTGGACTTTCTGAAAATCAGGTAGGATAAGGGCTTCAAGCCATTTTGGGTTGAGCACTAAAATTTCATGACACATTCTATCTGATGGAATTCTATGCAACCTTAAAAGAAGAATGAGGCAGCTCCAAAGTATTTTGTTTAATGTGAAACTCAAGGTTCAAAAGAGTTTGCGTAAGCCTGGGCGTGGTGGCTCACACGTAGAATCTGAGCACTTTGGGAGGCAAAAGTGGGAAGATGACTTCAGCCCAGGAGTTCAAGACCAGCCTGGGCAACATGGCGAAACCCTGTCTCTTAAAAAAAAAAAAAAGAAAAGAAAGAAAGAGAGAAAGAAAGAAAGAAAAATTAGATGGCCATGGTGGTGTGTGCCTGTACCAGCCACTTGGGAGGCCAAGGTGGGAGAATCACTTGAGCCCAGGAGGCCAAGACTGCAGTGAGCCATGATTGCACTGCTGCACTTCAGCCTGGGTGACAGAGCAAGACACTGTCAAAAAAAAAAAAAAAAAAAAAAGTAGTAGGTCAAAAGAAGGGTGTAAAAATCTAAAAAGCATGAGATAGAATATCTTTAGGAGGATAAGCAAGAAAACCATGACAATGCCTGATTTCTATAGGATTGGGAAACTTGGGGGAAAGGGATGGAGATTTATTTTTAACCATGTTTTTGTATTTTTTAAAAAAGCATATATGTGTAGACCTATTACAAAATACATGTTAGGCCAGATATGGTGGCTCACACCTCTAATCTCAATGCTTTGAGGTTGAGATGGGAAGATTGCTTGAGACCAGAAGTTTGAGATCAGCGTGGGCAATACAGCGAGACCTCTATCTCTACAAAATAATTTTAAAAAATTAGCCAGGCATGGTGGCAGGTGCCTGTACTCCAAGCTATTTGAGAGACTGAGGTGGGAGGATCACTTGAGGCCAGGAGGTCGAGGCTGCAGTGAGCCAAGATTACACCACTACACTCCAGCCTGGTTGATAGAGCAAGACCCTGTCTCAAAAATAAATAAATAAATAAATAAATAAATAAATAAATAAATAAATAAATAAAATTAGCTGGGTGTGGTAGTGTGCACCTATAGTCTCAGCTACTCAGGAGGTTGAGGCAGGAGGATTGCTTGAGCTCAAGAAGTGAGGCTGTGGTGAGCCATTATTACACCACTGCATTTCAGAATTTTGAACATTGATGCCCTGGTCCCTTGCTCATTGTGTACCCAGATCCTAGGCAAATAAAACCATCTGTCTCCACCTTACAATGGGTGAGTAGGACCCCCTTTCTAAAAGAGGGGTGGGAACTAACCAGCACACCCTACCAGTTGAACAATGCCTTCCCCTGGCAAATACTTATTGACCACTGGCTGTGTAGCAAGTACTGTGTTACATACTGGGATATCTCAGTGAGCAAAACAGGCCAGGACTCTGCCCTTCTGAGGCTGACATTCTCCTTGGGGGAGATGGACAGCATACACTGAATATGAATTGTGGCTCTCTCAGTGTCTCCAGGTAGGAGGGTCTCATCCTCACCTTCTAAAATATGTAATCTCACTTTTCAGAAGGACGAGGTTTAGTCCAATAAAACTCTTGCATATCTTGTTTCGCCTTGGCCCTCTCAAGCAGTGTCCCTAGCCCCTGGCCTATCTGAGCTTCAGTTTCTCCACTGGTGAAATGGACATGGCTATTGTAAGTATTAACAGAAGACTAGTGGTTCTAGCATGCGTACGATCACCCGAGGAGCCTGCTGGAACTGCAGAGTCCTGGGCCCAGTTCCAAAGATTCTCATTCTGTGTGTCTGGGGTGGATCCAGCAATCTGTCCCAAGTCAATTGGATGGTTGTGAGGCAGGGGGTTCTGGAAGGGACCACTCTGACCCCGCTTGGAGAGCTCTGTGCTAGATGTTGGATGTGAAAGAAAGTGAAAGTGCTCTCTCAATGTCAGCTGTATTCATGCCATGCACAAGGGCACCCTGGATTAACTATCTCTGGCCACGGTGTGGGTGGCTAGGAAAACAGCCCTCAGTTCTCCTGCTGTAGGGAAAATGATTGACTGATGGCTCCAGCTGCTGTCTTCTGAATCTACCTCTGTCTTTGTGCTGAGGCTGACCTCAGCTAATGACTAAGCAAGATGTGGCTGCTAATGCAGGCTCATTTCTACAAAACACATCTGCTGTCACAAAAGACTTTGGCCTGAGGAGTCCCCATTGGCCTGGTCAGAATATTCTAGAAACTGTGCTGCAGCCTGAGACTCTTCCTATGTAATCCTCTCTTTCCTGCCCATTCTCTTTCACAGGTATCAGATGTTCACCACCATCTAAAGGCGCTTCCTGGCTTCTCTAGTACCTCTTATTCTTTACAGGTGTTAGCTCGATAAATCTCTTGCATATCTTGTCTTACCTTGGCATCTTCTTCTCCGAGGACCTGAACTCATACACTTGGCTTGGTCTCTAATATCAAGACAGCTTTCAGTAGTGACCTCTGCTGTGCACTACTTATTGCCACACCCCTTCCTGGTTGCAGCAGCACTTGAGCAGTGAGATCATGTGCACAAGGGGATGTAAGGGCTAGCCCCTCCAAAATAATTGTATCCTGCGTTCAGCCATGATGACATGGTCCCAGAGCCTCTTCAGGAGTTGTTGCTGTAGAGTATCGTTGCTCAGAGCATGGATTCTGGGGCTGGCTCATCCCGCTTTAAATCCCAGCTCTGCATGACCTCAGGCAAATGACTTAAATTCTCTGTGCCCTACCAGCTGTGTAAAACACAAATGTTTGTATTTAATACAAATTACTTCTATCACAGAGAAGTAATTTGTACTTATCTGTGCTTACTAACTGTGTAATTGTCACAGTTAAGTAATTTGTATACAATTATAATACAAATAAGTAATTTGTTGTACAAATTACTTAACTTCTCTGTGATAATACTCACCTCAGAGAGTTATTGTTTGGAAAAGATGATCCTGGCCCTGCCAGTGGGCTGTCTACCTCACAGCAATGTGTTATGATTTAGGGAGTGGGGGGCAAGTGCCCTGCCCTCTGCCTCTGCCCCATTGACTTGCCTAGAAATAGCTCTTTGTGGTTTCTGCCACTCTTTGGGGTGGAGAGGCCATATGGTGCTGGAACCATCTTGGTTCCAGGCCCGGCTCTGCCACTTCCACCAACGGGATCTCTACAGGTCATTTTCTTTTTCTAATATGCAGTTTCTTTGTGAATTCAGGAAGTTGAACATCTCCAAAGTTGGACTTGACTCCTAGCCCCAAGATTCTACAAAATGATAGTACTCTCCAGAGGAAACTTTTTCTTCCCTTCTTCCCTTTAAATGGACACTTAATATATAGTATTATCTCAGTCTTGTGCTAGGCACTGGGTATTCAAAAATGAAAAGAGAAAGCCTTTGCTCTCAAGTCACTCAGAATCTTCTAGGGAGACACACATGTCCACAGATAATTCCAACACAATGAGGGGTTTCTGGCCACCCAGAGATGCAGGACTTCTGCCTTGGTTATTACTAACATCCTATCACGGGAAGTGGGAGAGGTGCAGGAAATAGTTTCCTGATCATGTTTGGCTCAAAGAGGGACAGTGTGTTTCAATGCACTCTGGTTAACAAAAAAGAAAGTGTATTTATTTTCATTGAGAAGAAGAAACCGAAAACTCTGGCATTTAAATAAATAAAGAAGAATTTATTTTTCCTTTTCAGGTCATGAGGCTAGTTAATGATTAGTGAAATCCACGTGGGTGTTTTCTGAGAGGCTGGGTTATATGATCTCTTTGGCTTTAGGGAATTACTCCATACCAGCTCTGAGATTTCCAGCTCAGCGATGCCCCCAGGTCCCTGGGAGAGCTGCTTCTGGGTGGGGGGCCTCATTTTGTGGCTCAGCGTTGGAAGTTCAGGTAAGCCAGGGCTCAGGCCTTGGGAGGAACTTATTTCAGTCAGTGATCATATTTCTCCAACTACTTATGCAGTACTAACTTTTGGAAGATCCCCTAAAAGCCTTTTGCCTCTTCTGAGGTGAATTTAAAACAGTAGGGGAAAAAAACCCCTTTTATCATAATCGGAATGATGGTAAACAGGTCACAAAACCTGAACTTTCCCTGGTTATCCGACTCATTTTTCTAAAGCCCACATAAAAAAACCCTTTCTCACCTTGCACAAGCCAGGACCAACTGTAAGAAAATAAAATTTGGTTAATTCTAAGATATTCATTTTTCACCCCATAAATATCCACCATTCCAAGATATATTTAATTTTAAAATTTAGGTTTTCCAAACTAATAATGATTTTGTCACTGAGATTGTTAGATGTCCTTTCTAATCCAGCAACCTAACTCAAGTGGTTTGTCATCCTGGCTGGGTGATGGGAACTAGTCCCTGCTAACCTCAGATGCCCCTGGGAAAACTTCCCTCAGATGCCAATTTGCATTTACCTTTCCCCCAGTAAAGAACTGACCCACTGATCCCTCTTGCCTAACAGAAAATTAACCTGCTCTACTTTGGGTTCTCAGAAGTTCTCAGAAGACTCCTTCTCACTATGGTGAGGTCACCCTTAGAAAAATCCCCTCCCTCTACTCACAATAGCAGGCTGCTTTTCTGTCTTCTCCGCTGGACATTTAATTCTCATTCCCTGGCTCTAGAATATGTCATTGCTTCTGCCTGGGGTTGCTCACATCACCTTTGGATTGATTTCTGTTCTTTGCATCTTTCAAGGGGGCTTCTGTATTCCTATCTCCCTTGTACTCATTCTTTTTCTGCTCAGCACCCCTCCCTGCTACAAAGTTCCACTGGGTGACTGCATGCTCTCCTTGCACTCATGGGTGGTTTTTCAGAGGTGCTGTTGAGCTCTGTATGTGCTTTCTCCTACCTCAATTAGTTGTCCCTAAAAGGTGAGGATTTGAGGCTTCTGTCTCTTTTAGCATAGTTAGTGCTGTGCTCTGTATAGAGCAGATGTCCAGTGAATATTGCAGACATTGATGCTTAGAGGAGGCAATGGGCTGAGCTGATGGGGAATAGGCTCTGTCTGGGTCGGGCTAACCCAGACTGGAATCCTGGCTCTGTTTCTTTGTAGCTATGTGACCTTGAGGAAGTGGCTTTCTTTACCTGTAGCTAGAGATGATCCTTACCAGATAGGAATGCTGTAAGGACTGAATGGGATCATCTGTGCACAGGGCCTGACTTTTGCAGTTGCTTATTCCTTTGTGATTTTATTATTAGCAAATTGTTGTCTAGGCTGATGGAAGTGGAGGGAACAGGGCTGTCATGAGCCACCTTGGAGAGAAGGTGGGAGGTATCACCTAGGAGAGCTGTGGGTCCCGTTCTGAGAAGTGGGCTTGGCAGGCCCACTTTGTCCCTGCTCAGGAGCCCCAGGCCTCCTTAGGGGCTGGAAGGCATTTGCTAGTTGTCCTGATTTGAAGGTTGAGGAGTGGGAGGACTATAGCAAATTGGCATCAAACTCTTTTTGGAAGCTCATCTGTCGGTAAGCCTGGGGCCTCTGTCACACAGATAAGAGAAGCTCAGAAATTCTGAACCAGATAGCAGGGTTAGGGTCAGCGCAGAAGCTGATCAGGTTCCAGCCACATATGTGGGAATCATTCTAGATGCTCTGGGCAGGAAGTGGGCTTATAATAACATGTTAGCAGGGCCTGGGTATTTCCTTGCCTGGTCTTCTTGCCTTTGTTTGTCTCTGGTGTCTTTCTTTTCACACTTACCCAGTGAGGCATTCTCTATTTCCCATCCGCTTCTCTTCCTTTCCCACCTTAACTGAGTGTTTCACTGTCAACAGCAACAATATTTATTAAGTTAATGTTCCTTATTCTTACTTTTAGTAGTGCTGTCTCAGAAATTAAGTGAGTTGATGGATAGGCAGAGATAGAAGTGTGTGTGCGTGTGTGTGTGTGTGTGGCTGGGAGGGATAGAAATATGCCAAAGGGAAAAGGAAAAAGGATGTAATTGACTTCAGACAGCCTAGATGAAGTAGGTGGACAGAAAGAAGATGCCGGATGCAGAGAGCTCAAGGTAAAGGAAAGGAAGAGCTCAAATGATCGGGAGGGAGGAGGTTCAGGAGGTATCCAGGTGCCTGCTGTCACACAAGGGCAGTAGCTGACCCACATGGGCCTCTTGGAAGTTCAGCCTCCACTCACTTTCCTGGCTGTGTACCCACACAATCTTTCATGACAACCCCAGTCACACCTAGTTTTTCCTTGGACTGTGGAGCTTTAGATTGTTGAGCTCCTTGATCAACCTGGCCCTTGAGCTTCCAGGCTGGCTCAGGCGTCCTCTCCTCCAGGTGGATGCACAAGTCTTCCTCCATCTGGGGTAGGTGGTCTTTCTTTGTGTTCTCTCAGTACCTATGTTTCCTGGTCACAGATCTTACATCCCTATTTGCTGTGGGGCCTGCTTATTTTCCCTTTCTCCGCTAGACTTTGAGCTCCCAAAGGGCAGTTATGGCTGGCGTCTTCTTCATCCTTGAATCCCCAGAGCCTCACCCAGGCCCAGGCACACAGGACACATTCAATAAGCCAAAAGCCTTGGTAACTGAGAAGAAAGAAATTGAGCGGGCTGCAGTCCTCATCTCTACTTCCTGACGTTAGGCAGATTGATTAAATGACACTCATCCTGAAACAATTCAGCCAAAGAAGGGTTCCAGAGGGTGGCCCATTTCAGAGACACTCCTGGCTGCTGATGCCTCAATCCACAGGTCATCTGATAGCACAGCTCTGTCTGTGGGGAGCCCAGGGCTCAAGGGGGTGGCAGGAAGTTCAGTGGCCCATAGTGCTGAGCTGGTGGCAGAAGCAGCCTGTGACACCAGCCTCTGTAAGGCCAGCCTGGGCCTGAAGGTGGTGCTGCACCCTGCATGCGTGGCAGAGCCACCCTCAAGTCAGCTATTGGGAGGGGGCCTCCGCCCTCCTCCCCTCCTGCAGTGTCTTCCCGAGGAGCCTGGAGGAGGGTGCCTGCTTCCCGACACATGCACCGATGGCTCCTCTGTCATCTCCACATTTGATAACAAAGTGTCTGATGTGGTTTTGTGCCAACTCTGTCACTGCCAGAACACCCTTCCCTTCTTGGTCCAGGCCACAGAATCAAAACTGTTTTAGCAAAATAACACTTCTACGAAACAAAAGCCCATGGGGGATACCGATCTACAGAACACACCTGAGACAGGTGCAGGTGGGAGTGCAGAGTAGCACATTTCCAGCATTTGCAGATCACAGAGGCCACCCATGGGAACCATGAGCAGCCCAGGCGGGTGAAGGGAGCTCTGTCATATATGCCTGAGAGTCACTTTCCATTATGGAAACATGGGTGTTACCAGGCCTTACTCACCCTTCTCTAACACTTCTTCAGTGTCAAAGACTCAAGAATAGAAAACTATAGGCTATTTTCAGACTCAGACAAGCCAGTATTTCATTCTGCACCCCTCATTTCTATTGTTTATAAATCTCTGGTCAGCCTGGCCAGATACTCATGTGTCACTGTTCTTTGGTTGGAGTGGTGGCTAGGTAGAGGCAGTATCTGAATATGCTTCCCTATTTATCAGCTTCAAATACTGGCAATTTTCTTCTCTCCCTTTTCAAACTTTATAACTTTTATCCCATTGCATTGTCTTGTTTCAGTGGTTAGGACTAGGTCCTCTAGCACAATATTTAATAGAAGCAGTGATAGCAGACATTTCTTATCTGTTCCCTGTTCTAAATGGAATACTTCTAATATTTCCCAGTAAATCTAATCCTTACTGTAGGCTTTTAGGAGATATCCTTTCTTATGTTAAAGAGGGTTGAATTTTGTCAAGTGTTCTTTTTTTCTGCTCATCCGTTGAGATGAGCATATGGTTTTTCTTCTTTAGTTTGTTCATACGTGAATTATATTAATACTTTTTTTAATGTTAAAACAGCCTTTAATTCTTTGCAAAGAATTGGCCCAGCAAACCTTGCTGGGCCATGATGTACTTTGTGGTCTTGTTATCCTGGATGGATTTAGATTTGCTGATATTTTATCTTAGATTTCTGTTTATGTTTATAAATGAAAGTAGCCTTTAGTTTTTCCTTCTCCCCTGTCCTTTGCACTTTTGGTACTTCGGATATTCTCATAGAATGAACTGGAATCCTGTCTCCCATTTTCTATTCCTGGAACAGCATGTGTAAGCTAGGGATCAATAGAATTCCTCTGTGAAACTCTCAGGCCTCTTAGACTTTTCTGAGGGATAGTTTTGAAACTAGTGTTTCAATTCCTTTATGCTATAGTTTTACATTTGATTTTCTGTTTTTCCTTTCTTGACTAAGTTTTGGTAAGTTACGTTTTTCTAGGAAATGATCCATTTTCTAGCAAAATATCAGTATTTTCAGTTTTGGGGTGGATATAAACTTTTTTATGGTGTAAGGAAATCTACTGTCTGTATTTATATACCTTTTTTATTCCTGATATTGTTTACTTTTAACTTCCCTTTGTTCTGTTACTCTGTCTTATCAAAAGTACATCTAGCTCATTATTCTTTTCAAAGAGCCAGTTTTGGGTACTGGCTCTTTGTGTGTGACAGGTACTATTTTAGGCAGTAGAGTGAACAAAATGGATTTTAAAAATCCCTGCTTTGTTCAAAAGTACATTCTAATGTGGACTGACCACTAATAGAAAATAAGTATAATAACTTGGCAAATTCCATAGTAGATTAGAAGGTGATGATTGCTAACAAATAAATAGACCAGGGTAAGGATGATTGAGAGAAATGAAGTGAGGAACACAAGCAGGTTACAACTGAAATAGGATGTGAGAGTAGACAAGAGAGCACTTGACAAGCAAAGACTTGAAGGAGGGGAAGGAACTGCCATGTAGATACATAAGGGAAATGCATTCCAGGCAGAAGGAACAGCCGGGCAAAGACCCTCAGGCAGGAAGCCATCTAGAGTGAGGAAGGGCAAGGAGAACTACTGGCTGCAATAGTGAGTGATTGTAGCATAAGGCAAAGGACTCTTGGAGTGGGGTGGATTAGCTCAGTTAGGGCCTTACAGTCCATTGTTAGGACTTCAGGTTTCAATCTGAGAGAAAAGGCTTGGAGACTTTTGCACAGAGATGTAACATGACTTGACTGACTTAAAAAAAAAAATCGTGACTGCTGTGTTGCAAATAGACTGAAGGGGCCAAAAGAGAGGGCAAGAAATGCAGTTGCAGGCTATGGCAGTGGCTGTGAGAGATGATGGTGGCTTAGGCCAAGGTGGTGAGAAGGGTTAGATTCTGAATATTTCATTCTGATGGTCAAGCCAACAGAACTTACCAATTGTATGTGGGATGTGAGAGATAGGAAAGAGTCAAAGATATCCCAGGCAACTTTGCAAAGCCTGAGAAATTGTAATGACTAAGTTGCTACCAATGTTGCTCATATTTCCTTATTTTCTATTTCTTCAATTTCAACTATTACCTTTATATTTCTTTCCCTATATTTTATTTGGAATTACTGTGGTATTCTTTTCTGAGTTAAAATATTAGCTTATCTAATCTAAGTCTTTCCCTTCTCCCCTCCCCCACCAACATTTGCATGTAAGTTACACATTTTTCCCTATTAAAAGGTAAACTTAGGCACATTAAAATTTTAAATAGTTTATTTGAACAAACAGTGATTTATGGTTTGGGCTGCTTCACACTGCAAGTGGCTCAGGGCTCCACCAAAGGGATGTGAAGAATAAATTTTATAAGGTGCCTATGAATGAAGCAAGGCAAAGAAAATATTTGATTGATTAAAGTGGAGCAGTACCTTAAGGTCCCTAGTCAGAGGTTAGTTGGAAGCTTCTGAGTGGTAAAGCTTAAGCCTCAGTTTCCTAGGACACAGCTCTTCACTATGAGTTGGGGTGTGGTGAGCTTCTGTAGGAACTCAACCACTAGAGCTTCCTCAGTCTAATGGCTTCCCAAAGAATTATTTTAACAACCCAAGTGCTGTTTTAGCCACTCTTTGCAAGTTTTGATATGTGCTGGTTTTATTGTCGTTTAGTTTTTAATATTCTGTACTTTTCATTGTGATTATTCTTTAACCCATACATTCCTTAAAAGGTTAAAAGGGTGTTTTTCTGTTGGTAGGAGTGTAAATTAGTATAGCCACTATGGAGAATACGATGGAGGCTCCTCAGAAAACTAAAGATAGAACTTCCATATGATCCAGCAATTCCACTACTGGGTATATATCCAAAAGAAAGGAAAGGAAGTCAGTATATCAAAGAGATATCTGCACTCTCACGTTTATTTCAGCACTGTTCACAATAGCCAAGATATAGAACCAACCTAAGAGCCCATCAACTAATGAATGAATAAAAAAAAAGAAGATGTGGTATACATACACAAAGGAATACTATTCAGCCTTTAAAAAGAAGGAAATCCTGCCATTTGCAGCAACATGGATGGAACTGGAGGCCATTATGTTAAGTGAAATAAGCCAAGCACAGGAAGACAAATATCACATTTTCACACATATGTAGGAGCTAAAAAAGTGGATTCATGATGATAGAGAGTAGTAGATTGTGGCTCTCAGAGGCTGAGAAGGGGGAAGGAGTTGGGAATGAAGGGGAGAAAAGAATATACATGTATTTATTACCACTGAACTGTACACTTAAAAAAGGTAAAGATGATAATTTATATTCTTTTACCTGAATATAAAAAATTTTTAAAAATCTTGAACAAGCTTCAGCAATATGTGTCCATGAGGAATTGTGCCAAGGAGTTTCTCTTTGTAATGGGCTGGTAAAAATACCACAGGCACATGGGATGGGCTTGTCCTATTGTAAAAAAATGGAGGGGGTGTTTTTACATGTCCAAATGTATATTAAAATAATTTTTGTTATTGATTTCTAGTTTTATTACATTTTATTTAGATGATATTGATTCTTTGGTGATTATTTGGGCCTGCTTTGTGACATATTATGCTCATTTAAAAGGACTCAAACTCTCTGATGGATGCAGGCTGCCCTATATGAACAATAGAGCAGAGTGACTCATTAATGTGGTTTGCATCTCATGCTGAAACACAGTCTTTTCATCTTTTCTTTAAAGAGCCAAATGCTGGGGGAGGCTGATAAAATGATGGAGTCAGGCATTAGCTCTCTCATGTGCTGTGGGAGTTCAAGCCACAGGCTGAAGAGCTTAGGGCCGGCACTCTCAGAGTGGGCTTCATCCCAGGAGCCTCCAAACCTGCCTGCTTGGTCTGCCTCTGCAAGGGGATTGAGGACAAAGTCTGGGGCTCAGAAGCAGTGATGGGGAAACCTCTAGTCTACCACAGCGATGCTCCAGAAGGCCTCATGGCTTGAGGTATTCTCCACAGGTGGGGTTCCCACAATTCACTCATAGCACCATATCCCAGAGCATCCCAGATCCACACTCCTGTTGTATATGAGCTCCCAGTTACCTCTGATAGAAGATAATCACTCCAGAAATCTAAAGTTACTGTCTTCCTCAACAAAGGGGCTCACACAAACCGAAGTCTGCAATCTGGATGTCTCCTCTGAACCTCTGATTCTGTGAATCACTTTGTCTGGTGGCAGCAATGCTGTGTGGGACTGTGTTCTGCGGGTCAGCATGTACCCTGCTGCTCCTGCCAGTCTCCCTTTGGGATGCATGGAAGTCAGGGACCACACCTCTGCATCACAGAAGTGGGGATCGGGGTGTGATGCTGGGTGCTGAAAATGGGCCAGATTTTCAGCTCCCTGGGAAGCAGGAGTTTCATGTTGCCTTTTCTGTTCAGTGTTTTTTAAAGGCCTGCAGTTACCTTTGCCAGAGAATTTCCATTGTAAAGGTATCTATTGCAAGGTGCTGTGAAGTAGGTGAGACTTGTCAAGGCTCTTCTCTGTCATCTATCTAGGCTATGGGCTGGGCACTGGAAGGCTATGGCAGGGCTCTTGACTGCTCATAAGGACAAGAAGTGATTAGGTGGGGCTAAAGAGTTGAAAATCCTTCCAGGAGGGAGTGTTCAGACTAGACTGAGGCTAGTCCGCAGGGCAACTGTTCATTTGGCTGCCCAGGGTTCTATTTAGAATTCTCTACTAGTTTGCTAGGGATACCATAAGGAAGTGCCATGGACTGGGTGGCTAGAACAATGGAAATGTATTGCCTCACAATTCTGGAGGCTGGAAGTCTGAGATCAAGATGTTGGCAGTGTTAGTTCCTTCAGGGCAATGAGCAAAGGATCTGTTCCAGGACACTGTCCTTGGCTTGTAGATGGCCACTGTCTCCCTATGTCTTTACAACATCCTCCCTCTGTCTGTGTCCAAATTTCCTCTTTATATAAAGATAATAGTCATATTGATTTAGACCCACTCTGTTGGCCTCTTTTTAACCTTTGTGAAGACCCCATCTCCAAATACAGTCACATTCTGAAGTATTGGGGGTTAAGATTTCAACATATGAATTTTGGGGGATGAGACTCAGTTCAGCCCGGAACAACAGCCATTTCACCATGGCCTTTAATCTCATCTAGTTGAGCAATATTCCTTCTCTGCTATTTTGTCCTTAGGCATGAAAAATATTCACACAGCTTCATTACAGAAGTGATGAAGGCTGTAATAAATGAGTGATTATTGCACTAGCTGATGTATAATAAACCCCATGCCTGCAGGCCCCTGTTTCTTGCTTCCTTCCAAGGTCATCTTTCTTCCTTCTAAGAACAGATGACCTCACCTTGGATGTTGCTTGTTTTGTTTTGTTTTCCTCCAGGGGATGCACCTCCTACCCCACAGCCAAAGTGCGCTGACTTCCAGAGCGCCAACCTTTTTGAAGGCACCGATCTCAAAGTCCAGTTTCTCCTCTTTGTCCCTTCGAATCCTAGCTGTGGGCAGCTAGTAGAAGGAAGCAGTGACCTCCAAAACTCTGGGTTCAATGCCACTCTGGGAACCAAACTAATTATCCATGGATTCAGGTGGGAGTTAAATAACCAACAGGACTTCTCAACTAAGAATGATCAAGTAACCATAATACCATAAGAAGTTAGTGGGCAACAAGGGGAGGAATGAATTTACCAATGGCCACATGTTCCATCCCTCATATCCTGCTGTCTTTGATGGGGTCTCATGTCAACATGCACACATGGTGTTCATTCTTATTGGTCATATATGTTACTTCTCCACCCAGTCTTGTCTACACACTCACGAACAGTACATGTCTGTGACTGGACAAATCTCCGTACACAGAACCTTTATTACCCAGGATTGTATTTCCCTTCTTCACTTCTTCCTTGGTTTTATGACCTAAGAAACTTCCATTTATGGGTGCTACTTCCGTCATACCCAGAGGTTATGGGTGTGATGGAGCTATGCACGTCTCTTCTTCAATTTCTCTGATACTCTCCAGTCCACAATTTGTTGTAATATATAGTCACTGAGTCTCAATTCCAATCACCATCCTTTCTTTGAACAGCTTTTCTCCAAAGCCCATCTATAGGGCTAGAAACAGAGAAAGGTTTCTGGGAGGAAAGAGGGAGAGAATATGGTAAAGTAATAGCACTATGGAGCAAGTAGAGTTGGGGCACCCAATGAAAAGGTAGACACAAAGGCTGTGCACAAAGGACCACCATTTCCTGATCTCTGGCCTGTCTCCGCCTCTCAGGTCCCTGGACTCCAGAGACTCAGCTACATGTTTCCTTAGGCATCTCTCCTTGCTCTTGTGCCAAACCCTCTCCTCTAGCACATCTCATATTCCACCACTTTCCAAGGCTGAGTGTGTACCTCCAACCCAGGGGTAGCTAATAGAGGTGGAGAGCTCATCAGGCAAGGCACTCTGTCTGCTCTTAAATCCCACAACCCCATTCCCTGGCACACACCCAGTCCGCGCTCCTCTGTCCACACGAGTGTGCTCTCTTTGCTTCTATACTGGGAGTCATCAAAAAACTTATTTCCTGATCCCAATCTGTTGGGAAAGATTTCTAAACATTTTTCTATCATTTTCCTTTTCCTGGAAAAGTCCCACTATACAGTAAGTTCCAGAAGGACAGGGACTATATCTTATTTGTCTTTATTTTTTGGAAAGCACCTAGCATACTGCCTGGCCCATAGGTACTCAATAAATGCTTGCTGAATAAATCAGTGGGTGAATGAGAGAAAGAAAGGGAGAAGGAAGGAAAAAGAAAGAGAAAGGAAGAAAGGAAAGAAAAGAAAGAAAGAAAGAAAGAAAGAGAGAGAAAGAAAGAGAGAAAGAAAGAAAGAAAGAAAGAAAGAAAGAAAGAAAGAAAGAAAGAAAGAAAGAAAAAGAAAATGTCCACAAAGAAAGAGCCTATATTTTAGAATGAGAATTAAGATCGCAAATCTTAACTCTAGGGCATAACTCTAGGGCATATTTCTTTTCCACAAATAACACAAATGGAGCAATGCAATGTATACAGTTTATGTGGTTTATGCCTTGTGCAAAGGTGCCTGACAAAAGGCTGATGAGGCTGACATCCAAGCTAAGTTCTGAACCCTAGCATGAGGCTGCATCTGCCTGGAACAAAAGGCAAAGTTTTATAATTTACACAAAGACTGCATATGTGCTGGCGGAAGGGCTGGCAACTTTGGAATTGTGTCCTCCCTATGCTCCAAGTACTGTGTAATAAACTCCTCATATGAGCCCTTCTCTAGTTTTGATTTCTTTTCTGGGTTTGAGATTAATAGAGGTTTCCATGACAATGAATATCCACTTGGCAGGTAATTTTTCCATTCTTTTTTGGCCCCCTGTCTAGGGTTTTAGGAACAAAGCCTTCCTGGATTGACACATTTATTAGAACCCTTCTGCGTGCAACGAATGCTAATGTGATTGCCGTGGACTGGATTTATGGGTCTACAGGAGTCTACTTCTCAGCTGTGAAAAATGTGATTAAGTTGAGCCTCGAGATCTCCCTTTTCCTCAATAAACTCCTGGTAGGTGCAGAAGAGCTTAGGGTGAGTTTGGGCTGCGTATGAGGAGAGAGGGTCAGAAAGACAAAAGCACTGCCTGAGGAGGCTTAGGGTGGAAGCAGAGTCACCAGGTAGCTCGGTGGTCTTGGGTTCAAATCTTGACTTTGCCACTCACAGCACTGACCTCGGGCAGCTTATTGAATATTCTGAGCTTCCCACTGCTCCTCTGTAAAATGTGTCGTGGCACTTTAGACAGCGAATGCAGATGGCCTGGCACTTAGTTGTCCCTCAAGAGAGAATGGCCATGGTCGTTACTCACATACTTTGGGCACCAAAAGGAGAGTAAGGGGGTTGTCAGGGTGGGGAGCCCAGGAAGAGAAAAAGTGATTAACAATGAGAGTGCTGTCCTTTTTCCCTCCAAAGTAAGTGTGGTGGGTGTGTCATGCCCAGGGCCTCGGCTTCTGAAGCTTTGGGGGAAAGCCTGCCACTGTGAAGCCAGCAGACTCTGTGGCCCACGGGGAACTCACTGTTCCTGCTCTTCTAGGTGCTGGGTGTGTCGGAATCCTCAATCCACATCATTGGTGTTAGCCTGGGGGCCCACGTTGGGGGCATGGTGGGACAGCTCTTCGGAGGCCAGCTGGGACAGATCACAGGTAACATTCCTCCCTGCCCATCCTCCAGGCTTTAGAGATAGAGAAAGCTTGCCCTGAAAATATCTCTTCTAAAGCAAGCAGAGGGGAGTACAGAGCCTTTGTTCTCACGATCAAGTCACCTATTACCACTAAAATTTATTTATTGTGGTTCTTTTGCATAAAATGGTATTGTGTTATTATTGCATGATTTCTAATATCAATGTGAGAGGCCATGTATTTCTTCTTTTACTTTTTATTTTTAAGTTTCTTATTTAAAAAAACTTTTAGATTCAGGATTTACGTGTGCAGGTTTATTACATGGGTGTAGCATGTGATGCTGAGGTTCAGGTTTCTAATGATCTCATTGCCCAAGTAGCAATCAGTACTTGATAGGTAGTTTTGCAACCCTTGTCCCTTGCTTTTCCTCCCCCTTTTGAAATCCCCAGTGTCAATTGTTCCCATCTTTGTGTCCATGTGCACCCAATGTTTAGCTCCCACTTATAAGTGAAAACATGCGGTATTTGGTTTTTTGTTTCTGCATTAATTGGCTTAGGAAAATCACCTCCAGCTACATTCATGTTGCTGCAGAGAACATAATTTCATTCTTTTTTATAGCTGTGTAGAATTCCATAGGGTATATGTACCACAGTTTCTTTATCCAGTCTACCATTGGTTGGCACCTGGGTTGATTCCAAGTCTTTGCTATTGTGAATAGTGTTGCAATGAATATACTAGTGCAGGTATCCTTTTGGTAGAAGAATTTCTTTTCCTTTGGGTATATATCTAGTAATGGGATTGCTGAGTCAAGTGGTGATTTTATTTTTAGTTCTTTGAGGAATCTTCAGATCGCTTTCCATAGTGGCTGAACTTATTTACATTCCCACCAACAGTGTATAAGTATTCCCTTTTCTCTGCAGCCTTGCCAACATCTATTTATTTATTTTTCACTTTTTTATAATAGCAATTCTGAGTGGTGTGAGATGGTATATCATGGTGTGATGATTAGTGATGTTGAGCATTTTTTCAAATGTTTGTTAGCCACTTGTATGTCTTCTTTCAAGAAGTCTCTTTTCATGTCCTTCACCCTCATTTTAATGGGGTTATTTGTTTTTTTCTTGTTGATTTGTTCAAGTTCCTTATAGATTCTGGATATTAGTCCTTTGTCAGATGCATAGTTTGTGAATATTTTCCCCCATTCTGTAGGTTGTCTGTTTACTCCATTGGTTGTTTCTTTTGCTGTACAGAAGGTCTTTAGTTTAATTAAGTCTCACTTGTCAATTTTTGTTTTTGTTTCATTTGCTTTTGAGGACTTGGTCATAAATGCTTTGCCTAGGCTAATATTCAGGAGAGTATTTCCCAGATTTTCTTCTAGGATTTTTACAGTTCGAGGTCTTACATTTAAGTCTTTAGTCCTTCTTGAGTAATTTTTGTATATGGTGAGAGGTAGGGGTCCAGTTTCATTCTCTTGCATATGGTCAGCCAGTTTTCCCACACCATTTATCGAATAGGGTATCTTTTCCTCTAAAAAAAGTGTTAATTTTTGTCAACTTTGTCAAAGGTCTGACGGCTGTAGGAGTGCTTCTTTATTTCAGGGGTCCCTATTCTGTTCCATTGGCCTATGTATCTATTTTTGTACCAGTACCATACTGTTTTGGTTACTGTAGGCTTGTAGTATAGTTTGAAATTGGGTAGTGTGATATGCCCAGCTTTATTCTTTTTGCTTAGGATTACCTTGGCTATTTGGGTTCTTTTTTTGTGCCATATGAATTTTAGAATAGATTTTTATAATTCTGTGAAAAATGACATTGGTAATTTGGTAGGGATAGCACTGAATCTGTAGATTGCTTTGGGCAAAATGGATATTTTAATGATATTTATTCTTCTAACCCTGCATAGAATACTGAATACTTTGGCAAATACTATGCAAAAAGCATAGAATACCTTTCCATTTGTTTGTGTCACCTATGATTTTTTTTTTAGCAGGGTTTTAGAGTTATCCTTGTACAGATCTTTTGCTGTTTTGGTTAGGTGTGTTCCTAGGTACTTTATTTTTGTGTGTGACTATCATAAATGAGATTGCATTCCTGATTTGGCTCTCAGCTTGAATGTTATTGGTACATAGAAATGCAACTGACTTTTGTACATTGATTTTGTGTCCTGAGACTTTGCTGGAGTTGTTTATCAGGTCTAGAAGTCTTTGGTCAAACCTTTAGGGTGCTCTAGAATCATATCATTGATGAAGAGAGACAATTTGACTTCCGCTTTTCCTATTTAGATGCCTTTTATTTCTTTCTCTTGCCTGATTGCTCTGGCAAGCACTTCCCCTTTTATTTCTTTCTCAGCCTCACTTTCTACATCTGTAAAATGGTTGTAACAGCCCACATCTCCTTGGCCCACTGTGGAAATAAACTTTAGACAGTTTTGTTATATACATGTAAAAGTGTGGAGGACTTTATGCTTCCAGAGCCACTCTCAGTTAATAAGGGACTGGAGTTGTGTAGCAAAAACCCTCAGCTTCCTAGCCTTTTGGTGGGATAATTTTGGGTCTTGTTTTACAGAATCTCAAAGAGGTGCCCCATTGGGGTGAGAGCCCATGGGGATAACCTACTCACTACTATTTTCCTTTATTCTCTGACCTATTTTCCTACTCCCTCACCATGCTTTCTGAGACTTTTTCCCAAATCTACTTTGAACTCTTGTGGCAGGGTCTGCTTTTTGTAGGGGGAAGGGAAGGGATCCAAACTGAGAGATGGGAATAGTAGTATTCACAGTAATCACTGTGTTATGATGAGGACTAGAGTGTGTAAAACTGCCCGGCATAAGGCCTGGTACATAGTAACTGCTCGAAGAAATTTAGCTATTGTTATTACTACATGAAGGTAGTAACAAGCTTTACATTACATTAACTTCTATCAAATAATTGGTGTTATCAAGGTCATCTTTTTTTTTTTGAGATGGAGTTTCGCCCTGTTGCCCAGGCTGGAGTGCAGTGGCGCGATCTTGGCTTACTGCAACCTCTGTCTCCCGGGTTCACGCCATTCTTCTGCCTCAGCCTCCCGAGTCGCTGGAACTACAGGCGCCCGCCACTACGCCCAGCTGATTTTTTGTGTTTTTAGTAGAGACGGGGTTGCACCATGTTAGCCAGGATGATCTCGATCTCCTGACCTCGTGATCCGCCTGCCTCGGCCTCCCAAAGTGCTGGGATTACAGGCGTGAGTCACCGCGCCCAGCCTCAAGCTCATCTTAGAGCCAGAGAAACTGGGTCATTGAGAGGTTACCTCTAGAGAGACAACAGAGAGTGGGGTTTCCTGAGGAAGGTGGTCCTCAGCTAATTCTCCCAACCCTTGGGTCTTTTCTGGGAGGGTCTATGATCTGCACTGGAAGGGTGGGTGTGTGGTGGGTCCATGAATGTTCCTGCAGCTGAGAGGAAAGAGGTCCCTCATATCAGTCTCTTCTCACAGGCCTGGACCCCGCTGGACCTGAGTACACCAGGGCCAGTGTGGAAGAGCGCTTGGATGCTGGAGATGCCCTCTTCGTGGAAGCCATCCACACAGACACCGACAGTGAGCTGGGGTGACCTTCCTGGGATGAGGGAATGAGCTCAAGGCAGCGCCTAGGAGGCTGGCATCTAGCTCTGTGGCCCTGGGCAGAGATGCCCTGACCCTCTCTGAGCTTCTGTTGCACAGTGAAGAGTTTACCAAAATGCTATTGAAAGTCTCTTCCAGCTCTGTCTCTGACCACTGAGGTGAATGGTTGTATTTTTAGCTACTGTAGGCAAGAGGATTCTCATTTATAGACCAAAAGTATTTGGTTATGAGCCTCACTTTCTGATTCAAATGAATGCAGTAATAACAGTGTGCTGAGCAGTACTGGGTAGGGCATTGCTGCCTGGCTGACTTACGGGAAAGTCATGAAGATTTTTTAGGATGGGTGTGCCTGGTCCCAAGGTACTGGGCCATTCCACTCCCCAGGCAGGCAGGCCTGTCACAACTTCCCTCCTCCCCAGATGACAAGCTTGGCCCTTCAGTCCAGTGGAGAATAAGAATCTCTCTTCCGGGCCGGGCACGGTGGCTCACGCCAGTAATCCCAGCACTCTGGGAGGCCAAGGCAGGTGGATCAGGAGGTCAGGAGATCGAGACCATCCTGGCTAACACGGTGAAACCCCGTCTCTACTAAAAATACAAAAAATTAGCCGGGCGTGGTGGCGGGCGCCTGTAGTCCCAGCTACTCTGGAGGCTGAGGCAAGAGAATGGCGTGAACCCGGGAGGCAGAGTTTGCAGGGAGCCGACATCGCGCTACTGCACGCCAGCCTGAGCGACAGAGCGAGACTCTGTCTCCAAAAAAAAGAAAAAAAGAATCCCTTTTCCAATAGTGACAGGCACAGGAAAGACTCCCCATCTCTCAACCCGTTATGACCAAATTAAGTCCTTCTGACCAGTTGGGAAAGGCGGGGGCATTCCTCTTCATGTCTGCTCCACGGCAAATGCCTGTGGGGTCTGTGCTTAGTGTGGTGGGTGCAGGGAGAAATAACATCTGTCCCTGACCAGACAAGCTTGCAGCTCAAGTTAGAGATGTCCACATCTCATTTCCTGTGGTCAGAAGCCTCTTTTTAGCATTTAAGACTCATGATTCTGAAAGAAACACATGCAGTTGTATTGTCCAACCCTTCTTCCCACCTTTATTTCACAGATAGGAAACCAAAGCCCACAGGCCTCTTCCTAGCTATGTTAGGTGAGTTAAGCTTGTTCATTTAAAAAGTGAATCCTGGTCGGGCGTGGTGGCTCACACCTGTAATCCCAGCACTTTGGGAGGCCAAGGCGGGTGGATCACAAGGTCAGGAGATCGAGACCATCTGGGCTAACAAAGTGAAACCCCGTCTCTACTAAAAAAAATACAAAAATTTAGTGAGGCGTGGTGGTAGGCACCTGTAGTCCCAGCTACTCTGGAGGCTGAGGCAGGAGAATGCCCTGAACCCAGGAGGCAGAGCTTGCAGTGAGCGGAGATCTTGCCACTGCACTCCAGCCTGGGTGACAGAGTGAGACTTCGTCTCAAAAAAAAAAAAAAAAAAAAAAAAGTGAATCCTTTCTATCCTTAAATTTGCTAAATATGTGACTTATTAGGTACCCATTTACCTAAGCAAGGCCTCTCAGGCCCCTTCAAAGTTGGAGCCTCTCCCTGATGTGACTTAAAAAAAAAAACATTCTATTTATTCAATCAATATTTATTAAGCTACGTGGCAGGTACTGAGAATATGGCAGCAATCAACACATTGAATGAGGTCCCTGCCTACATGGAGCTTACAGGCTACGTGGACTGTAGGAGTCATGAAGGGAAGCCCGGATGCCCATTAGAGAGTGTCTGCAGTAGGGGTCCGGGTGAGAGATGATGGTGGCTTGGGCAAAGGTGGTGGCAGTAAAGACAGAGAGAAGTAGACAGATTCAAAATATGTTTTGGAGGTAGAGCTGACTAGACTCATGATGGGCTGCATGTGGGGTATGAGGGAAAGGCAAGACTCAAGGATGGCTTATAGGTCATTGCTTAACCTCCAGGTCGATGGCAGTAAGCAAATAATACACAATCAATTTCTTCCAATACTGACAGATGACAGAAGGAGAAAGTCGGGGTCTTCAGCAGCTGGGCCTGAGCCAGTCTGAGGGCTCAAGTCTGCCACAGCAGAGGGTCCAGGAATTGGTCACAGGGACAGAAAGAGGGCAGAGGATGCTCTCTTATCTCCGCTCTGGAGCCATGTTCTATTTCCACTCAGTCAGGAGAGCACAAAAGATATGTTTTTGGGGAGACTGTGGAAATGTGACCCCATACACATTTATCTGAACTATTACTCAAAGGAAAACCAAAACTACTCAATGAGGAAACTTACCAAGTTTATAACATTTACTGAGTTACAAAAACTTGTGTTACAGGATATTGTTCTTGATTTTCTTAGGCAAATATGAGCATCTTACCAACAGAATCTCTTTGGTTCCTTTTAGCATGAAAAATCCCTTTAGAAAACTGGGAGGCTGAGGCGGGTGGATCACCTGAGGTCAAGAGTTCAAGACCAGCCTGGCTAACATGGTGAAACCCTGTCTCTACTAAAAAAACACAAAAACTAGCCGGGTGTGGTGGCATCCGCCTGTAATCCCAGCTACTCCTGCTGAGGCAGGAGAATCGCTTGAATCCGGGAGGCGGAGGTTGCAGTGAGAGAAGATGGCGCCACTGCACTCCAGCCTGGGTGACAAGAGCGAGAGAGCGAAAAAAGAAAGCCTCAGAAAAAAAAAAGAAAAAGAAAAGAAAAGAAAAGAAAAGAAATCTGTCTGAGGGCTCATCCTGTGAAGTCTCACAGCACTTAGAAGTGACGTGGCAGAGAGTGGGTGGGCTCCCAAGGTCAGAGTTTGAGGTCCGCTGTGAGCCGACCCCCTGAAGTAAGGAAGTTAATGGAGTTGTGCCTCCTTTCAGATTTGGGTATTCGGATTCCCGTTGGACATGTGGACTACTTCGTCAACGGAGGCCAAGACCAACCTGGCTGCCCCACCTTCTTTTACGCAGGTCAGAAAGCCAGTACAATCTGGTATTTGGCAACCCCGGAGATTGAAATTCACCAACAGCTTTTGTGTTGAGTCAGCCAGAGTGGGCCATAGAGGGTCTACTTGACAGTGTCCTTTGCTATGTCCCATAACGCTTTACTCAGAATGTATTCAAGGATGGATGTCTTCAGAGCCCAGGCATTTGAGGGGAGGGTGTGGCACAGTCCACACCAACTGCATCCTCTACAGAGCCTTGCTGTGGCAGAGGCAAGCCATTGTGCCCAAAGCTGGTGAGCAGAAGGATCAATTCACTGCCCAGCCATTTCACCATATTTACCAACTCAAACAGTCCTCTAAAATTGTTTTCAAGATGATCTTTTTGAACACATTCAATGACTGTACATTTCCTCTCTTTAAATACAGCCTTCTGGAATTTTTAAAAATATATTTATTGATATATTCTTAGCAGACTAAATTTGTCAAAATCTAAGGTCAATAATTATTTGGTTTTCTTATATCTTATGAATATAGCCAATATATCAGAATTTCATATAAAAATTTAAAATGCTGATTTCTGTTTACTATGTTTTTAGTCTTTTCTTGCTTTACCAAATTTCTAACATTTTAAGGATTCCTTTGACAATCTTATTGAATAACTACTGATCTATTTTACCAAATTTACTAGTTTTCCAAAAACATGCTTCTTTTCGCAATTTGCGAATTTCTCAGCAATTCTGATAAAATAGGATAGTTTGGTTTCAATGGCTTTTGAAGATTTGGTGGCATTTCAATTGACCACTTTTCATTTTTTCTTCATAACACAACTTGAGAAGGGTTTAGTTTGTCTCTGCCCCAGCTCCCTGTTGCAACTGGAGAGAGCTTGGCCATACAGAGTGTCCCAACCACAGGGGAAAGGAAAGTCAAAATATTGCTTGGCCTTGGTTGCAGGTCTCAGCAACGAGGTCTCAAGGTGCAGGGAGAGTTTAAAGACCCCAGGACCCTGGAGTTGTATACAGCTCACCACATACTTCTTAGTTCCAGCCAATTTATCCAATGTTGAATGCTGCAAACTTAAATAGTAAATAACAGTGAAATAAGTTTTGGTAAACTGGGATATTTGACAAATTCGGCATATCAGTCATTTGGCCCGGTGAGCCTCAGCACATTGGGTGTAGAGAGTGACCACAAACGGCGGCTGATGCAGCAGTCTCACTGCTGGGTAGGGTATAATGAGGTTGTAAAAAATTGGTTGTATGGCTGATGATAATGGAGGTAAAAATATGCACAAATACCCATTTTGAGAAATGGGGCAGCATCATCAACTCTCTATATATTCCCATTTTATGAAGGAGAGTTTGCATGATCATATAATCCATCTCAAGGCCAGGTACGGTGGCTCACACCTGTAATCTCAGCACTCTCGGAGGTTGAGGCAGGTGGATCACCTGAGGTCAGGAGTTTGAGACCAGCCTGGCCAATATGGCAAAACCCTGTTTCTATGAAAAATACAAAAATTTGTGAGGCATGGTGGTGTGCGCCTGTAATCCCAGCTACTCAGGAGACTGAGGCAGGAAAATTGCTTAAACCCAGGAGGCAGAGGTTGCAGTGGCCCAAGATCATGCCATTACACTCCAGCCTGGGTGACAGAGTGAGATTCCGTCTCAAAAAAAAAAGAAAAGAAAAGAAAAGAAAAAAAAGAATGCATCTCAAATCAAGCAATTTTCTTGATGGATTATGCTTATGTATCTCAGGAAAAGTAAAATGAAAAAAGTAGAATGTAGTAACCATGTACACTAATATTCTGAAAAAGTGATTTGAGGGGACTCCCATGCATGTATTTACAGCTTGCTGGAATATAAAATTCAATAGAGTTTCACTAAACAGCATAGATTTCCATTTGTCTTGACTGAAACCTTGGTTGTGTTTTTTCTCTGTTCAGGTTATAGTTATCTGATCTGTGATCACATGAGGGCTGTGCACCTCTACATCAGCGCCCTGGAGAATTCCTGTCCACTGATGGCCTTTCCCTGTGCCAGCTACAAGGCCTTCCTTGCTGGACGCTGTCTGGATTGCTTTAACCCTTTTCTGCTTTCCTGCCCAAGGATAGGTAAAGTGCTACCCCTTTGACTTCCTTTGACAATGTGGGGAAGTTCAAGCCCTGCTAGTTGTCCCCTCTTAATGTCCTGATGTCCTATGGTCAAGAATTCTATCCAATTTGGGAAAAGAAAATTAAGCAATGAGGTGCTCAGCCTGTTCTTACTTGGAGGTGGACGGTTGGTTCTCGTGCCCCACCCCTCACTCTCTATAGTGTTCCCTATGGCCATCCTTGCCCCACACACACCCTTCCCACATACAGGTTCCTCCACTCTCAGACCAGATGCTGCCTATAGGTCTTTCTCACTTCTGGCCATTCTCCAGTTCTTCATAGACCCTAAATCTATGACCCTTCATAGACCCTAAATCTATGGTGGGGAATCCCTAAGAGTGGAACACAAGACCTACATTACAGGTCGGATATTCTGGTGGCCTCGTGAGAGCTGGGGGGATGCCTAGTTGCTGGAGGACTTGGGCACCTTCCTGGATGATCCAGGCCAGTCTGGGGAAAGGATGCCAGGAAGGCTGCAGGATCTGGCCTCTAACTCACTTGTGTAGATCATTGCTATGCATATCCCGTGGTTATCCAGGATGAAGAGCTCCAGGAAAAACTCCTGGGCAGTGGAAATGGTTTCTCTCCCTCCCGCACTCTCTCACTTCCCGCTACCCCTGGCTGCCACTCAACTGCAGCAGCCTGTCACTGCTTATATGAGTGAAATGGGTACCAGCTTGACAAAATAGTAAAGTAGGGTAGCTTCCAATGATAGAACCAGTCATCATTATTTCCTATTCATTGTGCATATGTCAGTTTCCCCTAGATGCCATGGACCCACAGACATAACAGCCACCTCACACTGTCTGCCCAGCCTCATCTCTCACTACACTTTCTCTTGCACTGAACACCTGGTGGTGCTAACTACTTGTACTTCCAAGTGTACATCGGGCTTCCTCACCTGTGTGCCTTGGTCCTAACCATACTCTCTTCCCAGAATGCCCTCTCTCCACCTGTCATCCACTAGTCTTCAGGTCAAACACTTCCTGCTTCACCATGCTCCCACTGCACGGGATATAAATGTCATGAAAACAACTACTATAGGAGATTGGTTTTGCAAGTTAGAGACAGATTAGTGTCAGATTTCTTATAATAACCTGCCAAGAATGAGTCAGATGATCTGAAAAGCATATTTCCGTTTATGTGTGTGTTTACTGCCCACTGGACCGAGTTGCTGGGATCCCAGGACTCACCTTAGAATACAGCACATAGTGCGTGTATGGTGTAGATGTCCGTGGAATAAATGGGTGCATGAATTAATAAACACGTGGCTGGGTGCTGTGGGACCCTAAGATAGCCTTCTCAGGACTCTGCTGTCTTTGCTTCTTTATTTCCAGGACTGGTGGAACAAGGTGGTGTCAAGATAGAGCCGCTCCCCAAGGAAGTGAAAGTCTACCTCCTGACTACTTCCAGTGCTCCGTACTGCAGTGAGTAGGGGGAAATGCATGAGCTCAGCTCTGCCAGGGCACCACCAGAGGAGTCCAGCCCAGTGTGGTAGCCTGGGTGGGAGTGAATGATAAGAGCAAAGGCATCACCGGAGGTGTGGCAACAGCCCCTGGTCTGAACCAAAACTTTCAGAGTGAGTCCAACCGATTGCTCTTCAGATGAGGACTTGGGGGCTTCTTACTGTCTATCTACTGATCGTATTTCCTCTTACCCTCAAAATTTACCCTCTAGTGGGTCTTCTCTCTCGAGTGATGTTTAGGAGTGTCCTCCGGCTGCCTCCTTTCTGCACTCTCATTTCCCACTTCTTGGCGCCCACCCTATGTGGTTCTCACCCTGGCAGCCTCCAAGGTTGGGGTCCCTGGGGAATACTGAACCTTTCCCTCTGGTCTCCTTCCCCTTCACAGATGCATTCCAGCTTCTCACTGTTGCTCCTAACCATGGCATTTCCTTGAAGCTAGGATGCTGGTGATTGTAACGATGTTAAATGTGAAGTAAAAATGTGTCCAGAATCCATGAAATACATTACAAGCTAAACCGTCATCCTTCCCTATGCTATGTGCATCTTAACTAGGGTGACTATACTTCCTGGTTTATGCTGGTTATCCTGGGGTCCTGTTTGCTTTATCATGTGTACAGGATAAAGTATGCCGGCTTGGATGATAAACAACATGCCACCCAATTTTAACTGATTTTCTGATCAGCTTGTGTCAAGTCAGTGCAGGGATCTTTGTGAAAATATCTTCCTGGTACCAGAAGGCCTGGTGCCATATGACATGGAGCCTAGAGCTCAGACTCTGTGTTCACCTGGACCTGGATTCAAATCTCAGCTTCTCCACTTACCAGCTGTGTGATCAGGAACAAGTTATTTAAACTCTCTGAACTCTATATCCTTATGTGAAAATGGGAACCATAACAGTACCTACTTTAAAGAACCAATTGTGAGTATAAAATAAAATGGTGCACAGGAGATCACTAGCACAGGGACTGGAACCCAATCAGTAATAATTTCCTTCCCTTAGTCAATCAGAGAATTTGGGAGAAGAATAGTTAGGGTGTTTGTATCTTCATGCCAGAGAAAATTTTTGGCTACCTCTTAGGAGCAAAGTGGACTACAGAGTCAACTGTGGGCTTTTCATGTCCTTATCAGCTCTTTCAACAACCCAACTGGGAGACTTAAGGAAAGGGAAGCTCTGAGAGACCAAGTGGCATGCCCAAGTCTCCACAGCTGGATGAAAAGGTCAGAACTCAACTCCAGGTCTCCTGACTGTAAACTCTATACTCCTTCCTCACCACCACCATGCTTCCATCTTCTGAGAACCTGCTGTCCGCAGGCCGTACGTCTCAGCTCCCCTTCTGTCAGCGCCACCCCATCTGAGTTGGCATGCGGGAGGATGTTTTGTCTGGTGGTGGAGGTGGTGTTGCCAGGACCAGATGTCCTGACTTCTAATTCCAGCTGCTGGGCAGATTCACAGCAACCTGAGCTGGTGCCTCTGTGTCTGTGCAGCTAAGAATATACCCAGCAGGAAAGTGTGGGGAATGCCTGGAGACTAACAGCATGTTAAGGTCCCTGCTGAGGGGGTTCACAGGGCCATGTTTTTTCTGACTCTTTTGTATTTATTGTGAGACCACCTCCCCACACCTTCAGAAGCGTAGCCCTGTTGGTTCCAAAACCACAGAGGGGCACATAAACAGGCATGCTCTGCCTTGAGCTGTCACTTCTAGGGATGGAAGCGGAGTCCTCCCTGCTCTCCCTGGACAGATATGGGTAGGGAGGGGGTAGGGACCAGCAGCTCTCCAGCCACTCTCAGGCCATCATGGCACTGGGCTCCCATGCCTAGCACTCTTGGTCTGCTTTGACTTCAGCAATGTTGACCTGTGCCAGGCATGCGCCAGCATGGGCAGAGGATCTTCTACCAAATAATAATTTTTAAACAATATATTCCCTCATAGAACAGTTTTTCACATAGTGTACCTTTTCTCCATTACTTCACTCCATCCTTACCATGTCCTGTGTGATAAGTTGAGGGCTATGGCTTGCAGATGAGGGAACTGAGGCATGGAGAGGCTCAGTGTCTTAGGCAAGGCAGCATGGCTTGTAAGCAGCAGGGTTGGGCCTTGGATCCAGGCCTCCTGACCAACCACTCAGGACTCTGTGTTGTACGACATGAGACATGTTCCTGTGCAGATTTGATTCCACTAATTCCCACCCACCCAACATTAGGCCTAGCTCCCTTGGGGCCTCCAGGGTAAGTGAAGAAAGAAGTAGGCCAGGTGCAGTGGCTCACGTCTCTAATCCCAGCACTTCGGGAGGCTGAGGTGGGAGGGTTGCTTGAGGAGAGGAGTTCGAGACTGCAGTGAGCTGATTGTGCCAGTGCATTCCAGCCTGGGCAAGAGAGCAAGAACCTGTTTCTGAAGAAAGAAGAAGAAGAAGAAGAAGGAGAAGGAGAAGGAGAAGAAGAGGAAGAGGAGGAGGAGGAGGAAGAAGAAGAAGAAGAAGAAGAAGAAGAAGAAGAAGAAGAAGAAGAAGAAGAAGAAGAAGGAGACAGAATCTTAGAAAACTTTCTTAATCAATGATACTTGCTAGCAAAGGAAGAAGTATTAATAATATAATATAGCAAACTCAGCCCTGAGAATTAAATTCCTAAAGCTTCTGTAAGTTAGCTATTTTTTCCACATTGCAAATATCATCCTTTCCAGTTCAGCCCTTGCCCGTCCCCATAACAATTGATATCCCATAGTAACATCTGAGAAGGAGAGACAGACAGGGTGTGGTATAAGATGTCCTCCTCTGTGGAGGGGAAGCATTCAAGGCCCCTTTCTTCTTGTGGGTTCTTGGCATCTTGGCACCTTTTGGTGAGCCCTGTTCCTAACCCCAGGGAGCTCAGATGGGCCATAGCACTCCTTCAACTTAGTGCTGAGTTCACCTGCATCCAGTTTATGTTCCCTTCCCCAATGTTAGCCCATAAAATGTGGCAAATGAGAAAGTACAGGTAGAGTAGAGGCGAAGGATTGCATCTCTAGCTATGTTCCCATCACCAAAGGAGCCTGGGAAAATTCCGAGACTAAAGTGATTGCAAAATGCCACCAGGTTGCACCTACCCCTTAGTAAAAAAAAAAAGGACAGTGTGTTAGGGAAACTGTAATCTTTCTTTTCTTATTTATTTATTTATTTAGAGACAGAGTCTCGCTCTGTCACCTAGGCTGGAGTGCAGTGGCACGATCTTGACTCACTGCAACCTCCGCCTCTTGGGTTCAAGCAATTCTTCTGCCTCAGCCTCCCGAGTAGCTGGGACTACAGGCATCCACCACCACACCCTGCTAATTTTTTTGTATTTTTAGTAGAGACGGTGTTTCACCATGTTGGCCAGGCTGGTCTCGAACTCCTGACCTCAGATGATCTGCCTGCCTTAGCCTCCCAAAGTGCTGGGATTACAGGCATGAGCCACTGCGCCTGGCTTTTCTTAAAATTTTTAATTTTGATTTTTTTTGAGACAGGGTCTCCCACTGTCACCCAGGCTGGAGTGTGGTGGCACAGTCACGGTTCACTGCAGCTACAACCTCCCATGCTCAGGTGATCCTCCCACCTCAGCCTCCCAAATAGCTGGGACTACAGGTACACACCACATGCCCAACTAATTTTTTGTTTTTGTTTTTTTGTAGAGACTGGGTCTTGCCATGTGGCCCAGGCTGGTCTTGAACTCCTGGGCTCAAGTGATCTGCCCACCTTGGCCTCCCAAAGTACTAGGATTTCAGGCATGAGCCACTATGCCTGGCCTGTAATCTTTCTTACCTTCTCTTGCCAGAGGGACAGCAGGTCCCAGGGGTATCACCATGGCCCAGGCTGTACACCCAGTCTATGTTGGCGACACTCACTTTGAGAGCTCCAGTGTCCATGCTGCTCAAGGGAGAGTCTGGATGCCACATAGGTAACCAGCGGCTGCAGGGAGAGGAGCAGTCTCCTACACACACAGCCTGCTTCCCTGACGCTGGGTGTGTGGAGAGGGAGCAGGGCCGTTGCTGTATTTAATGAGTTAATTCTCTCTTTCTTTTTTTTTTTTTTTTTTTTTTTTGAGACAGAGTTTCACTCTTGTCACCCAGGCTGTAATGCAACGGCACCATCTCGGCTCACTGCAACCTCTGCCTCCCGGGTTCAAATGCTTCTCCTGCCTCAGCCTCCTTAGTAGCTGGGGTTACAGGTGCCTGCCACCATGCCTGGCTAATTTTTATATTTTTAGTAGAGACAGGGTTTCACCATATTGGCTAGGCTGGTCTCAAACTCCTGACCTCAGGTGATCCACCCGCCTTGGCCTCCCAAAGTGCTGCGATTACAGGAGTGAGCCACCACGCCTGACCTTATGAGTTAAACCTTTAGTTTATGTCTTAGTCTACTTGTGCTACTATGACACAGTACCTGAGACTGGGTAACTTACAAAGCTCAGAAATTTATTTTCCCACAGCTCTAGAGGCTGGGAAGTCCCAGATCAAGGCGCCGGCACTCCATGTCTATAAGGGTTGCACTTTCTGCTCCCAAGAAGGTGCTTTGCTGTTGCATTCTCCAGAGGGGACAGATACCGTGTTCACACACAGCAGAACGCAGGAGGTCAAATAAGGGCCCTGCCAATTCCCTTGAGCCCTTCTATAAGGCACTATTTCATTCATGATAGTAGAGCCTTCATGACTTAATCCCTTCCCTCAAAGGCCCCACCTCTCAGTACTGTTGCACAGAGCATTCAGTTTAAACATGAACTCGGAGGGGACACAAACAAAAGATAGCCGTATATGATAGATGCATTTTGGCTCATTCAAGATCATCCCACCATGAATATGTCAGCAAACAAGGGGAAGTAAAACATTAGTATTACAAAATAACAAAAACTAACATTACTGAATGCTTCCTAGGCACAGGCACTGTCCTGAGAAGTTCATACATATTAACCCACTTATTTCAGACCTAGGGTATCTATTTTTTTTTTTTTTTAGACGGAGTCTTGCTCTGCCGCCCAGGCTGGAGTGCAGTGGTGCAATTTCTGCTCACTGCAAACTCTGCCTCCTGAGTTCAAGCGATTCTCCTGTCTCAGCCTCCTGAGTAGCTGGGATTACAGGCACCCGCCACCACACCTGGCTAATTTTTATATTTTTAGTAGAGATGGGGTTTCACCATGTTGGTCAGACTGGTCTCAAACTCCTGACCTCAGGTGATCCACTCGCCTCGGCCTCCCAAAGTGCTGGGATTACAGGCGTGAACCACTGCGCCCAGCCAAGTGTCTATTTTTATTATCCTCAATTTGCACTTGAGGAAACTGAGGACCTGAGATTATAGGTGATCTGCTCCTGGGCACACAGCCACTAAGAGATAGAGCCAAGATTCCCAACCACACTGCTGCTCTCTGGGGTTTTTGCCCATTGCACCTTCTGCCCTCTGGCCAGTCTCTGTTGTGCTTTGGTTTCCTAGTGCATCACAGCCTCGTGGAGTTTCACTTGAAGGAACTGAGAAACAAGGACACCAACATCGAGGTTACCTTCCTTAGCAGTAACATCACCTCTTCATCTAAGATCACCATGTACGTAAGTGTCCCACCTGGTTGACTCCTCCCCTTAGGAGTTGGTTACTTTTTCATTTTACACACATGGACATCCCAGGTCAGGGACTGTGTGATTGCTGATGCATGGGCCCAGCCGGCTTGGCTGGGGGCAGCACCTACTATAGATCCAGCCACAGACACATGCTGAGGAGCTGTTCAGTAGTGGGTCCAAGTATAGCAGATTCAGATGAGAGTAGGCAGGGCAAGCAGGCAGCAGGGATGGCATGTCCCAACAGATGGAGAGGACATAGGAATCAGGTCCCTGAGAGGAAACAGTACTCTGGAATCCAGACAGTGCGGGTATCAGGGATGTCAGTAGGGAGGAGGGCCTCAGTCACCAGCCCAGGAAGGGCTAGCCAGAGCCTGGAGAGCACCCACTCCTGGGAAAGGAGAGCAGTTCTGGGTCAGTTACCAGAATGGAATCTGAGGCACAGGGTCAGTCAGCAACGGAGTGCGAGCTGAGGGCCAGACTAGCGGCCAGGAGGGCTTGGTGCTGGGTGATTCCTGAAACTGGGGGTAGTCATTCCCTTCCTTTGTTGGGGCAGACTTGGGCTTGGGGGCTGGTGGGACTACGCTTGAAGTGAGAGGGCAAGGAACCCCAACTGTAGGGAGCCACAGCCTGCAGGGGATAGGAAGTCAGCAGCCATGGTGCATGCTTCTTTAAAAAGCAACCGGTTAGTTATTCACAAGCCAGCGGGAGACAGATTGTCAGATAATGTCACTGTCTCAGTGAGAGTCCGGTCAGGAAAACAGAGGAGGTCCAAGAGAAGGAATTTAGCACAGTGAACTCATTACAAGTGTGTTGGATGAGCTGGAAAACAGAGATGGGGACACAATGCAGAGATTAATCACAACAGGAGCCAATACAACCCTAGGCTAGAGGGACAAAGCAGGAGTGGAGTTGGCAAAGCTGGGTCCACAGGGAAGGCTGCTTGGCAGGAGCTGAACCCATGGGAAGTGCGGCCCCTCTGGAACCCCTGCCCAAAGCAGCCACCCACCTGAGCATGCTTCCACTGGGTTAGACCTCACTGGAACCTGTTGGTGGGGGAACCTGCAGGGGAATAGATCAGTCCAGAGCAAACAGGGAAATGACCAGTGCACACACACTTAAATGAGTGAGCAATGCCCTGAGAGTGACAGCATAGAAGACAGAGTCTGACTGAGTCCAAGGAAATGATGAGCAGGCTTTCCAGGAGCTACCCAGGCCAGGCTTAGAGAGAATGTGACACCTCTGGTGTGTCTGGAGCACAGATTTGGGGTTGTGGGGATGCTGTGAGGCTGGAGAGGCAAGTCAGAGCCAGACCCTGCCAGGCCTTGAAGGACAGGTTTTTATCCTGAGAGTAGTTTGGAGAGCCACTGGGAGTTTTAAACAGGACAGTGATGAGATCAGATGTGAGTTTGGAGATATTTCTCGGGTTGGGATGTTGGACATGAACTCTGCTGTGAGGCACTACAAGTTTCTGCTGGAAGGAGTGCATTTCACTCCCAAAACCGTGGCCACTAGCTGGTGTTCCTTCTGGCTCACCCAAAGTCACACAGCTAGGTACAGCCATCAGGATTCCAGCACAGGCCTGCAGGTGCCCACAGAGCCTTGCAGATTGTGGCTGGATATCAGTAAGCCAAGTACCTTTCATTAGACCCGCTCAAGGTTGTGCTACTTCTAGAAGGGTGTTTTCATCATCTTCTAGCCCATTGGTAGGTCCAGCAACACTGGCAGGAGTCATGAAAATGACCCACAACCCTGACTGCACGTTAGAATCACCTGGAGAGCTTTAAAAAATACTGACGCCAAGCCCCCCAACCCAGACCAATCACATCAGGGTCTCTGGGCATAGGCTCCACAGCTACATTTTAAAAGCTCCCCGAGTAATTCCAGTCAACATCCACAGATTAGCGCTTCCTCCTCCATGAAGAGGTTCACATAACTCTTTTGAAGAAGGCACCAGAACATGATTCACTTCTTGCAGATCAGAAATTGGGGGAAAAACGGGGAGGTTATGTGTGGTCTTTTTCCAAATTTCTATAGCTTTATGCGACGCTAAGATTTCCTTCTAATTGGAGAATTAACCTGGGCCAACTCCCCAAACCACTCACTTAAAAGATTTTTCATATTCCTTGTATTTTACAAACTCTTCAGTCTAAGCTTAAAGGAAACAATCTTATTTATTCCCTCTGTAATATTTCAAAAGACTTGTGAATTTAAAAAAAGAGGGAATGGTTTTTAAACAAAATTATACATGATCTTCCCTCAGAAGGAAAAAACAAGTGATATGACTAACACTGGACTAAAAAGAACACAAAGAGGCCCTATCACCACTCTGCGAAGGCCAGAAAGGAACAGGAAACCCAGTTGGCAAGGGTGGTTCCCCACACCACCCCTGCCCCCGCCGAGAGGAACGCAGCGCCCTCCTTCTTTCCTCTTTTTCAGAGTCCCACTTGGATTCCAGGGAGGATCACAAAGGGCCCCACAAGTCAAATTCCTTCCCTAGCTGGGTGGTGCAGCTCTGCTGGGCGCCCTCCTTGATCCCCCACTCACCACCCTCAGGATCTGCTGGCTGGGCTGTGCCTTGCACTCAGCGTGAAGACTTTCCTCATTGAATCTCACGATTTTTTGCTTTTGTCTCCAGTACCTAGTACCTAGGGGGTACCACAGCCCTTTTGGAAGCACCCTGCTAGGTTGATCACTTCATACTCCTCCCTCATCTTTGTCTCAGTCCAAAGTGGTGCCTGAATCTTTAAACATAAAGGGAATCTGGGGGGGCAAAGCCAAGAGGCTGGGTTAAGACAGAACTGGATGCCATTTTCACTCTGAGTCTCCTCAGCTGAAGTCAGTATGAACCAAACCCTACGGTTCAAGTTCATAGCAGCATGTAGGGAAGCTGGAACTTACACCTAGTTGCTATGTGACTCCACAGCCACCTTGCCAGCTTAGGTAACTTGTCCAAAGCCATACAGCTGGGAAGACAAACCTGGGTTCCACCCAACTCTGTCTGCGCTTCATGATGTTTTCTTGTTGCTGTTTCCACCCACACATTCATACTTAGCCTAAAACAGAAAAGTCCTTACACAGAATTCTTTGAAAAGGAATGTCCTAAAAGAGGGTTTCTACTTCTGGGTAATTAGATCTGAAGGTGAAGATCTCCTCCAGCTAGGAATCCAAGAACGAGGAACAGTTTTTCCAGATATGAAAATCCAGGAGCTACTATTTTGTTGCAGTGTCCACTTGTTTATTCTAAAAAATCAACAACTACTTTCTTGGTCATATTCAAAGCTGTAGGTGTGGGCAGAGGGGCTGGTGAAGGTGACACAAAGGACTGTGGTAAGGAGCTAACCCCTTGGTGCATGACAGCCAACCAGTGCCACCAGCAGAGCCCGATCGGAGCCAAAGGGGAAGTACAGGTGGTAAGGGCTACAGTCATTTACTTTCCCTTTACCCTTTTCTTGCAGACCTAAGCAGCAACGCTATGGGAAAGGAATCATAGCCCATGCCACCCCACAATGCCAGATAAACCAAGTGAAATTCAAGTTTCAGTCTTCCAACCGAGTTTGGAAAAAAGACCGGACTACCATTATTGGGAAGTTCTGCACTGCCCTTTTGCCTGTCAATGACAGGTAAGCCCCAGTATTCACCTCTGCACCAGATGCACTCACACATCAAAGACCAGTCTTGGCATTAGATGTGCTGCCTATTGAGGTTCAATCTCATCATAGTGATTATCATCTTAGAAGCAGAGATGACAGACACCCGGTGTTTTCCAGAACCTCCTGTGGGACCATCTTGGGTTGGGGAAATTCCACTGTATTTGTTCTGCATATTTGGTTTCTATGTAAGATTTTATTAGAACAAAGTTTTCTCATTGCATATTTTCTCCTCTGTGGCCTCCACTCCAACTGTGTCATGGGTCACATTCATGGGTGTGGATCCAGAATCCACATCCCCTTTCCCTTCCTCTAAAGGCATTTATGTCATTAACCTTACCACCCCTGGGCACTTGGACCACAGGAACTGGCTCTTAATTGTAGGTGATTGCAGATTTCTTTCACCAGACATCATGGGAATTCAAAAGCCACACAATGCCAAGCCCTGTCTCCTCACCAGCCACTGCTCTCTTATTGCTCTTCTCTTCCAGAGAAAAGATGGTCTGCTTACCTGAACCAGTGAACTTACAAGCAAGTGTGACTGTTTCCTGTGACCTGAAGATAGCCTGTGTGTAGTTTAACCTGGGCAGGACACATCTCCCTGCATTTTTTTTTTTTTTTTGAGAGAGAGGTGTGATGAGGGATGTGTGTGTGCAGCTTATTGTAGACCATTACTACTAAGGAGAAAAGCAAAGCTCTTTCTTATTTTCCTCATAATCAGCTACCCTGGAGGGGAGGGAGAACTCATTTTACAGAACTTGGTTTCCTTTGCCGATCTTATGTACATACCCATTTTAGCTTTCCCATGCATACTTAACTGCACTTGCTTTATCTCCTTGGGCATTCGTACTTAGGATTCAATAGAAACATGTACAGGGTAAACAATTTTTTAAAAATAAAACTTCATGGAGTATCTGAATCATTTAATTGTTTTACTTGAATGGAATTCTGTTACCTACAAAAAGTTGAGATTTATACTCTGTGGGATTGGAGAAAACAGTATTGCATTATCGGTATTAAAATAGCAACTAAAAGAAGTACTTGGAAAAAGAGAGGGGATGAAGGGTAGGGAGGAAGATGGCACCATTTACCAACCCTTACCATTACCTCCTCTGGATATCTGGAAGGTTTGAGGGATCAGAGAGATCTTGGGGAATACAGGTAGATTTCCTCTGGGTTAGTGTTTCCCAAACTTTGATCTTTGTAAATAACCTTGTATCAGCCGCAGCCCAGCAAAAAACAGATGGTGCGCTCAATCTGGGTTATTTGAGGAGAATTTAAGAAAAGGACAATTTGCCATAGTCTTTTGTGGGGCAACCACAGGGATAATGCAGTTCCCTGAAGCTACTGGCAGTAGAAGCTGCTACTACCCTACCTGTGAAGAGGCCAGAGAAGGAGGGGAAGCACCAGAAGGCTGCAGACCTGCAGTGCAGGGACACAGCCAGCCAGCAGCAACCCCGCAGGGAGGGAGCAGAAGCACAGGTTCTCTGACTTCACTCTTCTTCCTCTCCCATTTTCCTGCTAGTGCTCCCCATTAAGGACCCCCAACAGAAGCCAGAGGACAAATAACACATTGACATGGCCTAACCAGGCCCGGGGCATACAGCAGGACAGAGAAGGTTGGAGAGTGGATGGGAAGGGGGTGCGGAACTAACAGATATGGCACACGCCTTCACCACTTTCCCAAATCCAGGTTGCCTCGGATTCTTTTATTCTTTAAATTCACTTTTTAAAAAACATAAATAAATGAGCTTTAAAAGGAAACTGCTGACTTGCTGATTCACTCTCCACAATGAAGACAGGGAGAATGATGTAAGCAACAGGCTGCAATTACTTCATCTGGGCCAAGTCAGCCAGGGCACTGAGAGAGCTTCGGCCTTTGTCCAGGCCTTGGAAATGCAACCAAAAGGACAGGTGAGGCTCACGAAGATGTTTAACTGTCTGCATGATCACAGTCATGTCTAAAGAATACACATGTTCCCTGCTATGTAGGCTTGCAATTTTCTATTTTGCCTCAAACCAAAAACCCTCCTTTCCTTTTCCTTCTCTTTACTCCACCCAGGTTCCTCCCTAGAGACAGTCTTACCCTGAGCTGTATTACGCTGCACTTCCATTTGCCATCTTGGGAGACACTGCTTAGCACATACTTCTTCCTTAGTTTTCCCCACTGCTCGTTGCTTTTTTTTCCAAATGTGTATCACATTTCTGTGATGAAAATCATATTGTCGGCCGGGCGCGGTGGTTCACACTTGTAATCCCAGCACTTTGGGAGGCCAAGCTGGGTGGATCACTTGAGGTCAGGAGTTCAAGACCAGCCTGGCCAACATGATGAAACTCCATCTCTACTAAACATGCAAAAAAAAAAAAAAAATTAGCTGGAAATTAGTCAGTGTGGCGGCACATGCCTGTAATCCCAGCTACTCAGGAGGCTGAGGCACAAGAATTGCTTGAACCCAGGAGGCAGAGGTTGCAGTGAGCTGAGATCATGCCACTGTACTCCAGCCTAAGAGACACAGTGAGACCCCATCTCAAAAACAACAACAACAAGAAATCATGTTTTGTGATGTTGATGCTAACTGGTGTTAAACTCACTCAATCTGTTTTTCAGTGGCCTCAAATTCCATTCTGCTTTTGGCCATAGCCCTGGGTTTCTTTGCGAATATTTTCTTATTTTTAAACACTGTTAGACTTTCTCACATGTTACTTTGCTCCGTCAGAAATTTTGGATTATTACCTTACATGGAAAAACCAGTTTCTCTACTCATAAATTAATCCTAGAAACAAATACAATGAGAACATTATAATGTTTAACATTCCAACTAGATACTGTGGTCTGATGCAGGCTTAAGTCCTGGGCCTGTTTTTTCCTTTTTTTTTTTTTTTTCCTTTCATGTTCAGGAGGCAAAATTTTTTCTTTACTACAAAGGGGAAATTTGCAAGTATGTGAGAGATGTTAAAAATTTATCAGCACTGGCCAGGCACGGTGTTGTCCAGCACTTTGGGAGGCCAAGGCAGGCAGATCACCTGTGGTCTGGAGTTCAAGACAAGCCTGGCCAACATGGTGAAACCCTGTCTCTACTAAAAATACAAAACATTAGCCGAGCGTGGTGGCAGGCGCCTGTAATCCCAGCTACTCGGGAGGTTGAGGCAGGAGAATCGCTTGAACCCGGAGGGGTGGAGGTTGCAGTGAGCCGAGATCGAGCCACTGCACTCCAGCCTGGGAAACAAGAGCAAAACTCTGTCTCAAAAAAAAAAAATTATTAACACTGAATGGAAACATTTTTCTATATGTAATCACTGGATGGAAAGGATATAAAAAAATGCATAACTGTCTATGAGATGGAATGTTGTTTAATGCTGGGTCTATGTGGTACCTAAAATCATCCTGTCCAGGGGCACGTGGCCCACACTTTGGGAAACATGGCTTTAAGTAGATGGGATGTCTGTGGGGTCAGGGAAAGGGAGAGCTAACACGGAACTCTGCTCCATGGCAGAACAAAAGCAGAACTTGGGTCTCCCTTCCACACCCACTTTGCTCACTCTGCTGCAGTCTTTTCATGAACAGAGACTATTACAGAACTAATTAAATTCAACAGGCAGATTCACCACCAAGTGCAAGATACACTGCCGTAAGATACAGAACAATGTGACCTTGGAATAGGCACGCAACAAAAACATCCAACATTGCACAGCTTTTTACTATGTTCCAGGCACCATTCTGAGTGTTTCATATGTATTAACATATTTTATCCTCTCAGCAAGCCTATGAGATACATGCTATTATTATCCCACTTTATAGATAAAGAAATCAAGAGGCTGAGGAACCTTCAAGATCACAGGTCTAGTAAGTAAAGGAGCCAGGATTCAAATGCCAGCTGTCCGCCCCAGAGCCAGGTGATTAATCACCACTCTAACCAGACTCAGAAACATGACACAGAAGTAGCCCCTAAAGGTCCACAATGCAACCCTGTGGGACTGGATACATAATTTACAGGGTTCAGTGCAAAATAAAAATGCAGGCTCCTTATTTAAAAAGTTGAGAATTTCAAGATGGTGACAGCAGAGCATGAAACCAAGTGTGGGGCCTGAGTGGAGCCCTGTGCCCAGGTGTACAGGTCGCATGCCCAGGAAACTGGCCTTGCAGCCAGGTGAGCCAGCTGTCAATTCCCAGAGCCGGGCATTCCAGCCGAGCTTGTGTAGTGCAGCTGACTGTGAACCCAGACAAACCTCAGTTGGCTAAGGAAGAAAGTTGTGAAGGATGAAAAAAAGGTCATAGGGCCTTTGAGAGGGATGCTAGTGTTTCTTACAGAAAATATTCAGACCCAGCCAGGTGCGGTGGCTCACGCCTGTAATCCCAGTACTTTGGGAGACTGAGGCGGGTGGATCACCTGAGGTCTGGAGTTTGAGACCAGCCTGGCCAACATGGTGAAACCTTGTCTACTAAAAATACAAAAATTAGCCAGGCATGGTGGCGGGCACCTGTAATCCTAGCTACTTGGGAGGCTGAGGCAGGAGAATTGCTTGAACCTGGGAGGTGGAGGTTGCAGTGAGACAAGACTGTGCCATTGCACTCCAGCCTGGGCAACAAGAGCAAAACTCCGTCTCGAAGGAAAAAAAAAAAAAGAAAAGAAAAGAAAAAAAAAAGAAATGAAAATATTCAGACCCCAGGGGACATGCCTGTATTAACCATCACTAGATTTTCAGATGAATGTTGTTGAAGGTTCCTCTACACTAGAGGCTATGGGAGCTTGGTTCCCACTGCACAGCTTGGTGACAGGTAGGAGAGAGCCCAACTCCAGCAGCATTTTGGAATGCTGTCCCCAACATCTGGAGCACAAGATGTCAGAGAGAGACTGGGATGGGTTGATAA
This sequence comes from Homo sapiens, assembly GCF_000001405.40. Lineage (NCBI taxonomy): Eukaryota > Metazoa > Chordata > Mammalia > Primates > Hominidae > Homo > Homo sapiens. Next base: position 119,633,763 of record NC_000003.12, read on the forward strand.
GGGAGAAGATGACTTCCTAGCCTCTTTCGAGGTCTGATGATCCACACTTTGAGAATAGACGTAGGAAAGACCTTCTACTCCTGTGTCCTACAGGTGTGAGATTCTCTAGCAACTGCAGAGTGGTTAACAGCAAAGAGGACATGCGTACCCACTTCTGAATAGCAGGGCTGGCTGCTTCAATAGAGCGAGAAAAAGGTGGGAGTAGAAGGACAGGGGAGAGGAGAGGAGATGGAAGCATGGATGGAGGTGACTGCAGTCAGATAAACAGTTGTTTGGCACACAAACCCAGCGTTCCATAAAGTCCTATGTGGACTCTGTGAGTTCACAATAGTTTCCCTTGCCAGCAGCTCACAAAACTGTGCCTTGATTACAAATCTCATGACAAATCAAGCCCTTGACCAACAGGGACTTTGTCTTGTCTGCTGTTGTACTCCAAGTCCCTAGCACACAGTAGGTTCTCGAATATTTGTTAGAAAATGAATAAATAAATGGTCCCAGGAAGTATTTTCACTTCTAAGGCTTAATTATTGGCAGAATTAACCACTGAAGCCATCTCAGTGTTGGCTTTTCTTTGCGAGTAGTTTTTCACTAATTTAATCTCTTCACTTGTTATAGATATATTCAGATTTTCTTTTTCTCTTGAATCTATTTCAGTAATTTGTACCTTTCTAAGAGCTGTCCATTTTATTTATCTAATTTGTTGGTACACAATTGTTTGCAGTATTCTCTTATAATTCTTTTTATTTCTATAAGGTCAGTAATGATGCCTCCTCTCTTATTCCTGATTTTAGTAATTTAAGTCTTCTCTCTTTTTTTCTTGGTAAGTCTAGATAAAGATTTGGCAATTTCATTGATCTTTTTGAGGAACCAACTTTGGTTTTCCAGTCTCTAGTGTGATAATTGCTACTCTAATCTTTATTGTCTTTCTCGATCAGATATTATTCTACATCATTTTTAAAAACAGCTAAAGCCACAAATCTGCCTTGACCCTTTTGTTTTTGCTTCTGCTCTGTCGATCTTCCTTGAGGCAGCAGATCTTTCATGACCTATTGCCCAAAAAGGATAGAGTCACAGGGTCACAGACAATTCTTGGAAAAATTTACATTGGTGAATATATCAAAATGATATTCTGCTACATATGCATAACTTATCTTCACTCTTGGACCACAAAGATCTATTTCAGAGACAAATTTGGAGTGGAATTTTCCTTAACATTATCCTCAATAGAGCCTAAAGTATAGAATACACTCATTTTCTCACTCATATCCTGAGACCTCAGTGGTCGTTTACCAGACGTTGGAATTCCTAAATGAATACCATTGCCTTAAAAATCATATTCCTCAGGTCAGAAGGCTAGAGTGCTCTAGTACAGGAGTCCTCAACCCCTGGGTGAGTGAACATTAAACCTGAGCTCCATCTCCTGTCAGGTCAGCTGTGGCACTGGATTCCAGGAGTGTGAACCCTATTGTGAACCGTGCATGCAAGGGATCCAGACTGTGCTCTCCTTATGAGAACCTAACTAACGCCTGATGATGTGAGGTGGAACAGTTTCATCCTGAAAATCATCCCCCTCACCACTGTCCCAGCACTGTACTGGTCTGTGGAAAAATTGTCTTCCACAAAACCAGTCCCTGGTGCCAAAAATGTTGGGGACCACTGCTGTAGTAGATTCCTAGTCAGTTTGAGGTGTCTTTTTTTTTTTCAGGTGGACAGAAAGTAGGATTTATTGTTGGGCCTTAGGAGGGGCAGCACAGTGGAAGCCCTCATGAGTGCAGGGCCCACCACTTGTCCAGAGGGCCACGACTGGGGATGTACTTGACCCCGCAGTCATCTGGAATGAGCCGTTTCTCAGCCACCATGTCTTCACATTGAACTTGGTAATGCCCCACTTCTTTGAGATGTGGATCTTCTGGTGGCCAGGGAACTTGGCCTTGGCCCTGTGCAGGGCCTCAATCACATGCTCCTTGTTCTGCAGCTTGGTGCCGATGGACACGATGACGTGACCAATGTGAACCCTGGCCACAGTGCCCTGGGGCTTTTCAAAGGCACCTCATATACCTGTTTGGAGCCTGTCAGCCCAGCACAGGACGTCTTGTTGATGTGCATAACGTGGAAGGGGTGGAGCCGCACTTGGATATGAAAGCCATCCTCGCCGCAACTTTTCATCATGTACTTATTGGCACAAATTCAGGCAGCCTCCAGGGCTTCAGAGGAGAGCTGCTCATATTCATCTGACACCATGTGGCCACAGAGTGGAAACTCATCCACTTTTACCTTCTTCCACCCCAGGTCAAAGATGGGAATCTCGGCATCAGCAACACCTCGCCAGAAGAGAGGCTTTGTGTTGTTCTTACAATAATGGTAACACTGGGTGGGGCAGCGGCCCATGGTGACACCAGAATCTTCAGTGGCACACGAAAGGGAAAGAGCTTGAGATATCTTTTGAACTTAAGAGTCATCCCTTTCTCTAAGAACTGACCCCCATCTAGAAGATGGGCAGCCCCAATTGTACTGCATGACCCTGTCCTCAGACCCAGCTTAATGGACCAGAAGTAGACAGCTGACTGAATCTGGACAAGGTAGATTTCCTTCCTGAAAGTCTGAAATTATGACTAAGAGGCAGCCGTACTTGTCTTCTGGTTGTTGGAATTGTTCCATGTGAACTCAGGAGCTGAGGGCAAACATATTCCACCATGAGAACAGAGAAACAGGGAAGACTGCTCTGTTGGAAAACAGAAACATGTTGCAGTTCTCCTAAGAGAAACAGAAACAGAAGATGGTGACTGGGTCCCTGACAGCTTCCTGCTTTCCCTGATGGCTTTCTGATCTAGTCCCATATTAAAATCTAGTGGCATTTCTGACTTTGAATTCCATAAGACACCCCTGTGTCCTTATAAATTCTCCTTTGCTTTGTCATCATAATTATCAACATTGTCAACATTATCAACAAAAAAGATAAAACTTCCTGAACATTTACTATGTGCCAAGTAAAGTTCCAATTAGCTTACACAAATTATCTTATTTAATCCTCCCAGTGAATCCATGTATTACTTCATTTTACATATGAGGAAACAGGGACAAAGAAATTAAGTAACTTGTCCACTACAGTCAGCAATAGATAAAATCAGGATTCACACCAAGGCCATCTGACTTCAGAATCTGAGCTCTAACCACCATGTTATACAGTTTAGCCTGCTCACGTTGGTTCTTAGCACTTGCAACTAAGACGTATTAGCTAAATAGGGCTCCTCAGTCTGGCCCTACTCTGCCTAACAAAAATTATCTGCCATTTTCCCCAGTGTGCTGAAGCCAGCATTCCCCTAAAACATACTATGGTCAATGTCACCTCCATGCCTTTTTGCTCCTTCTCCTTCCCACCCACCCCCACTTTTATATTCTACCAATGATTCAGGGTCCACTTCCAGTTCTATCTTCCCCAGGGAAACTGGTCACCCGTATGTTCTATCAGTCAGTAACTATGCTGCCTTGCAATGGTGGTTAATAGCTTACTGCATGTATGTCAGGCCTCTATGATGAGATTGTAAGGTCTTTAAAAGCAGGGGCTATATTTTCTCTTTCGCTGTGTCCCCAAAACACTATAATTCATTGTAAGCATGCAATAAAAGCTCCTTGAATTGAACTAAAGGCAGTAATCTTAGTGGCATAGACAAAGGCAGGGAGAGAAGGTCAGGCACAGAGAGGCTTAACTTTAAAGGAGAGCTTAATGTCTTTTCATAAGTGTCAGGAATGGCCTTCACATACTCATCTTGTTTTAAAATTTTATGTGTCAATATTACATTTTAAAAGTTTTAAATCTCTATAGGAAAAAGGATATTATATTGAAACATAAATCTTCCATAATTGCTGAATTCTCACCCAGCCCTTGATCTCCTTGTTGAGTGGTCCCAAGTCTGACATTCTGAAAGTGACATACGCTGCTCCCCACAGCCTCAAACACATCTCTGATCTCACTCTTGGGCACACCCCAAGCCCTGGGATGACCATCACAACTCCCCTCTGCCCCACCATCTCAGAGGAGGTAGGTTTCTTCCCCTTAAGAAGAGTATGGGGGTGATGAGAGTATCCCAGTGCCTGAGTCTTCCTAGGCCCCAGGAAGGCCTTGGAATCCTCTCTGATCCTTAGCATTCACCCTCATCTATGAAAGCAACTGTTTGCATTATGTGTCCACTTAGTGTCCTGACAACAGTCTAAACTCAATCCATCCAAAAGCAAATCAACATCTTCCCCAAAGTTGTTCCTCCTCTTTTTACGGTAATAGCTGCCACCATGATCCAATCATCCAGGCTTGAAGCCTGAGTCATCTTTGACTCAGAACATCACAGTGCTAAAAAAAAAAAAAAAAGTATTTTAAGCCATTTGCCTCCTTCCCCCAGTATATGATTTATACTCAGACTCTGTCTCTCAATATCTTAAAATGCATCTGAGGTCTGTCCCTTCCTGTGTATTCCCCCGATAAGGCTCTGGATTTTGGCAACAACTCCTGAACTACTACTCTCTTTTCCTGCTGGTTTGAATAGGGAGAGAAGCAAAAGTAAACTGGAAAGTGGAACTAGAAGTCTCTAAAACCACAAGTGTTAACCTTACCCTTGCCAGAATGGGGCACATGAATTGTCCTACTAGCAGGTAACAGCTGAGTTTAACCAACATTTAAGAATTACCAACTACATCCTGGCTAACATGGTGAAATCCTGTCTCTACTAAAAATACAAAAAATTAGTCGGGCGTAGTGGCGGGCGCCTTGTAGTCCCAGCTACTCGAGACGCTGACGCGGGAGAATGGTGTGAACCCGGGAGGCAGAGTGAGCCAAGACCGTGCCACTGCACTCCAGCCTGGGCGACAGAGCGAGACTCCGTCTCAAAAAAAAAAAAAAAAAAAAAAGAATTACCAACTAAATGTCACACATGTGGCCTTGTGTGGGGTGCTGGGGCCACAGCAATAAGTAAGACTTCCCCAGCCCTCAAGTGCCTAGCGAGGGATGAGAGCTGAGGGGGGCGATCCCAGAGGGCTCTGCGAGTCCTGAAGGGGATTGTTCAATGCTGAGGGCGAGGTGAAGGCCAGGAGAGTGTGCGTAGGGAGAGGACATGTGTACTAGGTTTGAGGGCTGAATAGGATTTCAGGCCTGAGGGCTGAGGGGTGGAGGGCAATTCCAGGCTATTAAGCAAAGGCTTAGTTTACAGGCTGGACTAATCCGATTTGTGTGCTGTGTCCTGGGCTCCCCTGTGGCAGTGATGCAATCATGTGACAGTTGGTGGTCATGTGCTGGGTAAGGACACTTTCAGGAAGGATGATATCACAGAAGTGATATAATCACCAGATAACTTTCTGAGTAGGAGGCACATGTCAGGGCATGAATTCAATGGTGACAGACGTGAAACTGCTGACAGCATTGTTTTCACTTCTACCTCAAGATTTGTGTGGATGTCTACAGGAAACCAGGGGGTCAAAAATAGAAAGAGAAGAGGTGCTGAACATTGGAGATGGACTCAATTTCCCCCTCCAGGCAATTCTTCTCCCCAGGATCTCTCACGGGTTTTTGCTTTATACATATATGTAATGCTATTTTTCAAACATATAAAGAGACTGTTGTGGCTAATTTTTAAAACCTATAAATTTATCTAAAAATCCTATTGAAATCCAAATGTCTTTTGCCTTACATACACCATTAGATAATAAAAGCACAACTTCCACTACGTAAGGTCTGATTCTTTGGTGGGGAAAAGGGATTAAAAGAGGTCCTCATCTTGAGAAACCACTGCTATACACCACAGGTGTGTAATGACAGCCCTGCCTTGGTGATCCTCCAGGTTGGGGAGTGGCACCACATCCAGGTTATGTTGAATCTCAATTTACAATGTATAGTGTACTTTTTTTTTTTTTAAGATGGAGTCTTGCTCTGTTGCCCAGGCTGGAGTGCCCATTATGAGTCATGGAGACTCAGATTTTGAGTAAGAGAGAAATAAAACTTTGTGCTTTTAAGTAATAATAAGTCAATCCTGACTAATATCACATGGTAAGAAGTCTGGATTTTATTCTAAGTGGGATAGGAAGTCATTTCAAATTTTGAGCCAGAGAGTGATAAGATCTTGTATATGTTTAAATGACCTCTTTACTGTGTGTAGGTTATGAGGCAGAAGGACTGGTTGTAAGTCCATTGAAGTTAATTTAGAATGAAGTAGTGGTGGCTTGAAATTAGCGGTGGCAGTAGAGATTGTGAGTCGAATTCAGAATATACAGGCATGCACCATATAATGACATTTTGGTAAACAATGGACCACATATGGTGGTCCCATAAGATTATAATGGAGCTGAAGAAGAAAGTTTGAAGACTACCAGATATCAAAACTTACTGTAAAGCTACAATAATTACAACCAGATGGTACTGCCAAAGGGTAGAAAAATAGAACCATCAGACAACAGAAAATTCAGAAACAGACCTACATCTATAGGAAAATTTGATTTGTCACAAAGGATAAGCTGAACACTAGTAGGGATAGGATAATCATTTCAATAGGGAGTGCTCAGTCAATTGGATAGCCACATGGAAAATAATGAATCTTGGCCCTTAGTCATATATACAAAAACCAAATCCAGGTTGATTGTAGGTCTAACTTTGAAATGTAAAACAATAAGAAATCTAGAAGGTTATTGGGAGAGTACCTTCAGGGGAGGAAAAGATTTCTTAAACACGACACAGAAAGCACAAATCAGAGACAGAAAGATTGATAAACCATTACATTGAAATTAAAAACTATGTTCATCAAAAGATACTATTTAGAGAAAAACAATACCCACAAAAGTAGGAGAATATATACATATATATATAAAATCTCAATAAGTAACAGAAGGACTTTTAACCTGATTATTTGAATAACTCCTTTAAGTCAATAAGAAAAAGCATACAGGCTGGGCACAGTGGCTCATGCCTGTAATCCCAGCACTTTGGGAGGCCAAGGCAGGTGGATCACTTGAGGCCAGGAGTTCGAGACCAGCCTGGCCAACATAGCAAAATCCCATCTCTACTAAAAATACAAAGATTAGCTGGGCATGGTGATGCACACCTGTAATCCCAGCTACTTGGGTGGCTGAGGCATGAGAATCACTTGAACCAGGTAGGCAGAGGTGAGCCAAGATCGCACCACTGCACTCCATCCAGCCTCAGGACAGAGCCAGACTCTGTCTAAAAAAAAAAAAAAAAAAAAAAAAAAAGAAAGAGCAATGGACAAAAAAAAAGAAACAAGAATAGATACTTCACAATAGAAGATATCCATATGGCCAAAAAAAAAAAAAAATTGAAGAAGAAGAAAAGAAAGAAAAGCTACTCAACCCATCAGGAAAATAAAAATGCTGCTAAACATGCCCAAATAACTAAAATTAAAAAAAAAAAGATAATGCCAACTATTGCTGAGGATGAGAAGCATCTGGAACTCTCATACAGTGCTTGTGGAGATGTAAATTGGTACAATCACTTAGAAAAATTGGTCGTATTTACATACCCAATGCCTGAGTAATTCCATTCCTAGGTATATATCCAAGAAAAGTATACATATGTATACCAAAAGACAGGTACAAGAGTGTTTATAGCAGCACTATTTGTAATTGCCCCAAGGTGGAAACTATCCAAATGCCCATCAATTGTAGATTGGATAAATAAATTGTGGTATAGTCATACAAAGAGCACACAACAACAAAAATGAAAAAACTATTGAGAGGGAGAGATGCCCAAGGATTCCCAGCTGTTTCAGCCCTCATCTGTTTGAGTCTTCCCAGACAGGTGAGTAAAGAAGCCTTACAGATGATTCTAGACTGAGCCACTATCTGACTGAAACAACATGAGAAACCCTGAGTGAGAACCGCCTAGCTGAGCCCAGTCAGGTCCCGCACTCATGAGCACCACATATTATTAGGACAATTTTAAGTCACTATTTTAGGGATTGATATTACACAGCAATAGATAACTGAAATATATGTTGAAGTATTTAAAGAAAAAGGAAAATAGAATATATTACATTTATAAATCTACTTTAAGATGTTTAAGAAAATCTAATTAACTAAGTTTGTAAAAGTCCCTCTAAAAACTATTGTTTAATACTAGGTTCATCAACAGAAAAAGAGATTTGTAAGTTGAATGTCACAGCCTAAGGGAAAACGAGGTTTTTAAATTTCCACTTCCATAAATTTGAATCTTAATTGAAAAATAAAAAATAACCACCAGTGAAAAGCTGGATCTTTGACTCCATTGATCCTTTCAGACAATGCAAAGAAACAACATAGGGAAAGGAGTTGAGTGATTTATTGAGTGCTTACTTGGTGCCACGGCATGTGCTAGGTGCTTACCTAAATCAACTCATTGGATCCTCACAACAACCCTGTGAGGTGGGTTTCATAACCCCCACTGTTTACCGATGAGGCTCACAGAGGCTATGTAACTTGCCCAAGATTCTGCAGCTGGTAAAGGACGGAATCTGTGCCTCTGCACTACCAATGCCTGCTCCTGAAGGAAGGTTTGTGAGGGTGAATTTCTCAAAGTCACTTCAGGTCCTTACTGTAGCGACAGTGTTGGCACCTTCTGTGTCCTCTCTCACCTTGCCTGTGAGCCTTCCAGTGGGTGGGAAAAGAGGCATGCCTATCAGTGGCCATTCTGTGAACACAGAAGAGAGCTGCGCTGGCCACAGAGAAGATAGTCCAATGATCCTTAAAGTTCAGGCGTGTGGGTTGGAGCCAAAGGGGCCTGTCCCCTGGATATAACTTGAGAGTAGCTCTGGAGAGGAATTCTAGAAGCTGTGGAAAGAAAAAGAGGGAGGATTTTAGCACTATGTCTCTGGACAGTTTGTCTAACTTCAAAGGGTTCTTTTCAGTTTTTTTCTTTCCTTTACCAATTCCCAATGTTTTAACTGTACTCACTGCCTGACATGATAGGGGCAGGTGTACCTTCGAATCATTTCATACTAGAATATTAGGGCAAGTCAGCTTTGAAGGTATCTAGCCCAATCCTCTCCTATTGTAGAGACCAAGAGATCAACTTTTGTTGCTTCCTATGAACGTTCTATAGAACTCTACTTCTTACCTAACCCTATCTAATTTAAAGAAAAAAACCAAAAGCCTGTATTGAATAATGGTAAGTTTCATAAGACTCCTGACTTTCATTTTTACAGAAAGATGGGTAGGAAAATGAGGCCTGTAAGACAGAAGTGGAAACATGACTCAGGAGCAGCCCCAGGCTGCTGTTATCCAGAGGGCAGGTGGGGAACTGCTGCCTCTAACTTACCTGACCGACAATGGAACCTGTGGCAGGTAGAGGTGGCACGACCCTCTAGAGACCCCTGCTCTGGCCGTGCCACTTTCAAGAGCAAGTTTTCCGAGCCAGGACTCTTTCCAGTAGTTCTGTGAGAAAAGCACTGTTTGCTAGCACTGACAGCTACCAAAAACCTTACAGCTGCTTCTGAGGGGAAGAGCATGATGACAGTGTGACTCTAATCTGCCTCCTCCCAAACAGATGAAGGAGAGCAGGCTGACATGTGACTTAGCTATTCAGGGGCTAAAGAGCTAGCACATGTTTTCTTTAGGCCTCCACTTTTTGCTGTACCTTTTGTTGTCAGGGGATTCTGCCAGCTGCCACCTTCCCTGAAAAGCCAAACTGGTGGAAATAAGAGGGAAAATCATCTATCTCTGATAAAAGAAAGAGAAAGAAAGAGAGAGAGACTGCTAAACAATTGTACATACAACAGAATCTTAAAATACGCTACACATTTAACTAGTGCTTCAGAGCTTAAAAACTGCCTTTATGTATTTTATCACAATCACGCCTCACAGCAACCCGGTAAGGTAGACAGAGCCATCTTGGTCCTGTCCTGCAGATGAGGAACATGTTCTTGATGGCAGGTGAGTGGCAAGACTAGAGTCCAGATCTTAGAAACACAGAATCCTAGAGTTAGAAGTTACCCTGACACAATAATCCAAGGCATCCTTTTCCCAGAGCATGAATCACCTTATAAAATCCCTGAGATTTCTTATGGCCCCTGCTTGAACTCTTCCAGTGATGAGTAACTCTCACCACCCATGAGCAATCCAGTATCAATACTGAGCTAAAATCCTTCTTATAACTTTCAGCCTATTCAATTCAATTTCTGCCCACAAGAACTACACCAAATTAAGTCAAATTCTAATTTACATTCTTTCTAAAATTTGAAGATATTACACTTGCCCTTTTCTTGCAGATAAAACATTTTCAGTTCTTTCAACTACTTATCATGTGATTACCTAGAACCATGCCTAAAATATATAGTAAATAGTGTTTATTGAATCGTTTCTCTTGCCCTTGGTACTATGTCCTGATCCTCCTGTCGAGGGGCTCCTTCCCTTACCTCGAGTGTCCTCAATTTTGTAATCTGTTCATCATTTGCTTATTTAAATAATAGGGAGAAAAGAAACAGTATAGTTTTCAGAACAATGTGAAACAAAATAAAAATTGTCCAAATGTCAGACAGCTTTCAATTTATTTTGTGATAATGGATTCATTATTTCACTCAACAGACTACCTCGGAGCTGCATTTCTAGAAGATAAGTCCCTCATTCATTGAGCATCTCCTGTAATAAGACACAGAATGGATCCCTGTGGAGAGTGGCCATCGAATTAAACAGAAAAATTCTAGTGAAGGGAGGGATGATTTGGGGTCTGGCTGGAAGACCCTGCATGAATACATTATCCTGCAGCATAGTTTTGCCTATTAAGAGAAGCAGCACCCATTTTTTGTTCAATTTTGGGTACCACCAGACTAAAAAACATATGTCTCTTCAAAAAGGAGCTCCAGAGGAAACTCTGACTATTTTCAGTTGGTCTTAATTTGGATTGGTGTGAGAGACAAGCACTGGTGTCAATGTGATGAGGCTGTGTCATTCCTAATGATGCAGAATTCAGCCAGCTTCATGCCTCTCATATAAGTGCTGTGCCGGGATGAATAGCAATGAGCTTAACATTTTGATAACTAAAGAGCCAGGAAATAGATGGTGAATGGTGCCCTACTTTATGAAAGAAATAATAGTAAATTGCTCCCAATTAAGGGAATATGCTTATTCATTAGAGTAATAACCTTATAGCAAGTTTGATGGTAAATAAGTCAAATCAAACATTCAAAACACAATTTCAGAAAAAGAACTGAGGCTAAATTATCCCATGATCACAGACTACATTGAAAACTATCAGAAGTTTGGCTAATTTGATCATGTTTTCAAGTTGTTCTGAAAACCTCTATGGCCTGAAAAGTAAACGACATAAGTTTCCTTTCTCTCTATTGCTTAAACAAAGAAACATGAAAAACTATTCTCCCTATATTGCAAATTCCGGTATTTTAGAAAGTGAGCCTCATCAGCAGTTTTCTCATCTTGAGTTTTAGAAAAGGCTGAATTTGGAAAGAGGCATTTCATACGATAGTATGTATTAAGGGTTGAGGGCTTGGGGACTGAGTTGTGATCTCCTCTCTCATAAAATATCCGCACTGTAGGCCGGGCGCAGTGGCTCACGCCCGTAATCCCAGCACTTTGGGAGCCCGAGGCGGGCGGATCACCACGTCAGGAGATGGAGACCATCCTGGCTAACACGGTGAAACCCTGTCTCTACTAAAAATAGAAAAAATTAGCCAGGCACGGTGGCGGGCGCCTATAGTCCCAGCTACTCGGGAGGCTGAGGCAGGAGAATGGCGGTGAACCCGGGAGGCGGAGCTTGCAGTGAGCCGAGATCGCGCCACTGCGCTGCAGCCTGGGTGACAAAGCGAGACTCCGTCTCAAACAAAAAAAAAAAAAAAAAGAAAGAAAAAGAAAAGGAAAAGGAAAAAAAAATCTGCACTGTAATCACATGGTAGGTGATAGATTCTTCACAGGCATAGAATGGAGGGAACTGCTAGTTAAACAAGACCCACCACCACAAGGGCTGAGGAGAGTCCCAAGGTGCCAGAGAAATTGTAGTGAAATATCACAGAGAGTTCTTGCTGAAAGACACTCAGATGTCCTGGGGCTTGTGTCTACTGTACTGCGGACTGACTACTCCTCTTTTCTTCCTTTGAAAAACTTATCCTTGCCTTCTCAGATCAATCCAAGGGGGTTCCTGGGGACAGCTGGTCCAACACGCTCAAATGAAGAAAGTAAGGTTTAGTGAGGTATGGTTTGCAAAAAGTCACATATTTGATTAGTAGCAAAGCCAGACATAGAAGCCAGGACTTTGGACTCCCAGTCCTGGCCTCTTTCTCATTTACCATGCTGCCTGCCTCCTGATGTTTGGAAAACATTCCTAAAGCTGGGGATTTTACACCTTCACTTGAATGGTTTTCTTTATAGGCAGAGGGAAAAGTACTGATCTTTGGAAGAGTTAGGATTAAAAACTAATAAGATGGGGGTACAGGGTGTTTAGGAGGAAGAATAGATACAGCAAGGCAAAAAAGGTGGGAAAAAGAAAAAAGGAGGTAATAGGAGAGATAAATATATGAACAATAAAATGGAAGAAAACAAGAGACAAGTGAAGAGGGAGAAATGAACTGAGAAGACATAGAAAATGGACACTTAAGAGCAGCAAACTGGCCAGGCATGGTGGCTCATGCCTGTAATCCTAACACTTCGGGAGACCAAGGCAGGAGGATTATTTGAGCCCAGGAGTTCGAGAACAACCTGGGCAACATGGGGAGAGTTTGTCTCTACAAAAAAATTTAAAAATTAAACATTATCCAGGCACAGCGACATGTGCCTGTAATCCCTGTTACTTGGGAGGCTGGGATGGGAGGATCGCTTGAGCTTTTGGAGGTAGAGATTGCAGTGAGCCGACATCATGCCACTGCACTCCATCCTGAGTGACAGAGTGAGACCCTGTCTCAAGAAAGAAAAGGAAAAAAGAACAGAACATCAAACTGAGGCAATCAAGGACTGAGAAGAAATTGGAGAAGAAAGAAGAGAAAAATAGAACCAAGAAAAGAGAAGAAAACCAGGAAGAACAACATGAGAAAACAGAGAGCTGCTGTGAGTCGAAGAGAGAGTGTATAGGTGGATGGGCAAGTTGGACCAAGAGGGATCCATAGGACATAAGGAGCATGCGTGGATGCAGGATGAACGAGTAGGAAGGCGAACAGCTGCACAGAGGGAAAGGAGTGATCAGAGTTGTCAATGCACACTTCGGGGAACTCAACAAAGTGATCTGGGGTGTTAGATTGATCCTTGGAATTACCTCAGAATGAGCTGAACTATGGTTCTAAGGATGCTGGTAACACAGGAGATTGTAAATTCCATATCTACAAAACTAAATCTCTAACCTTTCATCAGTCATCTCTATGGCCTCTTTCATCATTTATATAACCTGTTTTTCAAAATAGACAAACATTCACTCATTCATTTCATGTACTCTGGAGGCCTTCCTCACTGGGCTAGTTTCTCAGGTAATTTATTGGTGCTTTCTGAAGAACCATGGGAGGCGCCTTCCAAATTGGGAACAATGGGATTTTCCTCAGGAAATTCAGGCCTACATCATGGTTGGGTGGAGTTACAGAGAAAAACATCACAGTATTATGAGGGCAGCCAGGGAAACATGAGAGCAATTTCCCAGAACCACTGGGCACAGCCTTTCTTGTAGACTCTCTGGGAGGGAAATTCTGTGAGGGAAATCCTGCACGCACTGTTAGGCCCTCCAGGATTTATGCACATCCTACCTCCCACAGGTGTGGGTGACTGGGGAAAGCCAGGCTGCCATATACCTATCTGATCATAGTAACATTTAATCATAGCAGTATCTAGTCCTCTGTCTGTGTGATCAACAAACACATTCTCCACTGGGTGAGAGGAAAGCAAGATGAGGACATTTTCCTCCCCGAGCTATTAGCTCATAATCACAATCCTCTTTAAAATATGCAGTTTTAACAGAGATGCCTGCCCAGTCTAGGCTAAATAACAACTGCTTTCCAGGACGGGCTCTGTATCAGGAAAGACAAGCAATCAGAATTAGAACCCTGCCACATTCTTTTTCTTTTAAAATGCATGCCACAAATAAAAGCCCCTTAAGCCCCAGCTGTGGCCTCAGCTATTAGAATAAACTTGCAAAAAAACAGCAATCTACCTTCCTGCTCAACGTATCAACCAGCCCACTTTCTAAAATGCAATCAAGTTAATAACGAATGAGTTTTTAAAATCCCTTCATGCCTTGCATGCACCCGGAGTGAGTTGCTATCTTCAAAGTTGGGTTAATGCCACTTTCTGTGAGTCCTCTAAGAGGAAATGTTCCACGAATGATTTTTTTTGCCCTAACAAGCTGAGTTAAGGCCAGCCATTGACAGGAATGTGCAGCGGCTGCCTTCTGAGTACTTACATAGGATCCTGAGCCGGTGGCTGTGCCCATGTTAGTTCTCCCTTCACCTCATGTACTCCCCATCACTCCTATAATCCATAAACGATTCTGATCCTGACACCTCCTCAAAATCCTCCAGCACCAGACTGGTGGAGTCCTCACCCAGTATGCCACTGTCTGGCCTGGACAACCTGGCCCGGGTAGGAGGTGCAGGAAAGTTGGTGGTAGCTGGAGGGGTAGAACAAGGGGGTGTTTGCTGGAGAGAGGTGGGTGTGGCCTGAGGAGGGGACACAGCTGGCTCACAGACTTCCTCATCACCCTTCTCGGACTCTGGTCCAGCATCTGCAGCAGTGGGACCCAGGACATGGTAGAGGCTGGGAAGGCGGATGTCAAAGCGCAGCCCAAACTTAGCAAAGAGCTTGTCATTGAGAGTGTAGAGCTTCTCTGAGATGTCATATCCCAGCAGAGCCGAGAAGAGGCAGGAGATGTATCGCTCTTTGGTCAGAAGAAGATGGAGACTTTTCCGGGGCCAGGAAATGTAGCTACATGAGGTCTCAGCAGTCAGAGTGACCTGAGAGGGGTCAGAAGCAGACAATAAAAGTTTAAACTAGAAAATTTGTCCATGCTGAGCACAGAGATCATTCAGTCACTTGGCAAACAGCTGTACTTTTACTGAAGAAGCTGTGTGGGAGTACCCCTCTATGGCCTTGCCTGGAGGAGGTCTAGTGGATGACTTTCACTTGTGTGCACTGATATGGGGGGGTCCTGTGTCAGGAGCCCTGGGATCAGCCATTCACTCACTCACCCATCACCTCCTGAAGCCTCAGTTTCCACATCCACTTTCCTCAACTGTAATTCTGTGGTTCCGTGGCTAATGCCACTAATGACTGCAGAAAGTTCTGAGTCTTATGATTTTAAGATAGAGAAAGAAGGGGCCTTCTTGTGCTCTGAAGAGTGGTTGAAATGCTGACAACTATTCATTTTAAGAATGAGGAAGGGTAAGATATTGGGGTAGGGACATAAAAAGAGTTGGAAAGTTGAGTTTGAGAAAAAGCTTCTGATGAGGTATGCCAAGCTACATCAGGATCCCAAGCCTGGGATTCAGGTTGGGATACGAGCAAGTTACGAAATTGCTCGTAACTTGGCCATTTCAAGTAACCAAAAGGATCTGATGACTGAAATCAGAAAAAGGGCATAGCGGAAGACAAACTCTAAAGGGTAGAAAATCAAAGGGCACCCCATTCTCCATTTGTTTATTCATCTAGGAATTTCTGAGTACTCACTATGTGCCCATGATGCAAAGCTAAATTACGCTTGCATGGGAAATAAGCAATAACGTGTGCCTAGCATGCAGCAGGTGTTTGATAAATCCTTGTTAAAATAATGATAAGTGGTAAAGCTGGGGTTAAAATGGAAACATGCTTAGGACAGTGCAGGAAAAGGGTGCAGAATCACACAATTTTTAATAATCTAATTGACCCTAATACTTTGGGCTGGCAGAGTTCATGATATATTTTTGTGGATGGAGACAGTGGAAATGATGATGATAATGATGTTAGCAGCTAATATTTGTCAAGAGGTGCCAGGCGTTGTGTTAAGCACTTTATATGAATTGTCAAATTTAAAGTAGGGTAGCTTTCCAAACATTCTTTATTAGAGATTATATATAATCCTTTTCATTCCTGTATTGCCTACTGGATCTCCCATTACCCTCCTCTTCTCTTCTTTCCTTTCTGCTATACCCCTCCCCCACGTCCTTTATTCATTTCCTCCTCTCAACTTTTCTCCACTAATTGCTAGCACTGCAATCAGGACCTAAACTACGTTATCGAGGCCAGAAGTGGTTTCATGTTTCAGCTTTACCTCTATCAGTTGTATGATGTCAGATAAATTACTTAATCTCTCTTGCCTCATGAGAAAGAATTCTGAAAATAATACAATCTGTCCATTACTAATAGTTCAGCAAGTAGTTGTCACATCTGCCATGGCCTGTACCTTAGATGTACTTATGAACAATTCCCAAACAAGAAATCAGAGTACCAAATATGAAGCACATGTGTTTGAGCAAGAACTACGCCGAATGTAAATAATGTCTTAAAGCCAAACACAAAGACTGTGAACCTTCTTAGAAATATGCTGTACTTCTTCCATCTTAAAATAAAACAAAATTTTACAAATAAAAATTCTTTTTCTCGAATTCACTTCCCTGGCTAGCTATCACTCCACTAATTTGCTTCCCTTTTTAGCAAAACTCATGAAGAAAAAAAAACCTGTTTATACTTAACTGTCTCCAATTCCTCTCTTCTCACTCTCTTAAACCAATAAGACTTTGTCCCTAGCAGTCCACAAAGACTGTTCCTGTTAAGGTCACCAATGACCTCTAAGCTGCTGAGTCTGATGGTCAGTTTTCATGGCATCCATCAATTTCCCCTTCCTCTTTGATATATCTTCTTCACTTGGTTCCCAGGATGCCATACACTCCTTGCCCAATCTCATGATTGTTCCTTTTCAAGCTCCTTTGCTGCTTCCTCCTTTCCTCTCCAACTCCTCACCACTAAAGTATCCCAGGGCTCCGCTCTTGAACCATTCCCTCTTCCATCCACACTCACTCACTTGGTGAGCTCATCCTATCCAATGGCTTTAAATATCATCTGCATACAACCAACTCCCAAATTTATGTCTCAGGCCCAGATCTCATTCCTGAATTTCAGACTTAAATATCCAGTTGCCTATGCAGCATCTCCATTCAAATGTCCACAGATGATGCAAACCTAACATCAAACACTGAACTTCCTAGTCCCCCGAAAGCAGCTCTACCTGCAGCTTTCTTTGTCTCAGTTGACAGCAGCACCACCTGTCCAGTTGCTCAGGCCAAAAGCCTTAGAGTCTTCCTTGATCTTCTCTTTCTCTCACATACTATATCCAACCCTTTAGAAAATCCTTTTGGCTGTATCTAGACAATATATGCTATGGCCCTACATGATCTTGCTACCTCGTCACCTCTCCAACTTTCTCTCCTGCTATTCCCTCCCCTTCCTCTCTCCATTCCAGGTCCACTGTCCTCCTTTCTGTGCATCAAACACACTGGCCCCACCTCAGGGCCTTTGCACTGGCTCTTTCCTCTGTCTGATATGCTTTTCCCAGATATTCACAGACCTCACCTGTCATCTCTCTCAGGTTTTTGCTCAAATGTTATCTGCTTAACAAGGATTTCCATGACCACCCTATTTAAAATTGCCACCATTTCTCCCTTGCACTACTCTAGGTTTTTTTTTTTAAACTAGCAGTGATTATCCTCTAACAAATTATATAATTTACTTATTCATTATGCCTATGGCTTTTTGTCTCCCCCATTAGAATGTAAATTGCATGAGGGGAGGGACCTTCATCTGTTCTGTTCACTGATATATTTCAAATCCTTTTAACAGTGCCTGGTATATACTAAGTTTTCAATAAATATTATTGAAGTGAATAAATGAATCAAGGGAAGACAGCCAATCTTGTATATTGCAAAACAACCTAATGTCACTTTCTTCCCCCACCCCACCGCCCCCCTGAGACGAAGTCTTGCTCTGTCACCCAGGCTGGAGTACAGCGGTGTGATCTCAGCTCACTGCAATGTCCACCTCCCGGGTTCAAGCAATTATCCTTCCTCAGCCTCCCGAGTAGCTGGGATTATAGGCACCTGCCACCACCCTGGCTAATTTTTGTATTTTCTAATAGAGATGGGGTTTCACCATGTTGGCCAGGCTGGTCTCAAACTCCTGACCTCATAATCCAACTGCCTCGGCCTCCCAAAGTGCTGGGGTTATAGGTGTGAGCCACCGCGCCCAGCCTCTAATGTTGCTTTCTCATGTCCTGTATAAAATCCTTCCCCAAAGGTCCTCCTGAAATCTGCTTCTTGATTGGTTCTCCCATATATATAGACATATCTGTTGTAACGTTTTGACAAGTATTTAGCTTTTTTTTTAATACTCATCTCAGATGTTGGTTGAATGAATTAAATGAGATAACCTATGTAAAT
This sequence comes from Homo sapiens, assembly GCF_000001405.40. Classification (NCBI taxonomy): domain Eukaryota; kingdom Metazoa; phylum Chordata; class Mammalia; order Primates; family Hominidae; genus Homo; species Homo sapiens. Next base: position 119,652,122 of record NC_000003.12, read on the forward strand.
AGGACTTAGGTCCAGTAAGATAGGATGCAAATTAGAAAAACAGTGATGATTTCTGTGTGATCCCTCCTGTGCTGTGTTCTTGGTGACTAATGAGTGTCACAGTGCCGAACACACAATGAATTCTGACTTAATTGAATTGTCGAGAGGTGTGCTGGAATGCTGATTGATTTATATTAGGTACAATGTGAATTATAATTTAGGCTGTCACTGTGGATTGCTCTCAGTCAACAAAGACTATGTAATTGCAAAAGGCAAGGACAGGATGAACTCTAACTTAAGATAACACTTGACATTTGCAAAGAGGAAATGGGACTTTACACAGCCAATAGCAAATGTGTGGCTCTCATTACTCCCAAAGGAGGTACACGCTAAAAATATAAATGGGAGGAACATGACCATACCTACATTCCAGGCTGAGAGGCCATGTGAGGTTACAGCCCTTCCTCTTGAGCGTAACTTAGGGGAGGACACCCGGCTTACCCACCACCTGTTCCTCCGTGTCAGTGTCAGAAAGAGGCCTGGTCCAGCTGGCTCAGGTCCTGACTGAGCCCTCCTGGAGGTTCTCATGTGCCTGAGAGAGTTCCTGAAGAAGGTTTCTGGACTAGTTAGGGAGGGTGTGTGGACGGAGGTCAGGGTAGGAACATGATGGAAGTGGATCTGTGGCTGGTGACCCTGGCAGTGGGATCAGGACTGCCTCTCAGGCTCCATCATCACAGAGCCAAGTGTCAGGGTGGGGGCAGAAGCAGGCCCTGCCAGGTAGCACTGCCCGGTGTGTGTCTGTTCCGGGGTTGGCTCATATGTTGGCTTGAGGGACTCCCTGATAAAAGTAGTAGGAGACACATGGAATCCAGTGTTTCCAGGTCCAGCAAACTATCCAGGCAGGGGAGTCCTTAAAAGGGTGAGTGAGTGTGTGTGCGCGTGTGTGCATGCGTGTGCATGTGTGTGTGTGTATGTGTGTGTGTAAACTCTACTCTTCTGGTGACCTTCCCATTTTAATAAAGAACAGAAATGGTAGATCCAGGCAACTTGGCTTTGTCACTTTCTAGCTGAAGACCCTGGGCAAATTACTTGATGTTTTTGGGCCTTAGTTTCCTCAGTTGTTAAATGGAGTAATAATCATATTCAACCCATAGAGTTGTTATGAGAATCAATGAGGCAATATGATACGTAGTGCCTGCCACATGCTAGCCATTCAATAAGTGAGAGCTACAAAGAAAGTGACCAAAGCCTGAGGGATTGGCAGAGATAAGAAGAGTAGGGGCCAGGCAGCCAGGAACCTGCATTGGAGCATGTATGTGAATGCCCCATGGAGTCCTCTGGGACACCAGCTGCCCAGTGGCAAACCAGTTCAGCAATTCTTTTTTTTTTTTTTTTGAGACGGAGTCTCACTCTGTCGCCCAGGCTGGAGTGCAGTGGCGCAATCTCGGCTCACTGCAAGCTCCGCCTCCCGGGTTCACGCCATTCTCCTGCCTCAGCCTCCCAAGTAGTTGGGACTACAGGTGCCCGCCACCATGCCCGGCTAATTTTTTGTATTTTTAGTAGAGACGGGATTTCATCGTGTTAGCCAGGATGGTCTCGATCTCCTGACCTCAGGATCCACCCACCTCAGCCTCCCAAAGTGCTGGGATTACAGGCGTGAGCCACCGCGCCCGGCAAGCAATTCTTTACTGAACAGCTGCTGTGCTCCAGGTACTTTCCTTTAGAGTCTGGGAACAGAGAGGGAAAAGCCTAGATTTGTACTTCAGAGTTCACTGTGCAGAAGACAGAAAGGAGACCAGATTATTAGAACAGACAGCAAGATGTGCACCAGTTAGCATAAGTAAAAGGACTAGAACAGGCACACAGGAGTGCTAGGCTGTGGGGTGGAAGCTGGTGAGGCTGTGGGGTGGAAGCAGGCTTCACAGTGGAAGTGAGGTTCCGTGGTCTCATCTAGAAGGGGAAATGCATTTCAGAGGGGAGAGTAGGGGCCAAGGCATAGAGCTGCAAAACAATGTGGTGTGTTTAGGGAAGTACTAGTGGTTCAGCATGGCTAGTATGAGCAAAAAATATGAAGGAGGGAGAGCTGGAAATGCGACTAGAGAGCACTAAAAGGTTTAAGTTACCCTATAACAAGTGTGGGTTTTTATGTTGTGGCACTAGGGTCTTCCAGAAGAGTTTAAGCATACAAGTAACATGGTCTACCCAGGGGCCAGCATCTTCCTACCCTACCTCACCTATGGCTAGGAGCCCAGGAACTCTTTTCAGAGGAAGAGTGCCCCCGCCTGTAGCTTCACACTGGCAGGGGTGCGAAGGACAGATGTAAGAGGGGAAACATGGAGGCACGGATATTGCTGGGCTACAGTGGGATGGGGTGAGGCGGTGCTGCCACCAGGCTCCCTGTTACCTGGAACACCCCCTCCTCAGAAGGCTGTAGTGATTCCCACTCAGGAGAGTCCATGAACTGGTATGGAAAGATGTAGTGCAGAAACTGCCCATCCTGGCTCACACGAACCCTGGCAAGGGAAGAGAAGAGATCATGTGGGAAAAGGAAAATGGCTCTCCAAGCCACCTATGCTGAAGTTAGGTGTCGCTGATTAACATGAATCTTCCTGTAGAAATACTTTGCCTAAAGCATGGTAAAACCCAAAGCTAGACTAGCCAGCCTAATTACTGCATGCAAGTAGTTCAGAAAAGGAACCCATTGAGACTTCCAGAACCCTCATTTTTCCTCCTCCTTCTCCTTACTGGTGGTTCTCAATTTCAGGCTGCAGAGTAGAAGTCCCAGGGAAGCTTTTAAAAAAAAGCACCTAGGCTTGGGCCTTATCCCAGAGCAATTAAACAAGAATCTCTCTAGGTAGGAACTGGATATTATTAGTATTTACATCTCCCCAGTGATTCTAATGTGTAGCCAAGATAGAAACTACTGCTTAAGAACTCTGCTGCTGGCCCGGCGCAGTGGCTCACACCTGTAATCCCAGCACTTTGGGAGGCTGAGGCAGGTGGATCACCTAAGGTCAGGAGTTCGAGACCAGCCTGGCCAAGAGAGTGAAACCCCCATCTCTACTAAAAATACAAAAATTAGCCAGGTATGGTGGCGGGTGCCTGTAATCCCAGCTACTTGGGAGGCTGAGGCAAGAGAATCACTTGAACTCGGGGGTGGAGGTTGCAGTGAGCCGAGATCACACCACTGCACTCCAGCCTGGGCAAAAGAGCAAGATTCTGTCTCAAAAAAAGAGAAAAGAATGCTGCTGCCTATTTAAGTTTACATTTACATTAATTAAAATTAAATAAAATTAAAAATTCAGTTCCTTACCTAATTACAATATGGGTGTTCAATAGCCACATATGGCCTGTGACTACCATGTTGTACAACATAGATCTAGAACGTTTCTGTCATCACAGAAAGTTCTGTTGGATCCGCTGCTCCACAGATTCTCCTTTCTCCCTTCCCATTAGCTACATGAAGATTCATGCTTACATTTAACCACTTTGTAGACTTTGAAGGAAGTGGCAAGTCTACCATATGCCAGACTCTGCTAGACACTTTACCAGTGTTCTCTTATATAATGTTCACAACACCACAAGGTAGATTATTCTTTTCTGTATTTTATAGCTAAGGAAACTGGTGCTCAGAAGGGTTGAGTGGCGAGCTTAAGGCTACATAGCGATCAAGTGGCGGAACTAAAATTCTATGTTCTTAGCACAACACCATGTTGCCACCCTATTACTACAGCTTTGGGTAGATGGTAGTGGACTCTCCTAGCATGACCCTTTCCCGGACCTCTCTAACCGTAGGTGACAATAACAGCTTGTTTCTTTAGACAATGAGATCCCATGCACCCTATCCAGCTGATGGTCCTAGAGTGAACACCTGACTCAAGCTGAGCCAATCAAACTCCTTCCCTGGGAATTTGGAAATGGAATTGCGTGTAAATCATGCCTTGGATGGGGACAATTATCAGGCATTATTAACAAAACTAACACACTCCTCCCTGAAGGAACTAAAAAAAATTTTTTTTTATCACGTAACTCAGACTTTGAAAAGCATGGGTCCCAATTGGCTATAGAGAAAATAAACTTGAAATCACATAAAATGTCCTAGTAGGACATGTTCTTGTTTCTAGCACTACCTGAGGCTTAGGTGCATGTCTTTCCTTGAGTTTCATAAGAAATCCTTGTATTTTTTTAAATAAAGACCTTTTTTCCCCCTTCTGTTGGCTAGAGTGGGTTACTGTGGCTGCAGCCAGAAATCCGAATTATTTGCTTTAATTTTATGAATATTCTTAAGTCTTAAGTCTTAAGTCATTAACTGCTCTTGACTTGCCCATGACCACAGGCTTGGTTTCACAACTTAAGGGGTTAGGAGCCTTACTATTGCTGCTTGGTGCCTTTGTACCCTTGTGGCTGTACCTAGCCTAGTGCTCTGCCCCTGCAGGGTAAAAAGACTGCATTCCATGAGAACTTGTTAGAACTGATGGCATGTCATTGATGATGCCTGAGGACAGGGAGTGTATTTCAGATGTGAGGCCACATCTGGAAGAAGATTAGAATCCAGTATGGGCTTTATCCTTCCCCCAACCCGACCCCTGCCCAGAAAACTCAGAGTTTCATCTTTAACCTCTCTTCTAAAGTGAGTTATATCAGGCAATAGGGGTGCCTCTATTAGGCAAAGGGGGAAGATGAAAAAGATCTCTAAGGTACACCTTGTTCATTTGGGGGAGATATCCTTCCATTATTTCTGGAGGTTTATTGGCTAAACAAATATTTCTGGAGCATCTCTCATGTTTCTGGAGATCTGGGAATGCAGAGATGGGCACAATCTGGTCTTTGTCTTTGAGGATTTCACAATTTAGTGGAAGTCACAGGCACATAAATAACTGGCTGCAAGTCAATGTGATAGGTGCTATTGTGGAACAGTAACAGAGGAGAGAGAAAGATTGGTTCTCTTTGGGCAGCAGACCTCTCGAAGGAGATGACATTTGAGCTGAATTTTGAGGGATGCAAAGGGTATTGAGAAGCAGATAAAGATGAGAATGAACAAAGACCTGGGAAATCCAGTGTGGCAGTCTGTTCTCCAGTATCTGCTTTCTTCTCTTCCTTAATGGTGCTAGATTTTAACTGGACACATGACTGCAGAGAAAAAAATCAACATTTCTCTACTTCCCTGGCTGCTAGGCATAGGCAAGTGATAAGTCCTGGCCAATGGGATATCAGCACTCCTGAGCCTTGCTCTTAATGAATGCCTAGGTATACATGCGTGTATACAAATTACCAAAGACCAGCACCAATTAAAAAAACAATTGCACCTATTATCTGACAACCTAAAGCTGGAAGACAGGAGCTTTATTCAAGACTCTGAATAAATATGTATGGAAGGGGGAAAAGAAGGAAAGAAGGAAGCAAGAAAGTAAGGATGAATAAATGAACAAAGGAAACCAAGGAACAAACTCACTTGTGTCACCATAAAAGGGGATCAAAACCTCACTGAAAAGCTTCCATAGCAAAGGAAGACAGCAGAAGAGAATGGCGCTGCTGCAGCATATGTCAGCTCCTTAGGCGAGGATTTCGGCCACCCAGGCAAGCCACCAAAGAGTGACAACCGTAGAGTGTAGATAATGTCTAATGATCTTCGTGGCTCGCTGAAGCCATTTAAATCGGAATGCTGTGCCCTTTATCATCTGTTTCTTCTTCCTTCTTGATCTACTGGAAGATGGATGATCTTCTCCTAAATGAATAGCTTAGATAGTTAGTTGCCTGCTCAGGGGGTTGTATATATGGAAGTTTGTGTTTTGAATTTTATATGAGAGAAACGTCTAAGTTAAGCGCTGCTTAACAGGGTGATAGACTTTGAGAAAGTCACTTTCCCTCTCTGAGTTTTGAAAGAGATTGGTTTCCTTTATTAAAACAAAACAAAAAGACTTCTGAGGTTTGAGTGAAGGACTCTAGAGAACAGTGTGCATGTGAGATGTGGAAGTCTGCACAAGAGTCCCCACTTCCTGGCACAAAGTTCTTGTCTGCTGCTTTGAGATGTTTGGTCCCTTACTGTAACCAGCCCAAGGTTCAGTGATTCTCCTTTAAAACTAGAGCCCAGTCATAGACTAGAAGCCTTTTCCTCTATGTCCAGCTCAGCAAAGCTGAGACAGGGTGACACTGAAAGATAACAAAACTCTTACTCCAAACCTTGAAAGGCAGGAAAAAAAAAAATCAAAATTGTCTAATTTCTGACTCAGCCTTTTGATGCTAAGTATACCAGGAAAAGCTACACCAAGGGCAAGCCCCCCTCTCCCCTTCACTGGGAAGTGATCTTATACAAGTTCACAGTAAATCTATCCTAACTGAACTATACAGTAACCATACATGCTTCCAGCAAATGGGCACCCTACACTGGAGGGAGCACTTCTGCTGCTCTCAATTTCCTCCTTTGAACAGACGAGCTATAACATCATGGGTCTCATGAATGAGCAAGTTCCCTAAATTGTCTTTAAGCATGGAACTATAGGTGCAAACATTTTCACAATAGTTATATGTATTTGTATTTACATCTATATCTGTTTACAAATAATCGCATTGGTTTACACTTTCAGTTCACCAATAAATGAAATGAAATGTACCCTCACAAAATGTCTCCCCTCCTAGCTCACTCTATCCAGGACCTCTGAGTTCAAACAAAATCAAAACATATATACATGATACTTCAGGTTCTATAAATGAATACACAAACACGTATTATTACTATTAGTGGTAGTTGTAGTACCATTAGCATCATTGTCAAACTTTTTTCTCCATTGTGTGGTTGGCAGTATTATCTGGATTTGCTTTTTTTTTTTTTTTTTCTTGGAATTGGAGCCTTCTAATTGCCATCTTACCTTTTCTATCACATTCTCCTGGTCTCAAGAAAGCTGGTGGAGTGGGGGTTGTGGGGCTCAAGAGCCACTAGGGCAGTATAAAAAAATCCACAATTGCCTACTAAGTGTGTAGCACAGAGCCCCGTGATGTTTTCTCAGAAGAAATCAATGCCCAACATTCACATCCAGGTTGACTGGGCATACACTGATCCTGACTAAGACCATTTCTGCCCATATCTGACTGTCAGCCTTCTCCAAAAGAGGCGGTGCTTCCACAAAAGCCTTGATGAGATAGGTGTATCACTTCTCTTCTCCCATTGTTGGGCCCTCAGATTTACAGTACTGTACTTGACTTCTTAGTCTTCAAGAACCTCAATAGAACAACTGGAAATGGAAAGGTGGGCAAGGGGTATTCACTCTCCCTACCTGGCTACATACAGCTACCCCAAACACAAGTGGGGCTGTTTGCTTGATGCCTTGGCAGGGAACAGGGGTTATGAGAACCACCCCGCTATCCCGACCTCCCATTTCTGGCATTGTTCCCTGAATACAGTTGGTGCTTAGCAAATGTTGAATTTGAGTAAGGAACAGATTAACCTTATTGAAATGTTAGTTTTTCAAAGCTTACAGAGATATTGCTGCAGCTTAGGCATGACACACTGATATGTGTGTGGTGATGGTAGAGGGGTTATTTAAGGCCCAGGCTCAAGACACACGCACTGCACACCTTCCAGCAGCAAGTGCACATACAATCATTCTTGCCAACCAAGATGCCTCATGAACTGGTTTCTTCTTGGAAAATGCCAAGAAAGAGGAAGCAACCCCACTCTTAGAAAAATCTATTTTGGTTTGTTTGACTTGTCACATCCTTCCCTCAATGGAAGGGGACACGAAATGGAAAGGGACATGAAATGGAAAGGGACACACTAGGAAATGAGAAGTGTGGGCTGGGGAAAGAAATTCTGGGCAATGGATAGAGTAGCTTACCGGCCAGAGAGCAGCAGGGACAGGCGGTTGATGGGTGTCTCACCCTCCACAGCATAGGTCTGTTCAGTGGCCAGAGTTAAGACCTGCTCCTCGCAGCAGTGAACAATCTCCTTGTATGTCTGTAGGGGCACCTGCAAGGGCAGGCACAGCGTCTTGTAGAGGAGGTCAAACTCCTCAGGGAGGGTGTCCTCACGCAGGCGGTATACCAGGTGTGCCAGCTGGAGCAGGCAGACCACAGCCAGCAGGAAGCTCCAAAGAACAATGTCCAGGCCACAGGCACTGAACCAGCCCCACAGCACGCAGCACAGGTAACCTGCACTCAGGAAGCCAAAAAGATAGAAGCATCCATACACCCCACTGCCCCCCATGAAGCCCAGGAGTAAGAGGCAGTTGGCTAGGTGGTAGACAGCCCCTTCCACATCCTGCTTCCACCTAATGCACGCTGAACCCTGCAAGAGAAGCTGGCCCACTCTGCTGCTGTTGGCGCTCATCTTTGGGGCCTCTCAAAGCCTCACTGGGCTCTAATACTGTCCTCACATAGGAAATTCAGAAAATGAATGAATCCATCCGCTCAGGGGTCTTCTCACCTCCGGCTTCTCACTACCGACTCCACCTTTCCTAGAAGGAATGCTTCCGGTGGCTTTGGGAAGGAATGATGGAACATAGTACACTTCATGGAGAATTTAAAAACCTCTTTCTCTCTCTCTCTCTCTCTCCCCCTCTCCCCCCCTCTCTCCTCCCCACCACCCCCGCTGTCTCAGCAAGGCTCTGGCTCTCCCTGCAGAGCTCTGGCAAGCTTCCTTGGTTCCATGTTTCTTGGGAGTCTTCAAATTTGGTTCTTAGCAGAAAAACCTAAATAGTCCCAAGGGAAAGTAGCACTACAGGACTGAAAAGTCCAGCAGCGTGGGATGATGCGGCCACATCCTGCTCTCTGTTTTTCCCAAGCAGAATGAGGAGAGCCAGCATGGGAGGCACATTTGTGTTCCATTTGGAATGTGTTCTCTCTTGGCACCGGAAGAAAGGGTGACCCCAGATGGATACCATGTTTGGAATTGGAATCCAAGAGGTACTGGCAGTGAGAAAAAACAGGCCAGGCACAGGCAGCCTGGCAGAGCACTTAACATACCTCCCAGAGGACAAGATAAGACCTCAGGGTCAGAGAGACAGACAAGGAGAGAGAAAGGAAAAGTGAGCACAGAATTCACCTGAACACCTCAGGCAGGAAACTGTCCCGAGCTCCCTTTGGGGAGAGCCAGACAGTGCTTCTGAGTGAGGACACATCAGAGTAGGAAAGTATGGGACTATTATCAGAAAAAATCCTAACAGTGAAAGCTGGAAAACCCCCTGAAGGCCTTTATTAAGTCACACTGCAAATATCATTATGTATTTATTTGACATCCATTTAACAAAAGTAGCTATGTAAAGTGGCTTTTTGAATTCTAAGCTGGCTTTCCCCTGCATATATCTGGATCTGGTAATAGTAAACAAATAATAATACATTGCCCAGATCATCATCCCACCCACTCCGGTGCTTCCAAATTATAATTCCCACCTATTAAACACCCATGAAGTGCCAAACCTAGATTAGGCATTTTATACACTTATAAGTTAGTTGTGACAACAATCCTTCAAAATAAATATTATTCTCCTTCTAGATCTGGAAGAAACTGAGGCTCAGAGAGGTAACAAGCTCCCACAGATGGTCTAAGTGGCAGAGCCAGGATTTGAACCCAAGTCTGTCAAACTTAATACTCTGTCCCAAGGGGTTTGCCAGTAAGTGGAAGTACAGTACTAGATCCATGACTCCCAACTCCACACTTCTATGAAGTCTGACAATTTTCAAGGAACTTCTGGTTGAACCTAGGAATCTACTTTGGGCTGCCAAGAGATAAAGCTGGAGTATGCAAACATTAGGCTAAGAAATGTTAGTTGGGCACAGTGGCTTACGCCTATAATCGCAGCACTTTGGGAGGCTGAGGCGGGTGGATCACCTGAGTGAGGCTGGAGTTCGAGACCAGCCTGGCCAACATGGTGGAAACCCTGTCTCTACTAAAAGTATAAAAATTAGCTGGGCGTGGTGGCGGGCACCTGTAGTCTCAGCTACTGGGGAGGCTGAGGCACAAGAATCTCTTGAACCTGGGAGTCAGAGGCTGTGGTGAGCCAAAATTGTGCCACTGCATTCTAGCCTGGGTGACAGAGCAAGATTCTGTCAAAAAAAAAAAAAAAAGGAAGGAGAAGAAAGAAGGAAAGAAGGAAGGAAGGAAGGAAGGAAGGAAGGAAAGAAAGAAAGAAAGAAAGAAAGAAAGAAAGAAAGAAAGAAAGAAAGAAAGAAAGAAAGAAAGAAAGAAAGAAAAAGAAATGTGACTCTCTGGATTCCAAATGACTCCTTGATTCTTCCTCCCTGCTGCTGGGTTAGCACTTACTCCCATTACTCCTATCGCCCCTGAAGTACAGGCGGGGTGCTCAGTAACCTCCCAGAACTAATCAAGGACTCAATTCATAAGGACTTTTACTATACTGCTATAACTTGATGAAAATTTATGAGAAATTCAAAATTGTCAAATATGGTGAGAAGGAGATGTTTTCACTCAACAAATATTTATTGAGTGCCTTTTATGAGCTAAGCCCTTGGGCATCAAAGATCCTCAAGAGAAACTTTCACCCTGTTAGGGTAAAGAGACCTCAAAAAACAAAGGCAGTTCAGTATGTGAAGCACAACAACCAAGTTAACTTTGAAGGATGGTGGCAGCCTAGAAGGAAGGGTGGCATCAGGGAGGGAAGATGCAAAGAAGGGCTGGCCTCTAATTTGAGGTTTAGGGGTTGAATTCACCAGGCAGGTAGAGGGAGAATAGCATTTCTAGTGGGGAGAACAGCATTTCTAGTGGTGAGAACAGCAGAAGCACGGGCACAGAGGCATGAAAATGCATGGCATGTTGAAGGAAGCCAGTTTTTTCTTAACCTCATTAAAATCATCTGACCAACAAATATATACCTTATTTCCTCCTTTCTAAGTTAAGAGGAAAAAAATCAGTAAAGAGCTAGAGTATTTGGAGAAGAAATGTCACTGAGGTCACTCCATGGACATGATTTGGACCCCTGACATCATTTTAACAGTGGGGTTTGGGGATTTCCATATACTGTTTTTACATCACTTGCCTGCCTCCCAAACAACCCCCCTACTTTAACAAGCAGCAGCTGCTCATCCTTCTATCACAGACATGCAGCCCCTGAGCTTCCAGAGTAGCTGTCCCTGCCAGCTGTAAGCAGGGAAGTCAGAAGCATAGAAATGAAGAAGCAACCAAAGCTCTGCCCAAGATACAATTTCAAAGCAGCTCATCTTTCTTAGGAGACCTGCCAAATAGGTTGGCCCTGACCCATTAAAGAGACAGGCAGACCCATTAACTCTATGGTTCACTTGTCCTGCTGTCCAGACTGCACTCAGCCTGCTTTCCTGTCAATCCACATATGTGCTATCTCAGCAGAGGGGACTAACATTTATCAAGCAGCTATTGTTTTATGTTATCTTACTATACCTATTTTTTGTTTTAATAGAAGCAGCAGGCTCAGAGAGGCTAAGGAACTTGCCCAAGGTCACAAAGCTAGTCAGTATGTGAATAAGGATTAAAGCCTAGGTCAGTGTGTCTCTGAATTGTATATTCTCTACAGTATATTAATAACATCCTACCAGGTACTTTTGGGAGTTTACATGTGTGCATATACAAGCTCATCTATTGCTGCTGGAAATTTGAGTACATTGCCAGGGTGGCATACGTGTCAGAGAATCATGGGTGCATGTAATAGTGACATTACACTGCAGTAATAGTGGCCTGCAGTAATAGTGACATTGATGCCCACAGGATAGGACCTGTGATCAGAACACAACAATGAAAAGTTGTGTCTTGTGTAAGTCCAGATTTGATAGAAAAGGAAAGAAAAAATGTATTGTCTGTCAAAATGGTATGTTCTTATAAGGAAATACACAAACATGAAGGCAGAACACAATAAAAAACAACTGGGAAAGAAAAAAGGAAAGAAACATAAGTTTTCTCATTTGTTGAGCTGATTCAATTCAATAGGCATTTATTCAGGACAGACTATGTGTTCCAAGAACAGGGGATATAAAGATGAATAAGACAATTATCACTTCAAGAAACTTTCAGTCTATCCCGGATACTGACTCAGAAACTGTAATCCAATAAAATAAGTGTACTTAGGATTCAAAGAAAAAACACTTATGAGGGAGCAAATAATTCAATCCATAGGGACTTTTACTATACTGCTATAACCTAACTAAAATTCATGAGGTTGGGGGCGTGATGGCTTATGTCTATAATCCTAGTATTCTGGGAGGCTGAGATGGGAGGATCACTTGTGCCCAGGAGTTTGAGACCAGCCTAGGCAACATAGTGAGACCACTGTCTCTTAAAAAAATATTTTTTTCCACGAGAAAACATCACAGGGAAGGTGACTTTTAATCTGGTCTAAAAAGATGAGTAGGTTTTCCCCAGCTAGAGGAGGGCATTCCAGGAAGAAAGAACAGATTGTAAAGTCAGTCCCAGAAGTAAAACAAAATACGTGGCATATTCTGGTAACAGAGAACAGCTTGTTGTAGGTGAATCAAAAGGAGCAGCAGACAAGAGGCAGGCGAGGCAGGCGGGGGCCATCTTATGAAGTCACCAGAGTCAACAAGTGTGGTCATGAACTCAGCCTGGTCTTCAAACTGTTTGTTACTTGTCCATGCTGGTTCATGCTGGGGTAAGGACAGAAATTGTGACTTTAGACATTTTTTATAGCAATTTCACAGAGAAACTATGGCCTTTGAACTAACAAAAATTCTGGGTTTGTATAGCATATTTTTAAATCTATATGGGTTTATTTCATTTTCCTAGTGTTGGGTCTGTGATGAATTGAGGGGAAAAAAGCTGGTTCTTCACCACATACAGTTTGAGAAACACTGAGCTTGGGGTTAACACTTTCCTAGTATAGATACTAAAATAGAACAGAGGCATAATTTTATGCTCTGGACACATAGTGTCAAGTTGAACTTAAGCAGACACTATTGGTTGTCTTCCATAGCCATTTCCCCTTTTTCTTCAGTTTATGCAAATCTAATTTTGCTTGGGTAATATGTTAAGGAAGGTGGGCTTTTCCCCAAGTTGCCAGAGCCTGAACTAAGATTGGTTGAAGCCAAGCACAATATCTCATTCCCCTTGATAGCGACTGGCACAAAAGTAGACCTGTGAGCAATGAGATGTAAGAGGAAGTACGTGGGGGAGCTTCTGGGAAAAAGTATACTCCCTGGTAGATAGCAGGCCTACCTTTCATCCAGGCTTGAATAGTTGCGTGACGATGTAATGCTTGAAGTTACCATAGTCATGAGATAGGATATGCCTAAGGATGAGAAGGGTAAAGAGCAGAAAAATAGAACAAGCCTAGGTTTTTTTGTTTGCTTGCTTTTTTAAGACAGGGCCTTGCTCTGTCAGCCAGGCTGGAATGCAGCGGCACAATCACGGCTCACTGCAGCCTCAGTCCTCTGGGTTCAAGCGATCTTCTCACCCCAGCCTCCCAAGTAACTGAACTACAGGCATGTACCACCATGCCGAGCTAATGTTTTTATTTTCTGTAGAGACAGGTTCTCACTATGTTGCCCAGGCCAGTCTTGAACTCCAGGATTCAAGCAATCCTCTGGCCTCAGTCTCCCAAAGTGCTGGGATTACAGGCATGAGCCACCACACCCAGCCAAGACTAAGTTCTTGAAAGCACCACTGAGCCACTATCTCAAACCAGGAGCTTTTAATTTCCAAACTTCCTAACAGGGAGGTAAATTACTTTTCTGTATTGCTTGTGTCAGTGTAGTTGGGTATTCTACTGCTTCCAGTTGAAAGCATCCTAATTCAGATCTCACTAAGGACAACTCTTCAGGGAACAGTTCTCTGAACATCTGCTAATTGTCACATTCTATAAAAACTGAACATCAGAATTATTTTGCTCTACCAATAATTTTCTTTCTAAAGTTTGAGCAAACTATGAGAGGAATTCCTCCATAAACTCAATTTGACTGTTCAGGGTGACCTGTTAGGTGAACAAGATGGTGTAGTGGAAATCTGGTTGTCTATTCAATATCCATTTACCTCTTCCTCAATTGTGACGGAATTTGTTTTGTCCAGATATCAAACCTGCACATGGATCTAAGCAGGGGTGGGATGAAGGGGGCGGATCTTGTGTAAGCCAATCAGCATAAGGTATTCTGTTGATAACTATTACTGGTCCATAAAAATACATATAACCTAATTTGGCTCAATCAGACCTTTAAAAAGGGGACTAAGAGTCCATGCCCAGGGAATGGTTTCTCTCTCTTCCGCTGGACTTTAACAAGCAAGCACATGACGGGCTTCATCAGTCCTGGACGAGAAAGCTGAGATGAAAATAACTTGAGTCTTGGATGAAATCAGTGACCCTATGATATCATCACATCTAGAGCTGACTCTAACTGGACTTCCAGCTATGTGAGTTTTCCTTATGAGGATTTTCTATTACTTGCTATCAAAAGCACCATAATTGACATAGATGGAATATCTAGCAGTTTTTAATACCTAAAGAAATAAACGCTGGGCATAATCACACATGCACTGTTTAGGAAAGCATCTTGGAATATCCACCATACCACTGAGCATTCAACTTTATATTTCTACGGTTTATATACATATATCCACTAGACTATAAGCTCTTTGAGGGTAGAGTCTATGTCTTACTACTCTTTACTACTCTGTATAGTTGGCATATAGTATGTCCTCAGTAAGTGATGAATCAAATAGCCTCTCATCTTGAAAAACGTGTCTGATTCACACATGAATTATCAACACTAGGGCTGTTCCCTGCAAATAATAGACCTTCACTAAGTATGCATTAAGTGAATTTATAACTACAAATACATGATGTTTATACTGGATAACTAGTACACCAAAGAACACCGGGCTTCAACTTACCTCGCAGGTTACCAGCTATTGGATCAGGGTGATTTCCTTATCCTCTCCAAGCACCTATACTCACCTGTAAAATAAGGACCATGGTTTTTCCATCACATCATAGGTCATATTAGACCTATGAAAGACATAGTATTCCCAAGATAGGCCTTACTTAAGGATATGATCCTGTTTTCATCAACCTTCAAGTCAAACATTTCAAGGTTAGACAAACGGGGGACTAGAGAGAATAGTGTGAATATATCCGTATTGAGTTGTCATTATTGTGAAGAGCAAGGGCTTAGCAAAGAGGTGCATTAGAATGTGGTTGTTACCCACTAGGAGGCCAAGTTCTTCACTTTTCAAGTGACTGTGGTGATATCTCTTTTCATTATTACCGAAATGCTGTACCTCATCTTTGGGAAGACTTAAGCACTAGGAAAGGGTGGGCAGAGGGTCTTGTGAGATGTACTTTTAAGTGTTGCAGAGGCCAAAAAGGGTGCTTTCAGTTCCCTTACAAATCAGGCAAGCATACCAAACTGGCAAAAGTTTAAAAAAATTGTGTTGCTCAGAGATTAATCAGTGCTCTCAGACACTAAGGTGTAAATGGATATATTTTTTCTAGAGATCACTTGGGGGCAGTCCTCACTCAAAGCCTTGAAAACACGCATGGCCTCTGGCCCATCCTTAGCTGAAGTGATTAGTAAAGGACACTTGTAAAGACTTTCCATAAGGAGACTTCTATTGCAGTGTTATCAGAGTAGCCAAAAAAAAAAAAAGAAAGTAAAAGGTGTACACACACACACACACACACACACACACACACACACACACAGAGAGAGAGAGACAGAGGTGAGAATGTCATCGAAGAGAGGTCCTATTGTAGACTGATGGGATTTCAGATTTCTTCCTTATTATGTTTCCATTAAACCAACCAACAAAATAAAACAAACAAAAATTCGGAATTTAGGTTATCTGACATATATCCTGTTCCAGACTGAGACCCAATTCCTAGAACGGCATCTGACATACAGAAGGCACTCTATATGAAGTATTTGTTTAATGAATGAATGTCCAAATGCGCAAAAAGAAAAAATAGGGTATTGGTTAAATTATGGTTAAGTCACAGATGAATTTATACATAGTCAATACAAATGACACCACAGACCTATACTCACTGATGGTAAAATACCTTAGGGGCAAAACATGATAATGTTATAACCTCATTAAAAATATGTAGCATAGAAAAAAAATTTTATTTTGTTTTAAAAAATGTATAAAGGCATAGGAAAAGTCTAGACTAGTATATATCAGAAATTAACAATGGGTGATAAGGTTATCGATTTTTTTGTTTTCTTTTTTGCAGTTCCAGGACATATTCAAGCAGAGTTTGGATAACCACCTGCCAAAGATCTGTATTGGGTGGGAAGTTGGTTCATACCTGTCTTAATTGTCCAAGATTCTATTCTTCACCTAGATTATCTCTGTAAATCATGAAGTGCTTACTAAAAGTATTATATCCAAATGAATATTCAAGTAAAAATATAAACAATAAAATAATAGAGAATGCTAATAACAGTGCTAAATACTGTGTATACATCATTTTTAATTAGTACTGACAATCTCGTAAGTTAGGTATTACTTCTATACCTTTTTTTTTTTTTCAGCTGAGAAAAACAGACCCAAAGAAGCTATGCCTTGCTTGAGGTCACATAGCCAGCTATTGAACCTAAGTCTGTCATACATCAAAGCCATGCTCTTAATGAATTAGGAAAGAATCTTAAGGAATCATCTGATTCAGCTCCTTATTTTATAAAGGAGGGACTTTTCCCATCACACAATGATACATGAACATTATACATCCTCTTAATTATGTTCTCAGTATCTTTTGTTCTTGAGATTTTAGACTCAATGTACTTACAAGCAGAATATGATCATACTTCATTAGCCCATCAGCAGCTACGAGGATGACAAGGTTGCTATACTAAGGAAATCACACTCTGTTCAACTCCAGGCATCACCATGGCATAGCACTGAGCTGTTTGATTAGTGACATTTAATACCAATTCAGTCTCTAGCCTAATTAATTTCTAATTAATTCTAATTTCTAATTAGTTTCTAATTAATAAGAGACAACTGTCTACCCTGTAGGCACGAAACTTAAGATCCTAGTCTATTTTAAAATGTAACTACCCATGTACAGATTCATAATGCCAAACAGTTGAGATCTTCTAAGCCAAATTACCCTAATCTGGTCCAAAATCTAAACTAACTTTTCCAAAAGACAGCTAGTAAAGAATAACAATAATGGTTTAAATAATAAGACTAAAGGCTTGTTCTTACCTTTAAGAAAGTTAAAAAAAAAAAAAAAAAGAGTGTTGAATGAGATGATATGGCTACCACACTGATTCTGAATTGGTAAAGGGTTATTTTACTTCTATGCACCTAATTCTGGAGATTTCATTGGTTGAGGTCAGTATCTGCTTTCTCCTGACAACAGATATCCAGAGTTCCCAGAATGACATAGTAATAAGAACATAAGAACCTTATGTTACAAGATTTGTTGGTATATATCCTTTGGGGGAAAAAGCCACGTGAGCAAATGAGGAACACAAAAAAGAAACACAACTGAAGATCTTCCACTAGTAATATTTTACTTTCTTCTTACAATAAATTATAAATACTTTTTCCACATATCAAAGTTCGTCAAAGAACTCCCAAAATTAATCTTCTTCATTCTTCAGGAATTATTTATTCACACAGCAGACCACCTACAGAAAAATATTTATTTTAGAAAGTCAGATTTCAAACATCATGCCAGATCTATGGAGTCAGGGAATTAAGACCACTAGAAATGAATGCCTCAGATGAGTAATTAACTAATTGCCAGAATTATTCCAAATCAGTCATAAAATTCAAAATCAACATTTTAAAATTCTAGGTTTGCCTAACTAAAAACATTAGTGAAATTATTCATGATATTATTTACTCTTTAAAAGTTTTTGAAGTAAAAACTCTCTCTGCGTGTATATATATATAATACATATGTGTGTGTTTGAGAAATACATATTTCTCAAAAATATCCTCCAAAAAAGGCTAAAGCAGTTATTTTTACAGATATTCAAGAAACAAGACCTGCAAACCCCTCTTTGCTGATTCAAGTATGCCTGGCGAAGATCCACAAAGTAGAAGGCAGAAGGTCAGCTCAGTACCCAAGGCACTTCCTGTGGAAAGTTACTCACTTAATCCCAAAGGCAAGACAAGGGCAACCCTTTAATATTCATTTGGAAAAATCAAAAAGGGAGAGTAGCATAGATAGGGTTGCTGATCCAGTCAAGTCAATACCAGGCTTCTCACACCTCTCCCAGTGCCTATCCCAGAAGATTGAGAACAATGCTAGGAAGGTAATTAAATTGGGGTAGCTAACTCTTCAAGTCTAATGCAAATATTTCCTTCATTTAGCTGTTCACTTCATTTGGTTTAAATAAAGATAAACCACATCAAGATACAAACATCTAAACTCTTTTCTAAAAGACTCAAAGGAAGAATACATTTATAGAAAAGTTTGGAAAGATAACCAAAAACGAAGCCATTCAACCTTTCAATTATAGCAGCCCATAGCATTGTTACGACTTTTGCGACTGACTACATAACAAAAGGGGCTGTGTGGTGGAAGACCCTGGATTTAAACCTGTTTGATTATATCTCTGGATGTAAAGTCTTTGACTGGAGGGATAATCTTTCTCTCCTCAGTATTTTCCAGGGTCTTAATAAATATCTGCTGAATGAACAAATGTTTGAATGGCAGAAATTATTCTTTCTGGATTATCTTGGGATATTTTCATACATGATCAGTTTTGTGTGTGTGTGTGTGTGTGTGTGTGTGTGTGTGTACAATTCAGCATATTTTAAGCATCCAACTGTTAAGTTGTTAAACTTAATATTGAGTATCACCACTATTCAGTACTAGTCCTTTAATTTCTTTCAACGACTTTAGTCTCCAAAATAGGTTCTTTAGGCTTCTTCTGTCTCCTAAAGGCAGGAAGATAGTAGCCATCTATTTCCTCATATTTCTAATGAGGTTCTAGGTTCTTCTAATTACTCTTTTCAGTAAAAGCAGCAGTCATAAAATAGAAAAAAATTGTCTAAAATCACCACCATACCTATTTTTTCTTGAGTTTTCAAGTCTCTGCCTTTGCTACTACTAAATTTTCAGATACTTTATGCCTAGCATTATCCCTGCTATTCATCTTCAACTTAGGCCAGTGGTTGTTAAAGAGGAGTGCACTTGAAAATCATCTAGGAGTTTCTCAGTCAACAGGTGCAGACCAGGGCCCAAGTTGTGAATTCTGGAAAACATTCTTCAGATGATTCTGAGGTGCACCTCTGGGTAAGAACCACTGGGTGAATGTAGCCTACTTTCAGGTAAGGTATAAAAAATGTATAATAGATTTATTCCCAATCTACTGCACTTGAGGTACAATTAAGATCTACTTAGGAATAACATTAAAATCTACAAAGGTTTTTGAATTAAGGAACTTTCATGATCGTTGCCAGAGAGATCTAAGTTTGCAAAATATTTTTCCTTTGAAGCTATTCTCAGAAAAATGTGATCTAACAGTCTAAGAAATACCGATTTAGGTTAAGTTTATCTTATAGCAATGCAGACAGTTGTGTTGGATTTCACCCTCCAGCCAATGGCCTGTTTACTGGGTTATATGCAACTGTACATTTCCGCAACAAGTCTTTCTAATTAGCATTCATAATGAGGTTTTAAGATTGAAGATCAAGATTATGTGCAATCCTAAAAATGAATATGTTGGAATAAAATCTCATTAAGTACAAGGCGTGAAGTGTAAAGTGCCTGTGATTTAGAGAATATAAAAATCTTAACTCTAATCTAATTCTACCACTATCCACTCCTAACTTGAGCAAGTCTTTTTTGACTTCACTGTGCTTCCATTTCCCCATGGAGGTTGGGGAAATAGGACACCTGGGACCAATAAGGATCCAACACCCAGTCCTCTTCCCAAAATATTATTACACTGAAAATGAAAAACATGGCAGTTTGAATTCTCAGAAGGGTCCTATATGGATTCAGATTGTTCTTCTTGTAACCAGGATTCAATAATAATCAAGTCATATACTTAACAGACCTCAACTGAATGTCTGCTATCCACAACTCTAAAGGTATGAGCTATTCTGTTCTGGTTTTTACAGATGATTTATTTTACATTGAATCATCACAACTCTATGAAGTAGTTTGGGCATGTATTATTGTCTCCATTTTACGGATGAGGAAACCAAGGTACAGAAAGTTAAGGACCTGCCCAAGACCACACAATCAGTTAAGCAGTAGATTTTCTAAGTCTAAAGCTTTTGCATTTTCTTTTACACACAAATGAAGTACACAAACATAATTCTCACTCTCTGCCCTGATAACATAAAGAAAACTATGATATCATATGATACTTTTGAATATATGCCACTTATAACAATTGTACCACCTTTGTGGTTCAGATGAAGTCCAAGATAAGCTTTTGATATTCCTAAAATTAGCATTTCTTTTTATTTAATCACCCCTTTTTATCAAGGCAAGTTCAGCACAAGCCTACAGCTTACACAACTGACGAGGGAGTTAGATCATGAACAAGGAAACCATGTACAAATGTTAAGGTTGCATCTTTAAAAATAGTTAATAAAGTACACATACTTTTTAAGAACACACTCCCCTTCAAATTTACTTATTTTATAAAATAGTTCATTATGGGATTTCTTTAAATAACCATCTATTCTAAAAGCAACTTAAGTATATCATTTACACAACAGTAGATATACCATACTATATATAGAATCACAAAATGTATTATGGTTCTCTTTTTATAAATAATAAGTGAAATTCAGAGGAGTAATGTCTTGATGAAGCTAAATGTAGCTAAACTTAAAAACATGATAAACTAAACATCAGGAGAATAAAAACAAAGCCTCAGGACTTTCAGCCTAGACTGTTTTCCATTACACAGTAACTTCTTATCAGCTTGCGACAAGTTCCTTATCCCTCCTTTTTTATAGCTCAGTGAGGAAGACTGGCCATATGTGAAATTCCAAAGAGGCAGGAAAGAGGTGCAAGGGAAAGAAGCCAGGCTCTCTAGTACTAATATATTGGCATATGGCTTTGGCATTCTCTCTCAGCTGTTATTAAGTTAAAAGTGGTAGTGTGGTGTGGAAGTTAGGGTAGGGGCAAAAAGCAGAGGGAATCGGCATGGAGACTGAGGCTCCAGTTCTGATACTGCACAACCCACCTTGGGGGCCATTTCATAACTATAAGCTTTAATTTCCTTATTTATTCATTCATTTAACAATCCTCCATTAAGCACCTACTATGAGCCAGGCACTGTTATAGGTAGTGGGGATATGACAGTAAATGAAATAGAAAATTCCTACTTTCTCAGAGCTTACATTCTAGCTGCCGTGAAGCAACACAGGTAATTAAAAATATATGTATCATGCAGGTGACAGTGTATAGAATAGAGTAGCCACTAGCCACATGTAGCTATTAAAATTTTTACAAACTAAAAATTCAGTACCTCACTCTCACCAGCCACAATTCAAGTGCTCAACAGCCACATATGGCTAGTGGCTACCAGACTGGCAAGTGCAGATACAGAGCATTTCCATCTTCACAGAAAGGTCTTAGGACAGCACCATGATAGAGTGATGGGGAAGGGATGTAATTTACATGGGGTGTTGAGGGAAAGCCTCTCTAATAAGGAGACTTTTGAAAGAGACCTGAGTAAAGAGGGAGTGGGGTGAGGGGGTGAGCTAAGTTGATAACTGAAGAAAGAGCTTCCAAACAAAAGAGTATCATTTGTTTGTGGAATTGTTGGACACATACCACTTAAGGTCCCTTTCAGCACTTAAAATGGGTTAAGAGTTCCAAGTTCTTTTAAAAATGGCCTGAGGCCCACCGCCCTGTCTGGGATGTCAGGAGTGCCACTGCCCGGCTGCCCACTGTCTGGGAAGTGAGGAGTACCTCTGTCCGGCCACCCCGTCTGGGAAGTGAGGTGCCTCTCCGCCTGGCCACCACCCCATCTGGGAAGTGAGGTGCCCCTCTGCCCGGCTGCTGCCCCGTCTGGGAAGTGAGGAGCGCCTCTGCCCAGCTGCTGCCCCGTCTGGGATGTGAGGAGCGCCTCTGCCCAGCTGCCGCCCTGTCTGGGATGTGAGGAGCGCCTCTGCCTGGCCGCCCCACCGTCTGGGAAGTGTGGAGCGTCTCTGCCCAGCTGCCCACTGTCTGGGAAGTGAGGAGTGCCTCGGCCCGGCTTCTGCCCTGTCTGGGAAGTGAAGAGCACCACTGCCCGGCTGCCCCACGTCTGGGAAGTGAGGAGCACCTCTGCCCGGCCGCTGTGCAACCTTCCAAGTGTGAAGTGACAGCCTTGTGTGTGATCTTTTCTGTCTTCCCCAAGTTTGCATTTTTGACATTAAAGTTTACTTTTTAATTAAAAAAAAAATGGCCTGAGGCTTTAGTTTTATTCGAATAAAGCATGCTACAATTCCATTTTCATTTTTCAGAAAGCAATACTTCCGTGGGATACCCACTCCCTACTTAAAAGCATTTCTTGGCCAGGCATAGTGGCTCACACCTCTTAATCCCAGCACTTTGGGAGACCAAGGCAGGAGGATTGCCTGAGTCCAAGAGGTTGAGACCAGCCTGGGCAAGATGGTGAAACCCCATCTCTAAAAAACAACACAAAAAATTAGCCAGGCACGGTGGCCCACACCTGTAGTCCCAGTTACTTAGGAGGCTGAGGGGAGGATCACCTGAACCTCCCAGGTTGAGGCTGCAATGAGCTGTGATTGGGCCACTTCACCCCAGCCTGGGTAACAGAGTGAGACCCTGTCTCAAAAAAAAAAAAAAAAAAGCATTTACTGAAGTCCCACAATATTTATTAGAAACAAGAAAGAGAATATGTTTCTTTTAGTTCCCTCAGTCAATTTTCCTAAAGCCATGGGACCTAAAGGCTTTTGTCAAACCCTTTCTTAAAAGCTCAATTCTCCCCTTCCCCAATCCGCTAAATGACTGTCTTTACTGACATAATTTACTCCCTTCATTGGGAACTGAAAAATCATGGTTTTTTCAAATTGATACTTAAGCATTTTAGATTAACCAGGTGAACTACCTTTCAGAGAGAATGTAGCCCAATTGTTGCTAAATCTGTAAAGCAATACACAACTTTGAAGCAAGAAGCTTACCATTTCATATTTTAAATCCTAGGGCTCTCATGCATTCCTTGTGGGCCTCAATTAGATGTCCACAGTGTTCTTCTCCTTTCTCGATGATACTATAAAACAAAATGTACTTGTTATCTAAATATGCATTAAGCACATTATTAAGTATGCATGATAGTGATGGGGAGTGAGACAAAACACGGGTATAATGGAATGTAGCTGGAATTAAAACAAACGCTATTACCTCAAACAGCTTTGTTTTTATTTGATCTTATGATATGCCCATGCCTATGAAGACATTCCACAGATAAGTGATTTTGGGGGGGAAATCTGATAAGAAATAATCACGCATATTAAATATTGCCTCTAGTCAATATCCAAGGAGTAACACTGCTCTATAAAGAAATAAACTGAGTAAAATATTTATGCTAAATGAAGGGCACAGAGAACAGCTCAATTTTTTGCTTATTATCACAGAGAAATTAACTTTCTGATTTTGCCCTACATTCAAACACAACCAAATAAATCTACTTCTAATTACATCAAAAACATCTGGTAGCCAGGAGACCGAGATAAACACCCCCTCATGATGATCAAAGAATATTTTACTTGTAAAATTCACAAAGTAAAGACTAGGACTACACAGCTTTATTTCTAAGGCCTGAAAATGTGATTTTGCAAATAATCAAGTTAAGCCCAATTCAATTACAAGGAAAAACTGACTCCTGACTATGGATATTTGGGGAGAACCCACGTGGTCTGAGGCAATCGAGGCAAAGGGAATTTAACAAAGGGAATAGGTTCTCCTTCCATGGAAACTCTACCCATCCTTCAATAGCTCAAGAGCTGCCTGCAAATGGGAGATTGCCTGGGATAGTGAGATCATTGTGAAGATAATAGCTAGCATTCATTGATCATTTATTGCCATGTATACTGTGTTAGCCACTTGACATGGCTTGTATCATTAACCTTTACAATAATACTGGAGGGAGTTTCTTTTATTAGAGTCATTTTACAGACACATGAGGCTCAAGGTCACCAAGTTAGTGGATTAAGATTCAAACCTTGACTGTGGATCCCAGACTCTTAATCATGCTGTCATACCATTCAAGGTTCAACAGCACTTACTGTTACCACTGGAACAATTTGTTCAGACTAGTCTTTCAATCCTACCCGTATTATTTACAAAGTACTGAGGATTAATAAAAGCACTGAGCTCCTACACTCTTATTATCCCATTATACCACTAATGATTTCTTTCTTATATCTACTATCTGGGAAGACAAAAGGGGCCAGAGGAAGAGATGCACATTCACGTTATCTGAGGACGTCCTCTAATGAGATTTGCTCCACAAGAGAGGCTATATAAAATGAGAACAAATCTTTTGTGGATTGACAATCTAGATGAACTATTCTTAATACTTTGTCCCCTGCGTCGTAGACTGATTGATTTTCAACTTTTGGTTGTCTTAAAAGGGTTGAAGCGTAACTCTTCAGAACTGTAAGGAATACACTCTGTGTCCTACTGTCTCTAAATTTTGGGAGAAAGCCTTAGAAATTACCAGAAAACCTTTCCTGTTTGGTCTTAACAAATCTATCATAGCCCTTACCACGTCGTATACAAGTCACTGGTTTATGTCTCCATTAACTTTAAGCTCCTTTATATCAAGATGCATCTTTATCCATGTCTACATCTTCGGACCTAACGCAGTGCTTAACCCATAACAGATACTCAACACACATTTGTAGGAAGGAATGAGTGGTTGAAGCTTGCCGTTCTCCTCTCTCTCCATCGTTTCCCGGTACTAAGCTACGGGATAAGTCAACAGAGACCCGACCACGAAACCTACAAGGCCCAATAATTATCTCCAGAGCGCCGCAATGGGGCGGGGCGGGGCGGGGCGGGGGGGGGGGGCAGACAGGGAGGAGGAGTGGGGGAAGGGGGGAAGGAAGAGGGCAGAGGGCAGAAGGCAGAGGGCAGAGGGCAGAAGGCAGAGGGCAGAGGCCGTAGGGCAGAGGCACCGGAAGGCACAGGCCGCGGCCCGGGGCTCGTCGGCCGCGCCCTCTCCGGCTGCGCACTGACCACGCATCGCGCGCCTTCTTGGTCTCCGGGCAAGCGCAGCAGGGCTTCAGCGGCTTCTTCTCCTGAGACTCAGGCGGGGCAGGGTTTGAGTCAACCAGACCCGGCATCTTTCGCGCCAAAAGCAGCTATGAGCGGAGACAGCCAAATCTATGCCAGCCTCGGCAAACGCCGATTCGTCCGCAGTCACTTCCGGCAGTCGCTCTAAAAAGTACAGGAAGTCCTGCTTCTCTCTGACAGGTGGGGAATTTAAAAGGAGCGCGTGCGCAGAAGAGGCAAAATTCGGGCCTTAACGAGAGGGTGCCCCCTTCAGCGCATGCGCAAGGAGGCCCGCTGAACGCTCACCTGGACTGTGGTATTTACACTCTAGGACTCTAGGTCATAGAGTATTTGTTAAATCAACTTGGGGAGGGCTCACGAAGAAAGAAAGCAGCAAGACAACTGAGAGATCTCGTAACACCCGCTCCTCCCCACCCAATATCGAAACGGAAGCCCAAGATGGTGAAATGATTTGTTCAAGCCAAACAGGAGAAACCATAAGTGAAAGCCAGTTCCCTTGAATAACAGACTAGTTTCCCCCTTTTCTTTTATCCGCCTTCTTCCTGATCCCCACACACTGCAGGCCTTTCCTCTCTTTCATTGACCTATTTAAAAATGAATAGCAAGACATAGAACCACCGAGTCCACAACTATTGGGGGAATTTAAAAGGTCCTATAACCCCCTATACACCTCCTACGCACATTAAATCCTCAGCTAATTTGCATTTATAGCCCCCCTCCAACTGATCTGAATTCAGTATGAATTATTCAGTCATATATTCGTTAATATACTGATGAATAAAATTGAAAAATACCATTTCCATAGCATTTCCTCAGGTACATAGATAAACTGGTGCCCGTCTTATTCGCAATGAAATGGATATAATCATTGGATTTTTTTCCTGCAGAGTATTGTTGGAAACAGGCAATAAACTCTTTTTTATTTTATTTTATTTTATTTTTTGGAGATAGGGTCTTGCTCTGTCGCCCAGGCTGGAGTGAAGTGGCACGATCTTGGCTGACTGCAACCTCCACCTCCTGGGTTCAAGCAATTCTCCTGCCTCAGCCTCCTGAGTAGCTGGGATTACAGGTGTGCACCACCACGCCCGAGTAATTTTTGCATTTTTTAGTAGAGACGGGGTTTCGCCATGCTGGCCAGGCTGGTCTCGAACTCTGACCTCAGGTGATCCGCCCACATCAGCCTCCAAAAGTGCTAGGTTATAGGCATGAGCCACCGCGCCTGGCCAATAAAATCATTTTTTAAAGCAGGACTTGGAGGCACTGTTCAATAGCTGCAGGGTGATAGGTATTTTTAGGTACTTAAACTTTCAGCATCACCTAATCAAAGTTTGTTTCTATATTATAGATATTTAACTCAGGGAATTTACAGGCGTGTCTGTGAACTGGTGCTGTATAAGAGTAATTTCTATATGTGTATTTTTCAGGTTACTAAGACCATCCCCATTTTGTCATCTGAAAACTTTCAATAAGGATGATTTTTATTTCCTTCTGGATTGATATTTTTAATAATACAACATATTACCCTCATGTTCTAAATTCACCCTCATCCATTATTATCAATTCTTTCAACTAGGTGCTAACTCACATTGTTTAGAATCTTGCTAATCAAACAGTGCTTCCTGGATGAGCAATATCAACATCACTTGTAACCTTAATATACAATAAAATGTGGTTCAACAAATTATTGGGGAAAAGAAAATAGGCTAACCATCTGGAGAAAATTAAACACTACATTAAAAGGAAGAGCTCTAGATGCATTAAAGACCTAGATTGGAAAGATTGAAATATGAAATTAATAGCAAATTGTGGAGGAGAATATTTTAATACTGAGGGATGGGGGAATAACTTATGTTACATTTCAAAAGTACAAATTGCATGTCAAAAAAATTGAAGAAATTCATTACAGCAAAATAAAGGCTTGGGGTTTTACATACAATACTATAGACAAAGTTAACAAATAAATGATAGAATTGGGAGAAAATATTTGAAATCTACATATTTTTAAAAATTTTAAAAGTTAAAAAACTAATGTGTTCACTTAGAATATGTATTCAGTTGAAACAATGTCACCTTCAGTCGCAATATCTTCCATATATGTAGGGCTGTCGAGGTTGTGAACCATCATTTAATCTTCATGGCAGTCAAAATTATTATCTACATTTATAGTTGGGGAAAAATTGAAGTTCAGAGGTGTACATTTGTTCAAGGCTGCGTAACTTGAAAGTGGCAATCCTGAGTCTCATCATCTTCTCCCTGTACTCTGTCTACTATCCTACTTAATTTATCTAAATGCAAGGCAAGGCCTGGTGTAGTGGCTCACACCTGTAATCCCACACTTTGGGAGGCTAAGGCAGGCAGATCATCTGAGGTCAGAAGTTTGAGACCAGCCCAACCAACATGGTGAAAACCCATTTCTACTAAAAATACAAAAATTAGCCAGGAGTGGTAACCTGTAATTCCAGCTACTTGGGGGGATGAGGCATGAGAATCACCTGAACCCAGTGGGTGGCAATTTCAGTGAGCCGAGATTGTGCCACTGCACTCCAACTTGGGTGATGTAGTGAGACTGTCTCAAAAAAAATTAATTAATTAATGCAAAGCAAAATTTTTTTATTTTAAAACTAATCATTGATCTGTATTCACTTGTGCTATTGCATTTTTATGTATAGGAAATGAACAAGGAAGAAAAGGAAGATAAATATCTAACAGAGTTTAGAGAGCTAAGAGAATTGAGATAAACAGTAGGGACAGATAACAGACCCAAAGACTCAAACAGCTTTTCTGCAATTGAGAAGATTTTTTGGCCCACTGTCCCTCCTTGCTTCAGGGAAGAAAGATTACTGGTTGTGATAACACTGCCTGTGACTTCCTCAGGTTAGCTAATATAGGCAGGCCTCAGGCAAAGAAGTTGAGTAGCAGCCCTTTCTGCACCACACTTCTTTAACCTGCTGTGTTCCAGACATTTACAACCTTTGGTTTCCTTACTGAGTGCTGTAACCCTTAACACTCTTTCAACAACTGCTTCTTCAGGATGAAATATTCTCCTGACTTTGAAAAAAACAACCAGTGGCCTTTCCAAAGTGAAATATTTAGTCATTTATATCTAGCTACTAAACTATCCTCTTGCTTCAGAATGGTACAGCTAACCCACATATGTGGGTTACTTTTCCTTCTACCTTTTAATTTATATGAAGTAAGGTGGAGCGTGCTGGCTCACGCCTGTAATCCCAAGCACTTTGGGAGGCTGAGGTGGGCAGATCACTTGAGGTCAGGAGTTTGAGACCAGCCTGACCAACATGGTGAAACCCCGTTTCTACTAAAAATACAAAAATTAGCCAGTCGTGGTGGCAGGCGCCGGTAATCCCAACTACTCAGGAGGCTGAGGCAGGAGAATCCCTTGAACCAGGGAGGCGGAGGTTGCAGTGAGCCGAGATCACGTCACTGCACTCCAGCCTAGGCAACAGAGTGAGACTTTGTCTCAAAATAATAATAATAATAATTTATATAAAGTAAGCTGTAAGGTCAACTTTTGATTTTTATGTTATCACTATGCTTTTCTTCTTTCTCTATCATTTTTTCTTCTCCTACCCAGTCTAAATGCTTTTATACTCGTGGGATGGCCTGTTTCGGTATTAAAGGAAAGGTAGGAGTATATAACATAAGAAATTTATCCTTTCCCATTCTACCCCAACAAAAATCTTAATAGCCCACTTCCCCCAAGAAAAATAATTTTAGAGAGCTGTAATTAGAGTTTAAATTGACAGTAGGTGGCTGATGAATACCAAATAATAAAAGATAAAATTCACCCATCTGTCTTACAAAGGCAACTCTGAAATTAGTTTGATTCATACCTTTTATATCAAGCTCTTGCTCATCAATTTTGATTTTAACCAGAATTGGAGCTCTTTTAAACCTTTGGAATGCTTTGCTATTACTATAATTGCTAAATTAGCAGGCATTAAGACTTGAAGTGGTGACTGTAGTGGATTTTTTCATAGCACAGTGAATATGTTTATTGTATGTTATTGAATGGGGACATTAGCTACCAGTGGCACCAAACAGCAATTTTGTGGATGCATGACAGCCCTGGTAATGCCAGAAGCAACAACTGAGAAAGTACTTTCTAAAATCCTTCTATGATAAAGGTATTTTTAGCCATTTTTCAGGCCTAACTAATCCCAGGTGTGCCAGCTTTACCAAGTAAGGGTGAGTAGTTGTTGGTGGAGAAGGAGTGACACCATATGTTGAGAGATAAGAATTACAAGACTTAAATTCTCATTGGCCTAATGTACTATGTCTACTTTGTATAAACTAACTTACAAAAGTAAGTAAGGTAATTTTTGTCCTTATATCTGCCCCTGCAAAGGAAAAAATGCTTTCCAATTTCCACAGGTAAATATGTACTGTACATCGTTCTTTATAGCTGCAATTTTATTCAAATTGCCTGCCACAGTTTTATGAATGTTGGTTGTATTAGTCTGTTCTCATGCTGCTATAAAGAAATACCCAAGACTGGGTAATATAAAGGAAAGAGGTTTAATTGACTCACAGTTCTGCATTGCTAGGGAGGCTCCAGGAGACTTACAATCATGGTGGAAGGCAAATGAGAAGCAGGGACCTTCTTTACAAGATGGTAGGACGGAGTGAGTGCCAACAGGGGAAATGCCACTTATAAAACCATCAGATCATGTGAGACTCACTCACTATCACAAGAACAGCATGGGAGAAACTGCCCCCATGATCCAGTTACCTCCACCTGGTTCCACCCTTGACACATAGGGATTACAATTCAAGATGAGATTTTCAGTGGGGACACAGCCAAACCATATTATTGGTAGAAGCCTCCAAGCAGCTAGGTCACAGATGAAGGACAATTTATTACTTATAGCAATAGCAGCAGCAGAATATCAGCATTTTTATGCCAGTTCCCTGAGTTCCAAGTCCCACAGGGTGATGTGAAGAAAGCCAGATGATATCCACATATGCACTGGGTTGAATTACAGGAAAGGAACAGTGAGCTTAGGAAACTCAAATCTTTAGTTGTGGGCAGTAAAAATGTCTGACTTTTGCTCCCAAAGTAGACACTACCTTTGTCTTCCAAGGTTGTTTCCTACACAAAGGAACAAAGGCAAACAGTGCCACCCCTTGAAAGACATGCAGAAGGCCGGGCACGGTGGCTCACACCTGTAATCCCAGCACTTTGGGAGGCCAAGGTGAGCAGATCACGAGGTCAAGAGATCGAGACTATCCTGGCCAACATGGTGAAACCCCATCTCTACTAAAAATACCAAAATTAGCTGGGCATGGTGGCACATGCCTGTAGTCCCAGCTACTTGGGAGGCTGAGGCAGGAGAATCACTTGAACCTGGGACGCGGAGATTGCAGTGAGCCGAGATCACACCACTGCACTCCAGCCTGGCGACAGAGCGAGACTCCATCTCAAGAAAAAAAAAAAGACACGCAGAAACATGTGCACCCATGGAGAATTATCTCCCAACATTACTATGTACTTCGTTTTAATTAAATTTTATGAACTAACATCCCTTTCCAATATCAAAGTTATTTTAATACAAGTAACCTAAATGACATGACCTGATTTCACGAAGGTTGTGTATTAGTGATTTATTGCTATTACTATGGACTGAATGTTTGTGTCCTGCCATAATTTATATACTGAAACCGTAATCCCCAGTGTGATGATATTTGAAGATGGAGCCTTTGGGAGACAAGTAGGTTTAGATGATGTCATGAAGATGGAGCCCCCATGATGGTATTAGTACCCTTATAACAAGAGGAAGAGACCAGAGTCCTTTTGTTGTACCCATGTGTGGATACAACAAGAAGGCAGCACTCTGCAAGTCAGAAGTAAAGCCAGGATCCTTGCCAGGTACTGAATTGACCGGCACCTTGATCTAGGACTTCCCAGCTTCCAGAACTGTGAAAAATAAATATCTGTTGCTTAAGCCACCCAGTCTATGGTATTTTGTTATTGCAACCCAAGGAGACTAATACAGCTGTATAACAATATTACCACATACCTGGTGGTAATACATATTTATTATCTCACAGTTTCTGTAGTCAAGGGCATTACTTAAGTGACTTCTTTGATTAGGGTCTTACAAGACTTGAATCAAGCTTTCAGCTGAGACTGTGGTCTCATCTGTGGTTCTACTGGGGAAGAATATGCTTCCAATCTTATGTTGTTGACAGAATTCAGTTTCTTGCTATTGTAGGACTAAAGGCTTTGGTTTCTTGCTGGCTATCAGTTGGAGGCTACCCTCAGCTCCTAGAGGCCTCCTGTAGTTCCTTGCCAAATAGGGTTCCCAACATGGTCACTTACTTCCTCAAAGCCAGCAAGGGATAGAGAGCCACCCAGAAATATGGGCATTACAGTCTTATGTAAGAGAACCATGTAATTACATCTATCATATCATATTTGGCATATTCTATTGGCTAAAATACTTGAAAAGAGGGGATCACATGAGAACATGAACACCAGGAGGTCAGGATCCAGGGGCCACCTTAAGAATCTGTCTACCACAGGTCGATTATCTAAAGTGAAAAATTGATTATACAAATGGAGTCATTCCTGTTATACCCAACTAAAATTTAGAGTTAGAGGACCATAGGGGTGAAAAAACACTCAGGTCTCAAAAGCCTGCTCCAGAAACTGTCCCACAAGCCCAATCCAATGAAACAGCTGCTACAATTTTAAGACTAGTTTGACAACAAATGGCTGCCATGACTTCAAAGCTTGTTTTACCTAGTAACTTTTGCCACCCAGCAATCAGAGCTTGCCAGCTCCTGCAAAATGCCACAAGCACCAATAACCTTTCTCTTTTCCCAATGAAACCTCAACCATTTCCTTTTTTTTTTTTGAATATATTGGAGACCACTTCAGTTTGTATGTTTGTCCCAGATTGCAATCCTATTTCTTTGTTTATTTCAAAATAAACTCTTTTTGCTTGGAGATTAGTCTCTATCTGTTATTGACATTACATGGTGTCAGAAGTGAGATGCAAAGCAGATTCACTTGGAAAGATAATGGCCCCTGGAACTATGGTGTGCAGTACTCACTGTCAGACCCCTTGAGCCCCCTACTTCCGCTGGTGATCTTTTTTCACCCCAGTGAGTCTTTCTTGGGTTAAACACCCCTTTTTTTTTTTTTTTTTTTTTTGGATTTGAGTTCTTCAGCTTTATTTGGGATTTCTTTATGAAGGGCCTTTCCTCTCCTATTTATTAGGCCTCTATTTGTAAGGGATTTGAAGAAGGCTTTGTCATTCTTCCCGGTGAGTATGTACTTTACTCTTTGGTTCATTTTGTGTGCTTGATTTTTATTTTGGCTTTTGTGTGTTTGGCTTTGCACTGACTCACTTGGATATGTTTATTTACAAATGAACTCCCCAAATTCAAAGATATACCAAAATAGCCCCCCAACATTGGGGACTCTAGCTTGTTATATGCTTAATTATTATGGTCCATCTTCCTATTCTTTTTTTATCGCAATGGACCAATTACACTAAAGAAAATTTGGAATTACAATGGCCATCTCTTGAACTCCCTAACTTGTTTTCTTAGAACTAAATTAGAAGGCCATGGCTACAAAATTAAATTGCCTGAAAGGAGCATAAACTTTAAGTGGTATCTTGAAGCATCTAAATGTATTCAAGCCTCAAAAATCACCTAACTCCAAAATACCATCACTAAGTTAACTAAGACAGATAAACAACGAAAGGAAGATTTTAAAAGGCCTTAGAAACTCAGAGTTTTTCTGCTCCCCTGGTACCACCACCTCTCTCTCCTCTCTACCCTTCCCTTTCTGAAAACCCCACTCAATCCTGATACTTCCTCCCCTACTACCCTCCCAGCTTCTGATCCCCATCCTCAACCTATAAAAACTTGTCCCTGTAGGGTTAGACCCACTAACAATCCTGAGGTTCCTTAGATTGTCTATGCCCTTGGAATAAGGCTGAAATCCATGTTAAAGCCAAGGAATTTCCTAAAGTTACCCAGGACCCTCTTTGCTTTGCTGATGAATTTAACATTACAATTGAAGCTTACTAGCCCAGCTTCTCTGATCTTAATCAACTTGTCCACATGCTTGTGGGAGAAAGCCAGGCTAATCACTGGATGAAAAAGGTCAGTTGTGGCTGGGTATGGTGGCTCACGCCTGTAATCCCCACAATTTGGGAGGCTGAGGTGGGCAGATTACCTGAGGTCAGGAGATCGAGACCAGCCTGGCCAACAGGGCGAAACTCCGTCTCTACTAAAAATACAAAAATTAGCCAGGCCTGGTGGCACACATCTATAATCTCAGCTACTCAGGAAGCTGAGGGAGAGTCATTTGAACCCAGGAGGCGGAGGTTGCAGTGAGCCGAGGTCACTCCATTGCACTCCAGCCTGGGTGATAAAGTGAGACCCTGCCTTAAAAAAAAAAAAAAAAAAAGGAAAGAAAGAAGAAAAAGGTCAATTGCACACACCCTGTATTAGTCTGTTTTCATGCTGCTGATAAAGACATACCCAAGAAGGGGCAATTTACAAAAGAAAGAGGTTTAATTGGCCTTTGGCCTTACAGTTCCACATGGCTGGGGAAGCCTCACAATCATGGTGGAAGGCAAGGAGGAGCAAGACCCATCTTACATGGATGGCAGCAGGCAAAGAGAATGAGGAAGATGCAAAAGTGGAAACCCCTGATAAAACCATCAGATCTTGTGAGACTTATTCTCTACCACAAGAACAGTATGGGGGAAACCATCCCCGTGATTCAATTGTCTCCCACTGGGTCCCTCCACAACATGTGGGAATTATGGAAGTATAATTCAAGATGAGATTTGGGTGGGGACACAGAGCCAAATTATATCATTTTGCCCCTGGCCCTTGTCAAATCTCATATCCTCACATTTCAAAACCAATCATGCCTTCCCAGGAGTCCCCCAAAGTCTTAACTCATTTCATCTTTAACTCAAAAGGCCATGGTCCAAAGTCTCATCTGAGACAATGCAAGTCCCTTCTGCCTATGAGCCTGTAAAATCAAAAGCAAGTTAGTTATTTCCTAGAAACAATGGGAATACAGACATTGGGTAAATACACCTATTCCAAATAGGAGAAATTGGCCAAAACAAAAGGACTACAGGGCCCATGCAAGTTTGAAATCCAGTGGGGCAGTCAAATCTTAAAGCTCCAGAATGATCTCCTTTGACTCCATGTCTCATATCCAGGTCATGCTGATGCAAGAGGTAGGTTCCCATGGTCTTGGGCAGCTCCACCCCTGTGGCTTTGCAGATTACAACCTCCCTCCCGGCTACTTTCATGGGCTGGTGTTGAGTGTCTGCGGCTTTTCCAGGTGCATGGTGCAAGTTGTCGGTAGATCTACAATTCTAGGATCTGGAGGACAGTGGCCCTCCTCTCACAGCTCCACTAAGCAATGCCCTAAGCAGTGCCCCAGTAGGTGTAGGGGCTCCAACCCCACCTTTCCCTTCTGCATTGCCCTAGCAGAGGTTCTCCATGAGACCCCTGCCCCTGCAGCAAACTTCTGCCTGGGCTTCCAGGCATTTCCATACATATTCTGAAATCTAGGTAAAGGTTCCCAAACCTCAATTCTTGACTTCTGTGCACCCTCAGGCTCAACACCACATGGAAGCTGCCAAGACTTGGGGTTGGCCATCTGAAGCCATGGCCTGAGCTCTATGTTGGCCCTTTCAGCCATGGCTGGAGTGGCTGGGATGCAGGGCACCAAGTCCCTAGGTTGCACACAGCTTGGGGACCCTGGACCCAGCCCATGAAACCACTTTATCCTCCTAGGCCTCCAAGCCTGTGATGAGAGTGGCTGCCATGAAGACCTCTGACATGCCCTGGAGACATTTTCTCCATTGTCTTGGGAATTAACATTTGGCTCCTGGTTACTTAGGCAAATTTCTGTCGTTGGCTTGAATTTCTTTTCAGAAAATGGTATTTTCTTTCCTATTGCATTGTCAGGCTGCAAATTTTTCAAACTTTTATGCTCTGTTTCTCCTTTAAAACTGAATGCCTTTAACAGCACCCAAGTCACATCTTGAATGCTTTGCTGCTTAGAAGTTTCTTCCACCAGACACCCTAAATCATCTCTCTCAAGTTCAAAGTTCCACAAATCTCTAAGGCAGGGGCAAAATGCCACCAGTGTCTTTGCTAAAATATAACAAGAATCACCTTTACTCCAGTTCCCAACAAGTTCCTCACCTCCATCTGAGACCACCTGAATCTGGATCTTATTGTCCATATTGCTATCAGCATTTTGGGAAAAGCCATTCAACAAGTATCCAGGAAGTTCCCAACTTTTCCACATTTTCCTGTCTTCTGAGCCCTCCAAACTGTTCCAATCTCTGCCTGTTACCCAGTTCCAAAGTTGCTTCCACATTTTCAGGTATCTTCTCAGCAGTATCTCACCCTGGTACCAATTTACTATATTAGTCCATTTTCATGCTTCTGATAAAGACATACCCAAGAAGGGACAATTTACAAAAGAAAGAGGTTTAATTGGGCTTACAGTTCCACATGGCTGGGGAAGCCTCACAATCATGGTGGAGGGCAAGGAGGAGCAAGTCCCATCTTACATGGATGGCTGCAGGAAAAGAGAGAATGAGGAAGATGCAAAAGCAGAAACCCCTGATAAAACCATCAGATCTTATGAGACTTATTCACTACCACAAGAACAGTACGGGGGAAACTTCCCCCACGATTTAATTATCTCCCACCAGCTCCCTCCCACAACACATGGGAATTATGGGACTACAATTCAAGATGAGATTTGGGTGGGGACACAGAGCCAAACCATATCACACCCCTAACAGAATTTAGAAAGACCCCTCCTCATCTCCCTATAAACTAGCTTATAATATTGGGAGCAGGAACGGTAACTTGCAAAAAGTTTATATAGGGCCATCCCCAAAGCATTCCGTAAAGCCATTGACTAGAATAAAATTCAAGCATGTACCCAAGAACCAAACGAACCAGTTCATAACTATTATAACAGACTCCAGATTGTATTTAAAGAGAATTCTGGCCTTCCCATGGACATTGACTCTACTAGAGTTGCCTTTAACTTTATGTTTGTTAATGGTCTCTCCTAACAATTTACTCAGTTAGTAAAAAAAGCTTGCAGGGAATGAAAACCCATGCCAATCCTTTACCTTGTTAATTTGGCAAATCAATTAGATAGCACCCTAGAGGATACCAATAAAAAGAAGACTACAAAAATCCCAAACCTCCAATTACAACAAATGAAAGGTCCCAGAGAAAACAATTAGGGCTCTGAATGGCACCACTCCTCTAATTCATGAAACTCACCTCCTGGCATCCGTCATTATTGTAAACAACCTGGCCACAGCAAGAAAAACTGTTATAAATTTAACCAATCTAAATAGTCTTCTTCATTTAGCCCTTTGACTCCTGCCTCCTAATGAAAGGGATCCAAAAATATACAGGGGCTTTTTCCAATTCTTCCCCTCAACCTCCTTGGCAATGAGGTCCTACCTGTTCTCATTGACACAGAAGCAACCCTATCAGTACTCAATCCCACCAACCTAAGCCAGGCCTTGCCTTGGAGTTATAAAATTATTCAAATAGTAGGAGTTTCTAATAAACCACTGATGGCATTTCAAGCTCAGCCCATTGCTTTTTGCCTTGGGTTTTTACAAGATACCTATCCTTTTTTACTAGCAGAATCTGCTCCAGCTAACTTATTGGGATGAGATTTAAAAAAAATATATGTCATGTTGGCATCTCTTTATCCCTAAAGGGGGAAATAATTTTGGAGTCTGATAAGCCCAATAGCCTGTTGAACTCTACCAATAATCTCCCACTCATTTGTTATGTTGTCCCATGTACTAAAGAACTCTCCACTGAGTCTCAGAGTTCCCTATTGGAACAGAAAACTGTCTCTTTATCAGCCACATCATCAACAGATGTTGGTAGAATTCATAATGCACCCTCAATCAAAATCCAAATTGATTCAACCAAGCCTTTGCCTAGTATTAAACAATATTCCTTAACCAAACTGCCTTAGACCCAATATTGAAGAATACAAAACTCAAGGCCTAATAATTCCCTGTATCAGCCCCTAATACTTCCACCCTCCCAGTAAGAAAACCTAATTGTTGAGGATGGAGAGTTGTTCAGGATCTCCATGCCATAAATAATATTGTTATACCCTGTCACCTCATGGTCCAAAATATACATACTTCTGTTCCCAAATCCACATACTGCTGACTTCTATACCTACTGATAGTGAATTTTCACTGTTATTGACCTCTGTAGTGTCTTCTTCAGCATCCCTGTTGATCAAACTAGTCAATATCTGTTTGCCTTTACGTGGAAAGGACAACAATATACTTGGACTGTTTTGCCTCAGGGCTATATGGAAGGCCCTTCCTACTTTTCTCAAATTCTGAAAGCTAATTTACAAAATGTGGCTTTTCTTCAAGGCTCACCCTTACTGAAATATGTAGGTAATTTATTTCTTTGTTCTTTCTCACGCAGGTAGCCTGTGAGATAGACAGTGTGCATCTTCTAAAACTTCTTGCCACAAAAAAATCATAAGGTTTCTAAGAAAAAATATAACTATAGTTAAGACCCAAGCTAAATATCTAGGTCATCTGACTTCTTGAACATGACTACGTTTGGGCCCTGAACAGATCCAAGGTGTCCTGCAGTTCCCCAAATCTAAAATGAAATGGCAACTCAGAGAGTTTCTTAGACTTGCTGGATACTGCAGTAACTGGATACCAAACTTTTACTTAATTGCTCAACCCCTGTACACCCTACTCAAGACCTCTAAAACCGATCCCATTGTTTGAGAAGAATCTAAAAATATTGCATTTACTAAATTAAAGAAAGAATTATTAAACCCCCCATACTCTGAGACATCCCAATTATCCACTCCTTATTTTCCTTTTTGTTTATGAAAAAAGGGAAATTCCTTGGGCGTCTTAACTAAAAAAATCATTGAGAGTAACACTGCCCCCAGTGGATATTACAGCCAATAACTAGATCCAGCGGCTTGGGGATTATGCTCCTGTTTGGGAACTATTCCAGCTACTGCTCTACTAGTTATAGCTATAGAATAAATAATCATGAGATCTCCTTTGACCACTTTTGTTCCCCATTCTGTTGAAGCTCTTAAATTCCCATCATACCCAACACCTTTCTACCAGTTGTCTTAGCATTTATGAACTTCGTTTACTAGCTGCTCCTCACATAACTTTCTCTCTGTAACAATCTTAATCCTGCATCTCACCCCTTCTTTCTGATGAAACCCCCCATGAGTGTTTGACCCTCACTATCTTTTGATTCCCCAGAAAGATTTGCAATATAGTCCATTGGACAATGCTGAACTATCATTGTTTACAAATGGATCATATTTAAAGGATGACACTGGCAAAGAGTGTGCAGGATATGCAATTATTACCTTTTTTTGAAGTATCTGAGGCTAGCTTCCTACCTGTGGCTACTTCTGTCAAACAGGCTGAGCTTTTGCCCTTACTTGGGCTTGCCTCCTTGCTAAAGGGAAATCTACTAATCTGTATTTACAGGCAGTAGGTATGCTTTCGAGGTTGCTCATGATTTGGGGATGTTATGGAAATAATAGGTTTCCTCACTTCCATGGGAGGCCAAATTACAAATGGATCCTACACACAAGACTTACTGGATATCATCTAGCTACCAGCTGCTTTGGCTATTATCTAATTTTCTGTACATTCAAATCTACATTTTTATGGAGATGAGAGTAAACCGCTTTGCTAATAATGCAGCAAAGAATGCTGCCATTAAAGGTTCATTTGATCAAATCTCTGTTATGGCCCTACTAAAAGAACTTTCAACAAATGATTTAAGAATAATTATCAAAGAGGCCAGGCACAGTGGCTCATGGCTGTGCACTTTGGGAGGCCGAGGCAGGTGGATTGCTTGAGTCCAGGAGTTAGAGACCAGCCTGGGCAACATGACAAAACCCCATCTCTACAAAAAAACACACTCAAAAAATTATCTGGGCATGGTGGTGTGCTTCTGTAGTCTCAGCTACTCAGAAGGCTGAGGTAGGAGGATCTCCTGAGCTCAGGGATGTAGAAGCTGCAGTGATCCATGATCAAGCCACTGCACTCCAGCCTGGGTGACAGAATGAGACCCAGAAAAAAAAAAAAGAACAATTACCAAAGATGCACAGAATTGGGCCTCAGAAGTCAAAAAACAAAACTGAAGTCAAAAAAACAAAACAGGGCTGGGCACAGTGGCTCACAACTGCAATCCCAGCATTTTGGGAGGCTGAAGTGAGTGGATCACCTGAGGTCATGAGTTCAAGACCAGCCTGGCCAATATGGCAAAACTCTGTCAAAATACAAAAAAATTAGATAGGCTTGGTGGCATGCACCTGTAATCCTGGGCTACTCAGGAAGCTGAGGCACAAGAATCGCTTGAGCCTGGGGAGCAGAGGATGCAGTGAGCCGAGATCTTGCTACAGCACTCTAGTCTGGGCGACAGAGTGAGACTCCTCTGTCTCAAACAAAACAAAACAAAACAAAACAAAACAGGCTGGGTGTGGTGGCTCACCCCTGTAGTGCACTTTGAGAGGCCAAGGTGGGAGAATTGCTTGAGGCCAGGGATTCAAGAGCAGCCTCCCAATACAGTGAGACCCTGTCCCTACAAAAAAATGAGAAAATTAGCCAGGTGTGGTGAGGTGTGCCTGTAGTCCCAGCTACTTAGGAAGCTGAGGCAGGAGTATTGTTTGAGCTTAGGAGTTTGAGGATGCAGTGAGACATGATCACACTGCACTCTAGCCTGGGTGGCAGAGTGAGACCCTATCTCAAAAACAACAATGAAACCGAAAAAGGACCATGATTTCTGGTTTGATGAGCAAAAGGAACTCTGATCGGGACCTGAGAACAAACCAGTTCTCCCAGATTCAAGGAAATATCCACT
The DNA here is from genome assembly GCF_000001405.40 of Homo sapiens. Lineage (NCBI taxonomy): Eukaryota > Metazoa > Chordata > Mammalia > Primates > Hominidae > Homo > Homo sapiens. The sequence goes on from NC_000003.12 coordinate 119,692,207, forward strand.
ATTAACTACAGTACATAATTTGATTCATTAGGCAACTGACATTAATTTCTTCCAGAAAACAATATTGGTGGGGTGGGGAAATATTTTAAAAGCCACTAAAATGCTTATTTGACTTTTACCACCTGTCCTAAATTTAACCAAGGAAAATCTGTATAGACTCCTCCTTGACATTTAAATTTACCTAATAGGCCATTCAAGGTTTGGCAACTGAATTTTTTCCAACTACCTCCCTCCCATGAGTATACATATATATTGGTTATGATCTGTATGTTTTCCCATTGGGTGGAAGGCTTTCTTTTAGATAAGCTACTGTTTTAGCTATGGCCAAACTTTTCTTTGAAAAAAATTATTCCTCTTTGGGGAACTCCCCTTGAGCTTCATAGTAACCAGGGAACCCACTTTACTGGCCACATGGACTTCTTATTATGCTTACCATCTTATAGGACTTATATTGTTCTTACCATCCCCAATCTTCTGACCTGGTAGAATAAACAAATGGAACCATAAAGACTCAGTTGGCAAAATGTATGGAAAACTTGCACCTCCCTTAGTTTAAAGTTCTTCTCTTGGTATTATTACTGAGAACCACTGCTTTTAGAGCCCACAAATTTTCATCTTTTGAAATAATCACTGGTCATCCTATGCATTTAATGCCCACTGCCTTTGACCCTCAATTGTTAAAAGGAGAGATACTATAATACTGTAAGGGAATTATTACAGTAGTAGACAAATATTATATTTTGGTAGAAAAATCTTTCCACAGTGTGCTCCTGGAGGACAAAGACCTAAAGCACCAAGACCTAAAGCTACAACCTGGTGATTCTGTCTATCTTGAAAAGACACCTATATGAAGACTCTCTCCAACCTCATTGGAAGGTCCCATACCAAGACCTTCTCACCAATCCCTGTATCACCAAACTCAAAGGCATTGACTCATTGATCCACATCTCTCATTTTAAAAGGGCTTCTACTTCTGCCTGGACCGGTACCCCAGCAGGCAATTTAAAGTTTATCTGTTATCTGAAGCAGACAACAATTGAAATAAACTGCTATTCACAAGACGTCCAGACCAGGCCAATATACCCTTTTCCTTTTACTATTGGTCTCTTCTTATGTGCTTTTATTTTCCTGGAAAAATAAGGCTCTAATTTGCATTTTCTAATCTATTTCCAAAATGAGAAACATAACCGATTTATTGGATTTGGTACCAAAAAAACTTCAATCTCCATGATGCAAGTGAACCCCTGGTCTAACTCATAATGGATTTTTTTTTTTTTTTTTGAGATGGAGTCTTGCTCTGTTGCCCAGGCTGGAGTGCCGTGGTGTGACCTTGGCTCACTGCAACCTCTGCCTCCTGGGTTCAAGCGATTCTCCTGCCTTGGCTTCCTGAGTAGCTGGGATTACAGGCGCACCACCAGGCCCAGCTAATTTTTGTATTTTTAGTAGAGACGGGGTTTCACTGTGTTGGTCAGGCTGTTCTCAAACTCCCGACCTTGTGATCTGCCCACCTTGGTCTCCCAAAGTGCTGGGATTACAGGTGTGACCAGCGGTGCCCAGCCCTCAGAACAGATTTTACTGATATTCCCCATGTAACTGTTCTAATTATACATCTAGTCCTTTTTACAAGGTCAAGCTTTTAGACTCACATATTCAGATTTCCTGTTTCACCCTAACATTACCTAAGATCTACAAAAAAGGCCTTGAAGTTAGATTAAGATTATGCAAACAACATGCTGATAGAATTCAAGAGAAAAGAAATTTGACAGCTTATAAAAATATTTATGACCTTCCTCCTCTAATTGTTGATGACTTCCAACAGTGCAATAATTCAATAATAGAACCCTGGATAATTACTGTTGACACCTCCCTACAAGTAACTGTTAATGCACAAGGTACTCCATCTACGTGGAATTACCTGTTGTGACACATCGAGATACATTTTCATCTGTGGGGGAGCCTACAGTCAGCTTTATTCATGGGCAACATCATGTCTCAATAAATGGAAAATAAAGCACCAATGTGGTCTGGGATATTTCTACATTCAATTTAAACTTGCAAAATCTGAACATTGGTTGACATCTACTAACTTGCACCATCATATCAAAAAAGACACTCTACCTAGAGGCATAAACTCAGCAGGATGGGCCTCAGTTGTTAGATCCTTCTTCCTCTGGATTGGGGTTAGTACCTTAGAAATAATGGTTAGAAATTTATCCCTAACTATTGGAGCTCCAGCTGACTCCACAGCCAAAGCCATGGCAGCTCACCAAACTTCCTTAGATTTTCTTGCCAAAGTGGTTTTCGATAACAGGATTGCTCTAGATTGCTTATTAGCTGAACAAGGTGGTATTCGTGCAATTGCTTACACTAGCTGCACATGGAAGTAGAAAACACAATTATGAAAGATAACGGAACATGCCACCTGGCTCCAGAAAGTTCCACCCAATGCATTTGGACTTTTCAATCTGTTTAGTGACTTACCTTCAAAATAAGATTCATGGTTTAGAGCTATTTTTCAAACTGAATTCATGATACTATTGCTGCTTATTCTTGACATTATGATAGTTAAGTTACATTATTGTTGCCTGTCTAATCTTTGCAAAGCCTGCTTTCCCAACAGGAAAATGTTAGTCCAGTGCTTCCAGATGATTGCTAATGCCTGTGTAACTGATAAGATGGAATCCAATGCTGAATCTCAGGTAGACCTATCCTGTAAGGGTCTTTCCTTCCGGCCCCTTTGTTGTCCAAATGTGACTTGGGCCTCTAATGTTGACTCCTATTGACTCCTATTTTCCCTCTAGTGTGGGGTCAGAACAACTAGGACAAAGCACATCCCGGCATTGAGGGAGATCAAGCCTAACTTCAAGGATAGTTGACCAGTGATGCTTTCAGGGAAAGATCTTAGTCAAAAAAGGGAAATGTGGGCGCGGGGGCTCACGTCTGTAATCTCAGCACTTTGGGGAGGCTGAGGCGGGTGCATCATTTGAGGTCAGGAGTTCGAGACCAGCCTGGCCAACATGATGAAACCCCGTCTCTACTAAAAATACAAAAATTAGCCTGAAGTGGTTGCACATGCCTGTAATCCCAGCTACTCGGGAGGCTGAGGCACAAGAATTGCTGGAGGCTGGAAGGCAGAGGTTGCAGTGTGCCGAGATGGCGCCACTGCCCTCCAGAGTGGCCAACAGGGCAAGACTCCGTCTCAAAAAAAAAAAAAAAGGTGGGGGGGTGGCAGGGAGCAGAATGTGAAAGTTGATTATCTAAATGGAGTCATACCTGTCATACCCAACTAAAATTTACAGTGCAGGGTGGGGGGGCATAGAGAAAAAACAAAAATGAAAACAAAACTCAGGTCTCAAAAGCCTGCTCCAGAAACTGTCCAGTAAGCCCAATTCAACGAAACAGCTGCTACAGTTTTAAGACTAGTTTTACAAGGAAACAGCCACCATGACTTTAAAACTAGTTTTACCTAGAAATTGTGGCCACTGACCAATCAGAGCTCACCAGCTCCTGCAAAAAACATGTTGCAAGCACCAAAGAGCTTTCTTTCATAACAACCCACATACTCTTTCTCCTTTCCCAATAAAACCTTCACCATTTTTTTGTTCTACCACATATCAGAGACCACCCTGGTCTACGCATGTGTACCAGATTGCAACCCTATTTCTTTATTCCAAAATAAACCCTCTTTTGCTTGGAGATTCATCTCTCTATATATTTGTTATTGATAGAAGATAAAAAGCTAATAAGAGACTGTGTGAACATACACACAAATGAATAAAAGTTGGTGAACTACCTAAAATAAATGAGATCAAGCCTGTGTATTTTTGTCTTTAGCTTCCGGTTGGGAAGAATTTCTTCCTTTCTATAGCTGTGAGACCATCAACCAAAATTCAGAACAAACTCCAATAAGTTGCAAAACACTGATCAAAATCAAATGCTCACTGCAGCCTCAAAATCCTGGGCTCAAGCTATCCTCCCACCTCAGCCACTGAGTAGCTAGGACTACAGGCGCATGACACCACGCCCAGCTAATTTTGTTGCTGTTGTTGTTGTAGAGAGAGGATCCCACTATGTTGCCCAGCGTGGTCTCAAACTCCTGGCTTCAAGTGATCCTCTTGCCTCAGCCTCCCAAAGTACTGGGAATACAGGCATGAGCGACCATACCTGGCCTAAATGCTCTCTCTCTCTCTCTATATATATATATATATATACTAACCTGTAAATTTAAAATTTCACCTAATGAGCCAGCTTAAACTGGAAATTTTGTTTTCTAATAACATTTGTTTTTTCTGATTGAACTGATGTTTTCCAACAGTAGCAAAAGCTGATGTATAGCATTTAGAAGCTAAATGTAACTACCATGTAATGTAGTAGTAAATGTTACTATGTAATAGTTACATAGTAACTAATAGTATGTATTAGTAGTACACAGTACTAATACTGCTGATACTACTGCTAGTACTATGTAACTGGTAGTTACATAGTAGTTACATTTTGCTACTAAATGTAACTGAATAGCATTTAGCTACTAAATTTATATATTTAAATCCATGTTTACTTACATTTAGCTACTAAATGCTATTCAGTTAGTAGTGAAATGTAAATATGTGTTTAAGTATATGAATTATATCTTTAACAGTCATGCCTATTCTTTAGCCCTACATTTGCCCTTTGTATTCTTACATATTTTAAGATGAATATCAGATGTAGTTCTAGGTAAATGGGAAGCTCATGATGCACGAAGACAGAAATGGAGAAATTGAGAAGATTTATGAAGCTAGGTAGTATTATAACATTTATCGGACACTCGCTATCTAACAGACTGTGTTCTAAGTCCTTTGTAGGTGTTACCTCCCATAATTTTCCCTGATATTATTGCTGTTTGTTCTCATTTTAGTGTTTTGGAAACTGATGCATGTGGATATTAAGTAAATGCCGAAGATCACACGAACTGTTTTAGAACAAAGATTCAAACTTAGGAAATCTGATTCTAATGTTCACGTAGTTAATCACTGTATTAGAGTTTCTGCAGTGTACGGAAGTGTTAGTTTTACTGAGGATGTATTGAGTTTGTCTAGTAGATGTTTGGTCATTTGAAATGGAATATCTTAAAGATTGTGAAGGTATGAAATTGGCAGTGAGACAGAAGTGAAAGTCACTGATGGCAGACAGGTAAATACATGAATAATTCAGTAGCTCAATTCATTCCAATGTATTTTCCTTTAGCACCTGCTTTGTGCCAGGTGCTGGTGTAACTACCCAGTGAGTTCTCCTTGCTCGCTGGCTAGACAGAGTCAGTTTATAAGATAGGGGAACTGCAATAGAAAAAGAGTTTAATTCACACAGAGCCAGCTGTACAAGAGACTGGAGTTTTGTTATTACTCCCCAAACGCTTGGAGGTTAGGGGTTTTTCGGAGACAGTGTGGAGGGCAAGGGGGGTATGGTAGGGGGCATGGCATACTAATTGGCTGGGTTGGAGATGACACCATAGGGAATTGAAGCTGTCCTCTTGGGCTGAGTCAGTTCCTAGGTGGAGGACGACAGGACTCGTTGGCAGGTCCAGGTGGGGCCATCTGGTTGTCAGAAATGCAAAGGCCTAAAAAGATACCTCAAAAGGCCAGTCTTAGGTTCTATAATAGTGATGTTATCTTCAAGAGTAATTGGGGAAGTTGCAAATCTTATGACCTCCGAAAAAATGGCTGGTAATTATTTATAATTCAGGCCCCTTTCATCCTAACTTTGTGGACTTTCACTCATTTTATAAAAATAGTTTAGTTTTTGGGAGGGGCTATTATCATTTAAACTATAAACTAGGCCAGGCACGGTGGCTCACGCCTGTAATCCCAGCACTTTGGGAGGCCCAGGCAGGTGGATCACCTGAGATCAGGAGTTCAAGACCAGCCTGGCCAACATGGCTAAACCCTGTCTCTACTAAAAAATACAAAAAATTAGCTGGGTGTGGTGGTGGGCACCTGTAATCCCAGCTACTCAGGATGCTGAGGCAGGAGAATCACTTGAATCTGGGAGGTGGAGGTTGCAGTGAGCCAAGATTGTGCCACTGCACTCCAGCCTGGGCAACAGAGCAAGACTCCATCTCAAAACAAAAACAAAAAACAAACAAACAAAAGTATACTCTAAATTTCTCCCAAAGTTAGCTTGGCTCATGTCCCAGAATGAGCAAAGACAGCCAACCTGTGAGGCTAGAGTCAAGATGGACTCAGCCATGTCAGATTTTTCTCACTGTCATAATTTTCTCAGTTATAATCTTTTGCAAAGGTGGTTTTACTGGCCTAAGAGATATGGATGAATTCAGGGTGAACAGGACATTTGAGGTCTCTGGTCTCACAGAGCTTACATTCTAGTGGGAGGAGATATAATAAATAAGCAAATCAGTAACATTTCAGTGCTATAAAAAAAATCAAGGTAATAGTGTCTTCGGATGTGTTTATGGAGGCTGCTGGCTGTTGACTACCTTAGATAGTTTATCTGATAGAATGAGGAAAAGAAGTCTTTCTTCTTCTTCTTTTCTTTCTTTTTTTTTTGAGACAGAGTCTTGCTCTTGTTGCCCAGGCTAGAGTGCAGTGGTGCCATCTCAGCTCACTGCAACCTCCGCCTCCCAGGTTCAAGCAATTCTCCTGCCTCAGCCTCCTGAGTAGCTGGGATTACAGGCGCCTACCACCACGCCTGGCTAATTTTTTTGTATTTTTAGTAGAGACGGGGTTTCACCATGTTGGTCAGGCTGGTCTTGAACTCCTGGCCTCAGGTGATCTGCCTGCCTCAGCCTCCCAAAGTGCTGGGATTACAGGCGTAAGTCACCATGGCTGGCTGAGGAAAAGTCTTTCTGATGAGATTGCCAGAGGCGTTTAAACCTGGGCAACTCCATTTTGAGTAGGGGCTAGGTAAAATAAGGCTGAGACCTACTGGGCTACATTTCCAGATGGTTAGGCATTCTAAGTCACAGTATGAGACAGGAGGTCAGCACAAGATACAGGTCATAAAGACCTTGCTGATAAAACAGATTGCAGCAAAGAAGCTGGCTAAAACCCACCAAAACCAAGATGGCCATGAGAGTGACCTCTGGTTTTGCTCACTGTTACACTCCCACAGTAGCATGACAGTTTACAAATGCCATGGCATGTCAGGAAGTTACCCTGTATGGTCTAAAAGGGAAGGCATGGATAATCCACACCTTGTTTAGCATATCATCAAGAAATAATCAGAGCCCTCGGGGGTGCTCTGTCTGTGGAATAGCCATTGTTTTATTCCTTTACATTCTTAATAAACTTGTTTTCACTTTATGGACTCGCCCTGAATTCTGTCTTGCGTGAGATCCAAGAACATTCTCTTGGGGTCTGGATGCAGACCCCTTTCCGGTATAGAGAGAACATTTTAGGTGATGTCATATGTTGAGGAGCTAGCTGTGAGAAGATAAGGAGGTGGGAGTGAGGAACATTGAGAAGAAGAAACGAAAAGTGGGCGGCTCTGAGAACGTAGCTGTACCCCAGACAGAAAAGTACTATACCATTATTATATTGTACTTTGCTTCTGTGTCAGCTTTCTCTATCATCCAGTGAGCTGTACAAATTATCTCAAAATCTTTAACACCTATTATATAGTAGACATTCAGTAAATTTATTTAACAAAGGGATGGATTTAGTAATCATTTCATTAAGATTTCATGTACCAGATACCTCAGAGATACAAAAATGACCAGGTGAAGGGCTGTGCCCTCAGTGAACTCAAAGTTGTGGGAAGCAGAGTTGTGAACAATTACTGATTACTAATACAAGGTGGTCAATGCTATTGGTGCTACTACAGCATTGGAAGGATGATATCTCACTGTATTTGAAAGATATGAGGAAACTGCATAGAAGTGGCAAAGTTAGAGGTGAGTGTTGAAATGTACCTAAATTAGTTGAGGGGTGTTAAAGAAAAAATTATTCAATGATCTTATTAAGGCATGGACAGGCAGAGTGCGTTCAAGACCATTGCAATAGATATAGGAATTACTGCAACAGGGTCTTGTAGTTGGGGGAGGGATTGGGTTCAACTCCGAATATAGCATAAGCAAGTAGAAATTTATAGCAAAGAGCAGGCTGAGGGTCAGTGGATGAAAAATTACTAAGAGGAAATATCAGAGGTAAAGAGAATTCTGGTTAAACTCATCTCAAAGGATTCTTGCTGAAGACAGCCAGGGTAATCAGACTTCACCTGGGGGTGAAAAGCGAAAGCGAAGGATGAGGACCCCAGTCAGATATCTAGGATGGGGGATTCTTACCAAACTGACATAGCACGGTTCTTTGCTAAAACTGGATTTTACAAGAAAGTACACAGACAGACCTAGGACATGGCTGGTTTTCAAAAACCCCAAGAAGTTTAGGAGTAGAGACAATAAGTTAAAACCAGGAGTATATGCAGAAAGAGTAGTAGGCCAGGAAGCGTATTCAGGAAGTGTCTGTGGATCACATTGAGGGACTAAGTGGCTAAGTTGGCTGGACTTCCTGGTTCAATAGGGACTTCCCTAAGGGGACTTTCCCCTAAGCCAAAATGAGTCATAGCTGCAAGCTAAGGGATTGAAACTTCAACCAATCAAAGGGGACTTTCCCCTAAGCCAAAGTGAGTCCCAGCTGCAAATTAAGGGATTGAAACTTCAGCCAATCATATAGAGAGTTTAAGCTCTAGCTGCAGCCTGATGTTTTTAACCAATCAGGCCCACCAACCTAAGAGAGGAGACCACCCCTCATATTGTGTTATGCCCAATTTCTGCCTCCAAAGAAAGAAGAATTTAAAACAAAAAGGCAGAAATGAAATCCACAGGCAGACAGCCCAGCACTGTGCTCTGGGCCTGGTAGTTACAGATTGACCCCTGACCTAACCGATATGTTATCTATAGATTCCAGACATTGTATGGAAAAGCATTGTGAAAATCCCTGTCCTATTCTGTTCTGTTCCGATTACCAGTGCATGCAGCTCCCAGTCACATACCCACTACTTGCTCAATCGATCACGACCCACTCACGCAGACCCTCTTAGAGTTGTATGCCCTTAAAAGGGACAGGAATTGCTCACTCCGGGAGCTCGGTTTTCGAAGATGTGAGTCCGCCAATGCTCCCAGCTGAATAAAGCCCTTTCCTTCCATAACTCGGTGTCTGAGCGGTTCTTGTCTGTGGCTCGTCCGGCTACAAACCCACAAGTGGATAGAAAATAACCTAATCCTATGGGACAGAAAAAGGAAAAGGGGAGGAGTCATAAGGGGATATAAACATAAGATACCCAAACCAGAAATGGCAACCCTTCCAGGTTCCCTTCCACCACGTGGAAGCTTTACTTTCGCTTTCCCTTTACTTTTGCTTTGGCTTTAATAAATCTTGCCACCGCACAGTCTTTGGGTCCACGCATTTCTCTAGTGAAGCTGTAACACTTGCCACTGTGGTCCACGGCTTCATTCCTTGAAGCCTGTGAGACCATGAACCCTTCGATCGAGAAAAACCTTTGATCGGAAGAAGACTTCTCGTCTCAACATTAAAGGACAAAGAAGCCAACTCTAAGGCATGCCATTAGCTTTAATAATCTGAGTGTAATAAATAATAATGATCATAACGGATTAAAACATCAGATCTGTAAAAAATGCATGCATTCATAATGATATCAAACAAACAAAAACTTTGTGGTTAACTCTGGAGTTTGGTAGGGCACCAACTCATGTCTCTGAAATTTCATAATTAAAAAGAACAAATCCAGCATTTACCCAGTCTTTCCTCTATGAGATTATCCTGGTTATCTCAGGATAACCAATGAGTTGGTATGAAAAGATTCCTTTTATAGAAGAACCTCTGGTAATAATAGAGAATTATTGAAAGGATTAGAAATTCACTGCTCTAGGATAAAAGACTTAAGAGACATACCAAAATGCAACATGAGGACTTTTTTTGGATCTTGACTGGAACAAACCAACTATAAAAGATAATTTGGACTCAAACAGGAAAATTGGAATTATTTATAGTACTAAGGAATTATTGTTAATTTTGTTAGATATGATAACGGTAGTTAAATTTTTAAAATCTATGTCAGTTTGAGATGCAGACTAATTTAAGGGTAAAATAATATTATGTCTAGGATTTCTTTAAAAAAGAGGGGAAGGAAACTGAAACTTGATTGGCAAAATGTTGCTAAATGTTGATTCTGAGGGATGGGTTACTTGAGGGTTTGTTATTAAAAGTAGAATCACTTTTGCTTATGTTTAAAATTTTCCATTATAAATAGTTTTCAAAAGCAGAGCCAGTGCCTACCCCACATCATCTTCTGTTATTTAATGCCCAGGACTCAGAAAGGGTCAGCAGTCTCAGATCAACAGTTACTGATGTCCTAACCCATCCTAAACACTGATGCTAATGAGTGTGGGGCAAAGTTCACAGCGTGCTAAGGAGCAACATTTAGGAACCTGACTGGATTCCGCAGCTCTCGGGACAAGCCCCCTGGAAAAGGGCTGGGGGGAGGGGCGGGGAGGCACCCAATTATTCTAGAAGGTTCTGAGATCTCCCAGGGATTTCCGAGAGGCTACGAGGTGTAACTGGCAAATCAATGACTTAAGAGTAGCTTTCTCCCAGCCTCCCCGCTGGCTCTGGAGTATAGAGGGAAGCCAGCCTTTTCCTCCCCCATCCTGCCCCTCCCCTCTCTTCTCATCTTCCCCTCCACTCTCCTCCTGACCCTGGCCTGGCCACTCCTGCTTTCACTTCTCTCCACTCCTCTTCGGCCCCGCCCCGCGGCCTCCTCCCTCCTCCTTGCCCCGCCCCCTATCCCTGCGCGCCGGCGGCCGTTACCATAGCGACGTGCACGCAGTAGCCAGGCCTGACCCGCTGGTCCCTTGCTGGCGGGAGGAAAGAGGCGGCACCATGAGCCACGCAGTAACCATCGAGGAGCCCCAGGCCCAGCCGCAGGTGTCTCAAACTCGGTACCGGGAGAGGTCGCGGGCTGGGAGCCACATCTCCTCCAATCGAGCGTATGATTTTCTGTACGGTAAGGACCGCCGCAGACCTTCCTCCGCGTCCGTCGCCTCCTAGGCCAGGTGGGCTCCCAGATGGTGGGACCTGGCCAGGGGCATGGCGAACGAAACACGACCCTCTGGACTGACCTCTTGCCCACGGTTGTCCTTGGTCGGGTGGGGGCAGCTCCGAGCCCTCCAGGTGGCCGCACTCAGGTTGGGGTCGGGGGTTCGGGTACATCGAAAGGCGCGGGTGCGCTCCGCTTCGGGGGGCGATTTTCCTGAAACCTGTTCCGGGCGTTTTGGTACCCAGAAAGTGTGCAACGATTTGTACACTCGGAGATTCACTCAACGTTCCTGCATAAAATGCCCTACAAAAATGATCTTTTCTCTCCAACTCTCTGGGCAAATCCAAGTTGGGCGAAAAGAAGTGCCAGTTTATCCCATGCTTGTTTTTAGGTTTTTTGTTGTTGTTGTTGTTTGTTTTTTTTAACTTCTGCGTCAAAGCATTGCTTATAGACTGGGTCCGCTGGCTCCTCTTGGGCCAATAAAACCCCAGTTTATTTTAACGGCTTGGTTGTCCATTTTATGTTTTCTCTCTCTCCACGCTCCTTGAGTTCCTTAAGTTCCTGTTCTACACATTTTTGTAGCCTTCTGAGCACCTATTCTAGTGCTGATACATATACTAGGCGCTTCAATAAATAAATGTTTATTGAATTTGCCGTGGCAAGAACTGTAACCAGCTATAAGCATGATTTTTTCCAATTTTGCCCTCTGCAATCCCAGGTTTTTCACCTGAACCTTGCATTGCTTTCAGCAATGTGGTGTTGCCTCTGGGAATCCCAGTCTCCTTTGTGTGGGAATCTAGGGTACACATTCCTAGATAGAGGCTGTGTAATGATTGCTGACATATTCTGGCCAGTGTTTTTCTGTATTTACTCTTGGTTTTGTGAAATAAATCAAGTTAGCTCCTGTAAACACATCACCATGTTTTTTTTTCACGGGTAATTTGAGAAGGAGGACAAACATCTCCCCAAAGTATTTATTAAGCTGGTTGTTTCTTTGATGCCGAAGTGTCTCTTTTGCAGAGGAATTGCTAAATGTTTCCATGTCCCTTGCTAAGAACAGAAATTCACTCAGAGTAGATCAAATAAAAGTTTGGATTGTTATAAAACAATCTCGCCGCTAGTCATGGACAGGAAGCGAAGTATAGCCAGGGCGGATGAGAACCTGGATGGGGAAAATCAGAACTAAGATGCTGTGCTCTCCTGCTTTCTTTCTTTGACCTTATGACCTTTCACCTTGTTAGGGTTGCCACATTTAGCAAATAAAAATACAAGAGGCACCGTTAAGCTTGAATTTCAGATAATGAATAATATTTTAGTATAAATTTTTGTCCTGTGCAATATTTTGGAACACATTTATACTAAAAAATTATTCATTGTGTATCTGAATTTAAATTTAACTGGGCATCCTGTATTTTATCTGGCAACTCTAGCCTTCTTTCTATGTATAATCAAGCCCCAAGTAATGATATTTCGGTCAACAGTGGACTACATGTATAAGGATGGTCCCATAAGATTATAATGAAGTTGAAAAACTCCAATTACTTCGTGACATTGTAGCTGTCATAACATTGTAGCCCAATGCATCACTTTTTCTGTGTTTAGATATACAAATACCATTGTGTTACAACTGTCTACAGTATTCAGTACAATAACATGCTGTATGGGTTTGTAGCCTAGGAGCAATAGGCTATACTATATAGCCTAGGTGTGGAGTAGGCTATACCAGCTAGGTTTATGTTAAGTACCCTCTGATATTTACACAACGATAAGCTCACCTCATAACCCGTTTCTAAGAACGTATCCCCATCATTAAGCAACACATCTCTATGCTTGCTTCCTTCCATCTGACAGAAAGCCTCTTGTGTATGGATTTCTCTTACTATGATAGGGACTAGGGTGGCGTGCTTCTTGACTAATTAGCCCTAAAGCTCACCACCAATTGTATAGCGTCTTTGTGTATTGTAGCTGAAAATTTAAGTTAGAAATTTAAGATTGGTTGTTGGCTGGCCAATGAATTGACTGGCCTTGGGCCAGGTTTCCACCTTGACAGAACTGTGGTGGTGCAAAGATGAACACCTTTCCAGGTTCTTTTACCCTTCCTTATGAAGCCCTATGTGATTAGTTCCCTAGTTACTTCTCTGGCCTCTTATCTACTCTCTTTCCCCTCCTTCATTCTGCCTCATTTGTCCTGGTTTCTTTGCTATTCTTCAGACGTATCAGGCATGTTCCCATCCTAGGGACTTTGCTGTTCTTCAGATGTATCAGGCATGCTCCCATCCTAGAATGTTCTTCAGATATCTAACTAGCTAACTCCCTCACCTTCAAGTCTCCTTACATGCCACCTTCTCAAGGGCCTGCCCCGACCACCCTAGTTAAAATTGCAACCCAATCTTCCTTACCCGATTTCTTCTTTTTTAAAAATAACAACCCTCAAATTCTAATGTGTAATTTGCTAGTTTATTATGTTTGTTGTTTGTTGTCTCTCTCTCATGAAGTCAAAGATTTTTGTCGTTTTGTTGATGTATTCTAAGCACCTAGATAGAGTAGCCAGTCAATAAACATGTGTTGAATGAAGGAGCAAAAAGAGCCTGAGCCTCTTGCAGCTTTTCAGCCTTGGTGGGAATATCCAATGTCTGCATTCAGTAAATCGTATTTGTTGGGTTACTAATGAATTATTAGGTTTTAGGAATTGACACACATTATCCAAATTCAAAAGAGACTTGTTTCTAAATCACAATTCCCAAATTATTAATTTCTATGGAGAAATATGTGTTACCATGTTATCTAGACTAGCTGGTCAGGGTATTTGCCTCCCCAGAGACAAGTCTACTTGGGAAATCAAGTGTATCCAAAGGCTGCTTGTTAATTTAATGGCAAATCAGTTGATTTTAAAGGGTGGTACAGTATAGTCAATCATGAATATTCTTCATCACTTTAAAGATATACCTGATAAACAGATACTTATAATAGCAGGGCAATATTTTGTTGAACTTTGTAAAAATAACAGTTCCATCATCAGCAAACTTACAAACTTAAGGGGTGAATTCTGAAGATAGCTGATTTTTTTTTTAACCGTGTTCACCAATTCTGAGATATCATGTGGTTTGCATCTTTCTAGTGCACCAAATATGGGAGATGGTATAAATGTATTGCTTCTTTCACTTGCAAATTGGCATAGTGCGTATATACAAGGTCTTTCCCTTGAAGAATTTTTTGGGTTACCCAGGCTCAAAAGGAGTTTTGTTCATAGGAGAGAAGAAAGTGTGTTCAGGGTGTAGTACTTGAAAACATGCTAGACTTTCTTTATGAATTCCACTTCCGTAAGCTGACTTGGAATACTCAGAAAAGAAAAACATCTTGACAACTGTTGCTGGTAGAAGTGGTAGAGTAACAGGGCCACATGCACAACAGAGCATGAGCTGCTGCAGAGTCAGACAATATTTAAACTTTTAAATTTGTTTTCCAATTAAGAGATTACATTACTTTGCCATTATTCTCAGCCTAGGGGTAGATATGTTCTATCTGTTATGCTACTTGATTGTTTATTTTGCAGATCCATTGTTTATTGTGTCAAGTGAGAAAGACCATACACAGGCAAATATCCAAGCTACCCTGATTCGCAGCAGACTGGTATGTCTAATTCATCAGCCAAGGCTACCTGATGAACCTGAACCATCTAGTTTGCCTGACTGCATTGATCAGATTGACTAATCACCAAATCTTCACTGGATTTTAGGTTCCACAGAAATTACCTTGCCAAGATTACTGGAGGGCAAAGCATCTTAATACGTGTGGCTCATTGTGAGGATTAAGTCACCAATAATGAACAGAGAACCCATAAGCTAATTTATTTCAATGGGATAAATTTAATAATATATGCCCATGTTAAAAGAATTCAAGTAGTATAAAAGCATATACAGTGTGAAGTAAATTCTAGCCCTATCCCCTACCCCCTCCACATAAACAGCCATTGTCATCAGTTTCTTGGGCATGTATTTAAAGATATTTTACGCATACAGCAATAACCCCTCTTCTTATGCTGTATACATTGTTTTGTATGTTTTTAAAAAGAGTTTACAATGTAATTAAAATGCTTTAGAAAAGCTGATGGTATAATTTTGTCCTTTGCCTCCCTTCTCTAACATTAGAGAAAAGTTCCCAGGTTTAAAACCATGTTCAGTAACCTGATCCATTATCCAAGATATTCTCTATATTGGAGCAAGTCAGATCCTGTCCCACCATTTATCAGTCGGGAATGGAAGGGACATAAGGAGAAACACAGAGAAGCCCTCCGGCAGCTCACCACGTAAGTGTCGGGTGGCTCCAGGGCCTAAAATAAATGCATTAAAAGCATTTCTTTAAATTCATTTACCATGTGTGGTTTTAAAATGTTCAGTTGTGGTGTTATACCTAGGCCAAATTTTCTTTCTAAACCTCTTTTGACCAAACAAACCTGATTATATATTGTATATATGAGATATATATATATATATAATTTTGTCATATATATAATGACAACTTGCCACCAAAGGTAGGGATGATTGAGTTTGTTGTTGCTTGGATCCAACTTAGCAACTGAAAGTGCTCTGTTCTGCTAGTATCTAAAATATTTTTTGGGAACTTGGGGCCAAAGCACCTTCAAGAATAAGTCGAATTCTTTATTCTTTTAATTACTTACAAGTTCACATTTAGTAAATTAAAAATTATAAAGCCTTTTAACCTGGACATAGAAAAAGTGTCTTTTGGCCAGGCACAGTGGCTCACGCCTGTAATCCCAGCACTTTGGGAGGCCGAGGCAGGCGGATCATGAGGTCAGGAGATTGAGACCATCCTGGCTAACACGGTGAAACCCCGTCTCTACTAAAAATACAAAAAGTTAGCCGGGTGTGGTGGCAGGTGCCTGTAGTCCCAGCTACTTGGGAGGCTGAGGCAGGAGAATGGCATGAACCCAGGAGGTGGAGATTGCACCACTGCACTCCAGCCTGGGTGACAGAGCGAGACTCTGTCTCAAAAAAAAAAAAAAAAAAAATTGTCTTTTAATATTTTGCTATTCTTGTGTGCTTTTAATTAAAATTGGGCATTTTTGTATGTGGGATTTCATAAATCCACTCTTTTCTCAGCTCTTGCTCTGTCTGACTAGGTTCTGGTCTCCTGGCTCAGGGGAAGAATCATATATACTCTAAGTTGTATGGCAGTCAAATGCAGGTTATGGAAGACTTTACTCTCAGTATGAGATACTCTGTGTAGGTCCTACTCTATACACATAGAAATATTAAATAGAAATTATATGTGGAAATATTTTAGACTTGAATAATGTTTTCTTGCTTCATTTTAGAACTGACGCTTCTTTTCAGATGCCTAAAGAAGTTTATGAAGATCCTGAAGTTACTGGAAAGAATCGCTATAAATACTTTGAAAGGTAGAACATAATTACTAATGAATATTTGAGCCCTAATATTATTAGAGAACCTCTTTATGATAATAATAATAGTTATCATTTTTCAGTGCATACAACGTGCCAGACTCTATTTTAAGTGCTTTACATGCATATGATCTAATCGTTAAAACAGGAATGTAGGCTAAGATATATATGATCCCTGTTTTACCAGTAATGAAGCTGAGACCGAGAGATGATAAATAGATTGCTCAAGGTCATATAAGCTAGCAAGGGGTAGATCTGGGGTTCCAACTAAGCCTGCCTGACTTTAGAGATACTGATTGCAACTAAGAATATGTATTTGAAAATATTTGAAATGAAGTCATCAAATGAACGACACACAGTTGGAGATACCATGAAGTCATAGTGAAGGGGAAACTTGTGTTCAAAGGGATAACATTTGTTCTCTTTGTATGAATCTTGCCTAAACCAACAAGGCCAAAAGGTTCATTTTATTTCATTTGTGATTTATGCTTATGTAATAACCATATACTCAAATCAAATTAAAATTAGATGGGGATTTCCTTATATATCCTACTGGAGTTAGAAAAAATAGTCTTGATACCACATCTGTATAAGCTTCCTTGAGAAAGTAAATTTCTAATCCACATTATTATTTATGAGCAACCTCCTTATGGAAATTTTGTGATACTGACTTTTCCAGAGAAATGTTAAATTCTTAACTGTTAACTATACAATTCTGTACAGTTAACTGTACAATTCTTAACTTTTAGGGGGAGGCTTCATATTAAATCACTGTGAATTCCAGAATGTCTCAGGAACTTGAGAAGTTGTTGGGAACTAATGGCCAGCTGAAGCCCAAGTACAGGGCTTAAAGTGTGGCTTCTTCAAGTGTGACTTGTTTCCCATCTGAAGAGAAAATACTGGAGTGTTTATTAAGAATGCACATTCATTGGCTCTACCCTATATGTACTGAATCTCATGGGCCAGACCTGGGAATCTGCATTTTAGACAAGAACCTCCCCACCCTGCAGTGATTTTTTATGTCCAGAAGTTTGAGTAACACTGATATATGGGATATTTAAGCTCACTGATTTTTAAGGGACAAATATTAGAGCTGGAAGAGAGCTTAGAGTGCATTCATTGCAAAAGTCCCACACATTTATGTTTTCTTTTTCCTCCCAGGCCTTTTCTCCCATTTTTTCAGCAGATGCCATTCAATGTTGTTTATGCCGTATCCAAGTAAGTAACCATTATTTGAAAACTCTTTTTCAGTTTATTTATTGTTTGCTTCCATATTTTTTCTTAGAAGATAGTTCACTAAATCACTATTTTTCAAATTGTGGATCACAAAACATTAGAAGGGTATGAAATCTTCTAGTGTGTCATGAGCAGCATTTTAAAACATGAAACAGAATAGAAAATAACCAAAGCATCAAGTATATGGAGGGTAAGTTGGTTTTTGTTTATAACTTTTGTTTCAGAAAAATATATGCATATGTTTATATGTATATGATGGATTATGATATAAAATGTATTTCTTACTGTTAGTTGTCCATTTGTGCTGCTATAACAAATTAACAGATTGGGTGATATAAATAAAATAAATTTATTTCTTGAAGTTCTGAAGGCTGGGCAGTCCAAGAAGCAAGGCAGTCCAATGGGCAGTCAGTGTCGGTGAGGGCCTTCTTGCTGTGTCTTCACATGGCAGAAGAAGCAAATGCTGTGTCCTCACGTGGAGGAAGGTGGAAGGCCAAAAAGGACCTATGCTAGTTCTCTGTAATCCTTTTATAAGGCACTAATCCATTGATGAGGGTGGAGTCCTCGTGACTTAATCACTTCCCCTAAAAGCCTTACCTCTTAATACCACGACAATGGGGACTAAGTTTAAACATGAATTTTGGAGAAGACACAGACACATATTCAAATTGTAGCAGTTGTAGTTTAAAAAAGTTGAAAAGTGCTTTAAATATCTTCTTTTGCTTCTCTGAAACACTTATTTGATGACAGTTCTTCAACATTTCATTAAATAAACAAATCAGTCATGTAATATTTTTTGAATGCTAGAATTTTATAACTTAATAACCATCTAATCTACACAGATAATGTGGTATACAAAGATAAATAAAACATGGTTTCTGCCCCACAACGGAGTGAACCAAGGTAAGAGGGAGGTAAGGGACAAGGGCTGAATCTGAGACAAATGTGTATTTCTTGTCTCTAGTTTCAGGACAAGACAGCAGACTGGTAGAGTATTCCTTTAAAAATCTAATTTTTGCTACACTCTTTCCTCTGTTAATATAATTTAATATTTCTGTAAGAGAAAAAAGTCTAAGGTATTCATGAAATTATCAGGAATAGAAACCTTTTTTAAGGTCTCATATTTCTGAATACAAATTTATTCAGGACTAGGTTTTCAAGGGTGCATTTAAAGAATATAGTTATTCCTAATAATATATATCATCATATGAACAGGACATGTGTTATTAAATGTCTGTAATCCTCAAGATAAATGCTAGTTATGACTCTACTTCACCCTTGACATTTTTTTAAGACTGTGTGGATGGCTTTGGCTCTTTATAGAGATGGAGTACAGATTCCCTGCTCTCCCTAGACAGAGCAACTTCTTGGGGTACCAGTTTATCCAGAAATAGCTGTAGACTTATATTCTATGAAATGTTTTGTATGAGCAAAAGGGGAGCTATGAGCTATGTAGATCCCTAAAGAGCCTTCTGGTAATTCTTTAAAATCAGGCTCACTGAATTACCTGCTTTGGAGGTCATAACTGCCTCAGTCTAAAAGTTGTTAACTAATTCTAGGGAGTTCAGAGGCCTGCAGTGATGAACACCATGACCTCCCCAACTCCTCCCTAAATAACCGTGACACAAGGGATAAAGATTCCATCCAAGAGTTAAACCATGACATTTGACATTGTAGCTACTCTCTATCTGTCTTAGAACTTTTTAAAGAATGAATCAGTATTCCTGAGTGAGGTCAATTCTGGAATTCCAGTATGTTTGAGTTTCTGAGCAGTGAGTATAATGCCACCTTGTGTTATCAGGGATGGAATTGTCTTGGGACCAGCTGGCCTTCTCCAGCCACACCCTTTTCATGGCTAGCTGTTGGAGTCTTTCCTTTGGATTCTACATAAGCACCTTTTCAAAGAGAATAAAAAGTTAATACTTTTAAAACATTCAATGAAGTTCATAGTAGAACAGGATTTGCTAGGTTTGTGAAGCCCCTCTCTGTACAGCTCTGTTGGGGCTGGGAGAGAAAATCTAGAAGACTGTAGGTATGGCAGACAGTGCATGCTCCTGGTGCCTGGGCAGTGGTGGAGGAGGAAAGGGCCTGGATAGAACACATAGAGCAGCCCTGGCTGCCATAAGAGTACTAAAGCCAGAGCAGGTGAGCCTGAGGGCAGGAGCCAGGACACAGCAGGGGTCAGGCCAGCATGGAGCAGATGTGGGACCTTTCTGAGTTTGGGTCCTGTTTGAGGTTGGGGAGGAGGTGGGAAAGGGATCATTGCTCTTTGTTACTCATATTTTACTCTCCCCTAAAGCCAACAGAAATGGGGAAAAAATAGGTTGGAGAAATTAAGAAGTTAGTTAAGAAACCATGTATTAAGTTACTGAAAGAGTTCAAAGTAGCTTTCCTCTTTTACATTCTATTCCCTGACCCACCTGGAAAGATACGAAGCCAGAAACCTTCATCAGAGGAGTTCATTAGGCCTTATTATAAACTAAGCACATTTGATCACATGGTTCAAATGTGTAATTATTTAATTTGAGAAAAAATAATTTATTCTCTTGATTCAAGATAATGGTGCAGTAATATAATAAAACTTCATGTGACTTCGGATGACAAAGCTGATTTGAAGTTATTTATTCAACTAGAATTTTATAGTAGAATAATTTCTACTGAAAACATAAGAAGCCATATATTATCTACATGTTAGAAATTTATAGCAACTATTGGAAAGTGACTTCAATAGCAGTTACAGTTCAGCATTACAAACTAAAGCCCGTGTGCGGTGGCTCAGACCTGTAATCTCAGCACTTTGGAAGGCCGAGGCAGGAGGATAACTTGAGGTCAGGAGTCTGAGACCAGCCTGGCCAACATGATGAGACTCTGACTCTACTAAAAATACAAAAATTAGCTGGGTGAGGTGGTGGGCACCTGTAATCCCAGCTACTTGGGAGGCTGAGTCAGGACAATCACTTGAACCCGGGAGGTGGATGTTGCAGTGAGCTGAGATCACGCCACTGTCCTCAAGCCTGGGTGGCAGAGTGAGACTCCATCTCAAAAAACAAAACAAGACAAAAAAAAAAAACAACTATTTAAAGTACTTGCTCCAGCACAGGTTGAACTTCCAAACAGGTATTTCTTTCTAACTGGCTTGAAATGCTTTTTTAAAAAATTTTTATTTTATTTTTATTTATTTATTTATTTATTTATTTATTTATTTATTTATTTATTTATTTTTTGAGATGGAGTCTTGCTCCATCACTCAGGCTGGAGTGCAGTGGCGTGATCTCGGCTCGCTGCAACCTCCACCTCCAGGGTTCAAGTGATTCTCCTTCCTCAGCCTCCCAAGTAGCTGGGATTACAGGTACGTGCCACCACACCCAGCTAATTTTTTGTATCTTTAGTAGAGAGGGAGTTTCACATGTTGGCCAGGCTGGTCTCGAACTCCTGACCTCATGATCCGCCTGCCTTGGCCTCCCAAAGTGCTGGGATTACAGGCATAAGCCACTGTACCTCGCCCTTTTTTTTTTTTTTAAACATCTTTGGTGTATGTATTTGCTGTGCTCGTATATAAGCTCTTACCATTGCCTCTGTTTTTCAAAATGGAAATATCTCTTTGTTTTTGCCTTCATCTTTAGTTATTTATGTAATTTAATCAATGCTTTCACCAACTTGAAAAAAATGCCTTAAGTCAAAGTGGCTATATTGGTTTTTTTCTTATTCTAGAGGCAATGCATGTACATGTTAAAAAAGAAGATTCAGAAAAGTATAAAGATGAAAAAAATTATCTGTATAATTTTACCATCTAGAAATAATTACTATTAATTTATTGTATATACATCTAGGTATTTTTGTATGCATAAAAACACAGTTTTAAAATGTAAAAATGGAATCCTACTATACATACCATTTAATAGTGTCATTTTTTTCTTCTTTACAATGAATCATGGATATTTTTGAATGCTCACAGGTATAGATTACATTATTATTTTGAATAGCTGCATAAATTCCATTATGGCTGTTTCATATTTTTTTAAACAATTCTCGTATTGATGTGATCATTTAAGTTTCTAATTTTTCACTCTTAGAAATGAGACTTTATGAACATGTTTGCATATATATCTTTGAATACCTGTCCAGTTATTTCCTAGAATAAATTCCTAGGAGTAGAAATGCTGGAGCAGCCGGGCGCGGTGGCTCACGCCTGTAATCCCAGCACTTTGGGAGGCAGAGACGGGCGGATCACGAGGTCAGGAGATCGGGACCATCCTGGCTAACATGGCGAAACCCCGTCTCTACTAAAAATACAAAAAAAAAATTAGCCGGGCGTGGTGGCGGGCACCTGTAGTCCCAGCTACTCGGAAGGCTGAGGCAGGAGAATGGCCTGAACCCAGGAGGCGGAGCTTGCAGTGAGCCGAGATCGCGCTACTGCACTCTAACCTGGGCGACAGAGCGAGACTCCGTCTCAAAAAAAAAAAAAAAAAAAAGAAAGAAACGCTGGAGCAAAGCGTATTTTAACTTGTCAATTTGGTGTACCTATTTGTATTTCCATCAACAGTTTATGAGAAGGCCTGTTTCTTCACAACATAATCAATGCTAGGTACTTTCAGTCTTTTAAATCTTTGCTTATGTGATAAAATAGCATAAAATAGTATCTTGCTGTTTTACTTTTCTTTGATTACTAGTTATTTTCATTATCTTCTCATATGTTTGTTAGAAGTTTTACTTTTTGTTTTGTGAATTCTCCTTTACTCATTTTTCCATGGGGTATTTAACTGCCTAATTGATTTACAAGGGCTTTTTATATAGAAAGGCTATTTAAACTTTTTATCATATATGTTCCAAAACCTTTTTCTAAGTTTGCCATTCACCTTTTAAATTTGTTTGTGATATTTTGAGGCATAGAAGTTGAAACTTACCCTCAATTCTATTGATCATCTCCTTTTATGGTTTCTGGCTTTTAAGCCCGGCTTAAAAAGACCTTCACTCAAAGATGATATAAATATTGACTTATGTTTCCTGTTAGTACTTTTATAGTCTCATTTTTACATTAATTTTTTTAAAGATCTGGAATTAATTTTTCTGCAAGAGACAAGCTAACTTTCCCACATGTTAATAACAAAGTGATCCCAGCATTAATTATTGAATCATTTATCCAGATAGAGCCTGTCTGCCTGCCTGCCTGCCTTGGTTCCTCCCTTCCTTCCTTTTTCTCTCTCTTTCTTTCAGCAGAAACCATCTCTTCTCTTTTCTCTGCTCCCATATTTCTGGAGGGAAACAGAGAGTGGTATGGAACTGAAACAAAGAAGAAAGAAACCAGAGAATGTAGTAATGCTGAACAGGTTCAGAAGTGCTGTACAGCATTCTAGAATAGCTCTGTTCTACAACCTTGCCCAGTGACACACATATAAATAGGCACTTCTGTGGGTCAACCATGGTACTTTGACCCACTTAGTTTCCTGGCAGAGGTGAGAATAACAAGGCAATTCTCTCAAGATTTGTGCGCATAATCCTGGTTATAATGGATTCATGATTTTGTACCTGTCAACATTTAAAAGAGGAATGGACTTGACAAAGCTTCGAAGATTTGTTTCTACTTGATTATATAATATTTTAAGTGACCATAACAGGTTTCAATTTTTAAACTGATTTTTCTCTTTTAGGGCAGAACCATACACTTTTCCTCCTACTTCTACTAAGCACCTATCCATCCCTTCAAAGTCTACTGTGGGCACTCAGACTGATTATCGGGATGCTGACGTTCAAACAGATCCATACTCTGCAGAATATGTAGTATGTCAGGACTCAATCCCTGAGCTCTTGACCCTGGCTACGCTTACTTGGGGTGAGTTGGTAAATCTCCTGACTATTGGCAGATGACGATGCTGATAACCACGCATGCTGTTCAAATGGCCCATGTACAGGCAATTGTGGTTTACAGTGTTGCTATATAAAGTGTCTTAGTACAGCAACTTCATAGACTCATAATTTTTCTGATACTTCTGGTCAAATAAAGATACTATCTTTTTATTGTGAGTAGTTTTATCGTACTCTATCTGTGAAGCTGAATTTCAGCTTAATATTGCAGTTGCTTTGCTGACTACTCACCTATGTCCTCTCATTTCTCTCTCCTAGTGAACCACTTCCTTTTCATTGAGCAATCATACTTCTTTAAACATAAGCTTTGAGTGTAAAATACTGAATGCACATTCCTATGTATGTCATATTATCTTAATTTGCCAAAATATCTTAATTTACCAATCCTCCCTTATATACTTTATTAGATGATTTGGATGACTTGACATTATCTCTGAAATGCTAAATATCTTTCAGGCTCAGAAATTAACTCTTAGAATGTAATAAAATCTGGCCTAGGCCTATATTATGTGAACCTATAAAATTAATAAGTGAGACTACCTTTAGAAATTATTAGAAATTAGCTTATGTAACTCACTTAGTTGTATTAATAGCTGGGAAACTGAGAACCAGAGAGGTTAACTAATTCCTCCAAGGACATAGAGATAGTTGGTTCATGGTAATGATTTTTAAATGAGATTACTTTCCCCCGCATTGTAACAGATAGCTGTGATCAAGTCTGCGTCCCAGACAAAGAAGATGTTCATATCTGGGCTCTAGTTTTGATTCTTGTTTCCTGGCCCACTTTATGAATCCAGATTAAGCATTATCAACACCCATACTTTTTTTTGAGACGGAGTCTTACTCTGTCGCCCAGGCTGGAGTGCAGTGGTGCGATCTTGGCTCACTGCAACCTCCGCCTCCTGGGTTCAAGTGATTCTCCTGCCTCAGTCTCCCGAGTAGCTGGGAGTACAGGTGCATGCCACCACACCTGGCTAATTTTTTTATTGTATTTTTAGTAGAGGTGGGGTTTCACCGTGTTAGCCAGGATGGTCTCGATCCCCTGACCTCGTGATCTGCCCACCTCAGCCTCCCAAAGTGCTGGGATTACAGGCTTGAGCTACCGCACCTGGCCCAACACCCGTACTTTAAAGCAGAGGCTCTACTTTCAGGCCTAGATGGCAAATTAAAAATATGCTGAAACCTTCCCTTTCTGCTCTGAATGCATAAAAATTACAGGAAAAAATTAATAAACATGTAGACACACTTAAAAGCAAGAAAGAAAATATTCGTAATGTAGAAATGGAGACTTTTTCCTAAGAAAGAAGTAGCTGGGAACCTTTGGTGGTGAGTAGGAGCTGTGCATGGCAGGGAACCAGGTCCAAGTCACCTGCCTGAAGGTGAGGGGCCAGCGCCCTTCTCCTGCACACTGGTGCAACTGAAGCCTGGTGCCTGCCCAATAAAGATTATAGACAGAGCAGAGTCAGGCATTCCTGCCTGTGGCCTTGGACTTTACCTCTTGGTGTGATAAGGACTTGGCGTTAAACTGCAGAAGGACAAGAGCCAGGCAGAGGCTCAGAAATGCTTCATTAGGCAAAAAACAAACAAAAAAAACAACCTAATCTGGTACACTGTCATAGCAGAACTGAAGTTAAAGTGTCAATAAAAGCCTCTATGAGACAGGCCTACTCCTACCATTTGTGGGACCCAGGACTCTAAGGGAGGCCCACCTACCATATGTATAGATATTTTAAAATTATAAATCAAGCTAATATCTGTTAAGTAAAATACGTTGGTTTTTTTTTTTTTTTTTTTCACAAACATCTTTATAACAAGTTAAAAGGACAAGTTTAAATTGGAATTCTTAGACTCCTGGGATTCCATACTGTAATGCAGCAGCGAGGTGAGAGCCTGCTGTGGCCTGCCCTTTTCTCTCCCCACCCTGGCTCTGCTCTACATCTGAGGGGCCTGTCATGCATGCCCGTGATTACCCCAGCTCTTCTTCTCAATGTTCACACATCCCTACGAACAGCTGCCATTTGGCCCCACCTTGGGCTTCAGGGTGAAGAAACAGCAGCATATAGTATGCTCTCAGGAATCTGAATCCTGTGAAGAGGCCCATGGAACCTTTGGAAGCAGGCTCGGGGCCATTTGTAGAAGGATTTCCAGGACCACCTGGAAATAGCTCCAGGTGGGCATGAGGCCTTGGACTCCTCACCTTGTGGTGATGAGCAGGGTTCTAAGAATGAATTTAGGTAGTAGCCACTCGCAGGTCAAGGCTGCTTATTGACCAGGGTGCTTATGAGAGAAACCTGCAGCTGGTCTCCACCCAAGAACCCCAAAGCACACAAGGAACAGAGACACCAGGAGTGACCCACAACAAATAAAGGAAATGGAAGAATAAATTTCTGAGTAAACAGAAAATGGAGCAGTCTGAAAAGGACTTAGGAAGTGCTTTCTATATTCTCAAAAGGATGAGGGGGAAATAGCAACACCAAAACAAGAATGGGAGTCATGAAAAAGAACCAGTTGGAATCAAGGGGGAGGAAAACTATAACGTTTGAAATAAAGTGAACTCAATAGTAGAATAGACGGAGCTGAAGAGCAAATTAGTGAAATGACAGATTAAATGGACACATATTCCACAATGCAACATATAGTGGTAGAACAAGATAAAAGAAAAGTAAGAGCTGTGGGGGCTAGGACATGAGTATAGGGAAAATGGTAGAGAAGCAATGCAAGAATCAGTGGCTGAGAACTCCCCAGAACTAAAGAAAGACATTAGCCTTCACACTGAAAAATTCCACTGAGTACCAAGCAGAATGATTTTTTAAAAACTCACACCTCCTAATAAAAGAGAAAGAAAAAGTGAAAAAACTATTAGAAAAACTATTAGAAAGATAACTCAGATTACCTACAAAGAAAAAAAAAGATGGATATTTTGTAGTATTGCCTTTAAGGTGCTGTGGGAAAATGATTGCAAACCTAGAATTCTTTTACCAGGCAAACTATTATTGAGGAGTGAAGGCGAGATAAAGACATTTTCATACATAAGAAGAATATCTATCTCATAGGATACTGTAAGGATTAAGTAAATTTATTTATGTAATGTGTTCATACCTACAATCCAGCAATTTCACTCCTAAGTATACATCAAAAAAAAAAAAAATGAGCACATTATTCTGCTAACGGAAATGCATAGGAGTGTTCACCAAAAGACATATACAAGAAAACTCACAGCAGCATTAATTATGATAACTCCAAACTGAAAACAACCCAAATGTCCATCAACCATAGAATGGATGAATGAAATATAGTCTATTCACATAATGGAATTCTATATAATAATGAGAATGAAGTACAACTACATGTGATTACAAGGGAGATTGTAGATGTGTATATAATTGCGTATATAATGCTGAACAAAATAAGATACAGAAGAGTGCCTACACTGTGATTTCATTTACATAAAATGTAAAACCAGTCAAAACTAAATTAACGCATTAGGAATGAGAATGGTAGCTATCCTTGGGACAGGTAGTGACTGGGAAGGGAGTATCATGGGCATTCTAGTGTTCTGGTAATATTCTATTCCTTGATCTGGGTGCTGATTATATGGGATGTTTGTTTTTGTTTATGTATGCTGTACATTCATGAAAAGTTTACATAAAGATAAGGGAAAAATAACGACAGTGAAAAAGGATGACACTGTAAGCACTGCGGGGATAAAATTAAGTGCTTATGATGTGTCAAGAACTGATCCAAGTGCTTTACATTTTAAACCTATTCAGTCTTCACATGTTAAATGAATAATAAAGTTGAAACAAATAGTTGACAATACAGATCTTTTAAAAGGCAAAAGAAATGGTCATTAGGGCCATAAGTAATTTTCTAATGAAGATTAATAATACAGCCAAGCCTCTTGTAGGAAGCATCAAGAAAGAAGACAGAAGATGCAAACAGAGTATTGGGATAGAAAGGGGGACAGAGTAACTACAGAATAAACAACTTAAGAAATACGAGAGTGCTATGAATATCTTTTGCCCTATATTTAAAAACTTAGAAAGGCTGGGCGTGGTGGCTCACACCTGTAGTCCCAGCACTTTGGGAGGCTGAGGCAGGCGGATCACTTGAGGTGAGAAGTTTGAGACCAGCCTGGCCAACATGGTGAAACCCCGTCTCTACTGAAAATACAAAAATTAGCCAGACGTGGTGGTGGGTGCCTGTAATCCCAGCTACTCAGGAGGCTGAGGTTGCAGTGAGTGACCCAAGATTGCACCACTGTGCTCCAGCCTGGGTGACAGAGCGAGACTCCGTCTCAAATACATAAATCAAAAAAAAAAAAACTTAGGGGCCGGACGCGGTGGCTCACCCCTGTAATCCCAGCATTTTGGGAGGCTGAGGCAGGTGGATCACGAGGTCAAGAGATCGAGACCATCTTGGCTAACATGGTGAAACCCTGTCTCTACTAAAAATACAAAAAAAAAAAAAAATTAGCTGGGCGCGGTGGCGGGCGCCCGTAGTCCCAGCTACTCGGGAGGCTGAGGCAGGAGAATGGCGTGAACCCGGGAGGCTCTGCTTGCAGTGAGCCGAGATGATGCCACTGCACTCCAGCCTGGGCGACAGAGCAAGACTCTGTCTCAAAAAAAAAAAAAGAAAAGAAAACTTAGATAAATTATACAATTTTTAAAGAAAATGTAAATTACTAAGTTGGTTTTAAGAAGAAATCACAAACCTGAATAGAAGAGTAACTATAGAAATTGACCTGGTAAAAAGAAAAAAAAATTCTTTTAAGAGCACCAGGCCTAAACAGTTTTACAGGTAAGTTTACCACACCTTTAAGGAACAAATAAACTGCTTTATGCAACTTCTTTCAGGAAACACAGAATAAAAGTTAATTTATTCATTTTATGAGACCAGTATAGCCTTAATTTGAAAACTGAATGAGGACAGTACAGTTATTACTTAGTATTGGTAGCACATTGATTTTAGGACCCTCCAACCCTACCAAGATTTTTGGATGCGCAAGTCTCTTATGTAAAATGGCATAGCATTTGCATATAACCTACACACATCCTCCCATATATTTAATCTCTAGATTACTTATAATTCCTAATGCAATGTAAATTATACATAAATAGTTATTATACTGTATTGTTTAGGGAATAATGACAAGAAAAAAGTTTGTACATGTTCAGAACAGACACAGTTTAAAAAAAAATAATTTCAACCTGCAGTTGGTCAAATCCACAGATGTAGAACCATGGATATGAAGGGCCAACTATACTAGTAAGGAAACTTACAGGCCAATCTCACATATGAAGAAATATGCAAAAAAATTCTAAATAAGATACTAGCAATCTAATCTTGCTGTATTTTAAAAGAGTGACTTATAACCAGATGGAGTTAATCAGAGAAGTTCAAGTTTGTTGCAATACCAGAAAGCCATTCATGTAATTTACCATTTTAACCGAAAACATAGGAAAAATCCTCTGGGTGCAGGAAAAAGTATTTTATAGCATGCAGTGCTCATTTATGACATATACTCTGAATAAACTGGGAGCAGAAGGAAACTTTAGAGACTTAATAAGGAATATCTACCACAGCCTGTAATAAACATCATACTAAAGGTGAAACTTCAGAAGCTTTACCTTAAAAGAAAAAGACATTGGTAATGCTCATTATCACTACTATTTAACAACGTAGAGGAGATCTTAGCCCAGAGTTTATCAAGCCTGGCTATGATCTCTCCTTTCAGGAACATTTGGGAATATGAGTGGCATTTTTCTATGTAATAATGATAGGAAGTGCTTCTGGTATTTAGCTCGTGGGACAGGGTATAGCTGATAGGCTGGCATGGATACTAAACATCCTGTACTGCTTGGGGGAGTTTCATACAAATAATTATCTGCCCATTATGGCAATAGCACCCTGGTTGAGGAACACTGAGTCAGTGCAGCAAGATAAGAGAAAAATGGAGGCATGGCGATTAGAAAGAAGCAGCAAAACTATCCTTATTTGCACACGTGCTCTCTTAGAAAAATAAATTATCAGAACTAAAAAGAGAGTTCAACAAGAAGTCAACATACATCAGTCGCTTTCCTATATGAGAGAAATATCCAATTAGAAAAATTGTTGAGGCCAGGTGCAGTGGCTCACACCTGTAATCCCAGCACTTTGGGATGCCAAGGCAGGAGGATTGATTGAGGCCAGGAGTTTGAGACCAGCTTGGACAACATAGTAAGACCTCCATTTCTACAAAAGAAAAATTAGCCAAGTGTGGTGGTGCACACCTGTGGTCCTAGCTACTCAAGAAGCTGATGCAGGATTGCTTGAGCCCAGGGGTTCAAGGTTACAGTGTACAGTGAACCATGATCTTGCCACTGTATTCCCACCTGGGCAACAGAGTGCGACCCTGTCTCTAAAAAAAAAAAAAAAAAAGGAAGAAGATGAAAGAAAGAAAAAGAAGAGAAAAATTATTTAGCTGAGGTCAGGAGTTCAAGACCAGCCTGGCCAACATGGTGAAACCCCGTCTCTACTAAAAATACAGAGAAATTAGCTGGGCATGGTGGCATATGCCTGTAGTCCCAGCTACTCGGGAGGCTGAGGCAGGAGAATCACTTGAACCGAGGAGGAGGAGGTTTCAGTGAGCCAAGATTGCATCACTGCACTCCAGCCTAGGTGACAGAGCAAGACTCTGCCAAAAAAAAGAAAAAAATCTTGAAAAAAATTACATTCATTTATTTGTTTTAGAGATGGAGTCTTACTCTGTTGCCCAGGCTGAAGTGTAGTAATGTGATCATAGCTCACTGCAGCCTCAAACCCTATGGCTCAAGTGATCCTCTCACCCCATCCTCCCAAGTAGCTGGGGCCACAAGTCCACACCACCATGCCATGCTAATTAAAAAAATATATTTTTTTGTGGAGATGGGGTTTCATTATGTTGCCCAGGCTGGTCTCCAATTCTTGGACCTAGAAATTCTCCTGTCTCGGCCTCCAAAAGTGCTGGGATTACAGGTGAGCCACCGCACTTGGCTGAAAAAAATTACATGCACGGTAGCAATGAATAACAAAGTGCCTAGGGAATCACTTAATAAAAATGTACAAGGGATTTATGGTGAAAAGTATAAATTATTCTTTAAGCACATAAACAAAGATTTGGTGAAAAGAGAGAAAATATTTATCAATGGGAAACTCATGCTTGAATAGATAAGACTTCTCCCTCAAATAATTTATACCTTCGAGTAGTTCTAATCCAGATTCCCACTCTCAATATAACTATGCCTGGGTAAATTAGCACTTTTCATCTTCTCTTCCCAGAAATTATACAAAAGCAAAAGCAACAATACTCCCACGAACTCCATTTTCAGTAAAACTAAAAATATATGTAATTCATGAACCAGTAAATATTTGTAAGGACTGCAAAAAGCAGCTGAGATTGGGCAGATGCAATGTGGGAGGAAGTGAAGCATGCACCGTGGGAGAGGAACCATTAGGGGATCTCAGAAGGCAGGGGCAAAAATATACTTCTGAGGGTAAATTAAGCAATATCCAGAATTAAAAATAATCATATTTTATGATGTAGCTGCTAGACTCTAGCATTTCTACTTCTAAGAATCCTAGAGAAGCTCACATATGGTACAATGAGACCAGTACAAGGATGTTTGTTGCAACATTATGTATGATCAAAAAATTAAAAGCAATCTAAATGTCATTTGAGAAGATAGATAGCTTAAATTGTAATAAAGCCTTACAGTGGAAGAAGGAAACTAGATCTGTATATATCAGTACAGCTAGGCTTCCAAAACAAAGATGAGTAAAAAAAGCAAGCTGCAGAATGAATAGCTATAGTACAATACCATGTATGTAAATATTAAATAAACATCAGTACTGTGTCTTGCTTCTATAGAATTCATTTTTGGTTCATATTTGCTTTTACTAGACAGGAAGTATAGTATAGTGCACAAAAATACGAGGTTCAGACTGCCATGTGCAAGTTACTTAGCCTTTTAGCCCTTCAGTATCTTTATTTGTAAAACAGGCGTAATTATGTTTATGTGATAGGGATTTGTTGAAGATTAAATGCATTAGAAAAGTGCTTGGCATAATAAAAGTGCTTAAATAGCCAGGCATGATGGCTTATGCCTGTAATCCCAACACTTTGGGAGGCTGAAGCTAGCAGATCACCTGAGGTCAGGAGTTTGAGATCACCCTGGCCAACATGGTGAAACCCTGTCTCTACTAAAAATACAAAAAAAAATGAGCCAGGCGTGGTGGCAGGTGCCTGTAAGTAATCCCAGCTACTAGGGAGGCTAAGACAGGAGAATCACTCGAACCTGGGAGGCAGAGGTTGCAGGGAGCCGAGATCGTGCCATTGCACTCCAGCCTGGGTGACAAGAGCAAGACTTCATCTCAAAAAAAAAAAAAAAAGTGCTTGGCATAATAAAAATGCTTAAGTAATGTTAGGTTTTATTATTATTATAATTCATAGACACATAAATTTGTATATAAAATGTTAAGATTGAATAGAAAACCACAAATTCCTTTTTGTGTTTACTTGGGGAAATGGGAGAAGGGAATGGGGCTCAATGTGGTAGTTAAAAGGTACATCGGCTTTATTTATAAGGTTTCAATTTTTTATTAAAAAATGTGAAGTATATATGACAAAATGTGTACAGTTGTTAAGTCTGCATATTTATGGTATGATTTTCATAGTTATTTTTTAAATTACTAAAGAAAATGCCACGCAAGACCCACCAAATAATATGTAGATACATATATATACATATATACACATACATATATGTGGTATTTTGTATACAGATTTATTTACTTCTTTATACATCTATAAAAGTAAAAAGATGAGCTGGTGGTATTACTCCTCACCAAATGCATCATTGTGACTGCCTCTGGGAAGGTGATCAGAATGAGGAAGCAGAGTACAGAACTTTAGCCTTCTCTATAATACCCTAATTTTATTTTATTTTATTTTTATTTATTTAGTTTTTGAGATGGAGTCTCACTCTGTCACCCAGGCTGGAGTGCAGTGGAGTGATCTTGGCTCACTGCAACCTCCGCCTCTGGGGTTCAAGTGATTCTTCTGCCTCAGCCTCCCAAGTAGCTGGGACTACAGGCGCCCACCACCACGCCTGGCTAACAATACCCTAATATTAAAAACAAGAGATAGTGAATTCATATATTACTTATTTGCTTTTTAAAAGCATAAACATTGCAAAAGATCTGAAATAAGACACAAATCTTAGGCATGCCCTACTGTACGTGGTAGAAATATGACCTATTACTTATTTCCTTAGATTTTTCTGTATAATTATATTTTTAAATGAAAATAAAACAAAGGTTGGCTTATTGTGGTTCAGTGATCAAACAGGAAACTTGTTCCAGCCTCCCTTTCCTTTACCTGCTTTTGCAAGGCCACATTTAGAGGTGCTAGGCACCTAAGTGTGCTGGCATCCTCAAAACTTGATCCAGGGAGGCATACGTTGGCTTAGGTCTCAGCCAGTGTCTCGGAGCTGGTCAGGAGACATATCCAGTGGCCACATCCTCCTGCCTGACCTACAGGTATTGTGTCTTTGAATGCTTAAAGTTGCAGGTAAGAGATAGCCCTAAATTTTACATTCACTATGGGGACAAAACCCAAAGATGGTGAATTCTCAGCTAGTGATTAGTGTCTTCATTTTCTGTTATTTTTTAAAAAAGTATGTGGCCAAGTGGCTCACACCTGTAATCCCAACACTTTGGGAGGCTGAGGCGGAAGAATTGCTTGAAACCAGGAGTTTGAGACCAGCCTGGGCAACATGGTGAAACCTTGTCTCTACAAAAAAATAAAAATAAATTAGCCAGGTGTGGTGGCACATGCCAGTAGTCCCAGCTACTTGGGAGGCTGAGGTGGGGGGATCATTTGTGCCTGGGAGGTCAAGGCCACAGTGAGCTGTAATCACATCTCTATACTCCAGCCTGGGCAACAGAGTGAGACCTTGATTCACAAAAAAGAAAAAAAAAAAGTATATATTTTTCACTTTTATCGAACAAATTCCTTACCCCATATTTTTCCCACCTCAGGGCTCTGAAAATGCCTTGTATTTCAGTATATAAATTTGTTTATTACAGAGCATTCCAAGGTGTGATTATTCAGTAGTCACTTAATATTCTTCAAATGCATTCCAGCATTCTACATGCAACTAAAATGTCTTACGGCTCAATTACTAGCAAGAGGCAGTGGGGCACAGATAACACAAGCTGTGAGGCACATCTAGAGGCTGTTCCCTAATGTCATGTTATGCTGTCATGGCCCTTGAATTTGGAGAAGAGGAAAGGAACTGACAGGGAGTTAATTATATACTGGGGGGTGCATGGGTCAGCTCACTTGTTCCTAAGCTGTGCTGCTTTATCCTGCAGGTCGGGGTCTCCCAGCAGGACAAGCTGAGGTGGAGATGATAGAAAGAGCCCGCGAGAAGCGTGCTTGGGAAGCCTCTCTCCCCGCTCTGAGTGACACCTCCCAGTTTGAGAAGAGGAGGAAAATGATGAATGAAATGGAGAGGAAGGAGTGGGCCTTCAGAGAGCAGGAGATTGAAAAGTAGGTTCTCTATCACCCAGACAACTGTTCCTGCACTGGTGGGAATAATGTTAATACTTTATATCTGCAAAGCATTCTCCCAAATGTATGGGTTGAAAAGCAATCCTCAACCTATAGAGATAGGAAATTGGGCATCCGGTTCTTTCAGGAGCAGTCACATGCTTCTGATGTGGTCCAGAAGCTCTGTATAATTTTCCCTCCAAAAACATTAAAATGTAGAATGCCCTCTGTGTGTTTGAAGAAGCTCAGCATGGAACCCAGGTTTGAACAACTCCTGAAGGGCATCTCTGATTCTTCTTTTCCCTTTTCTCTTTAGTATCTATCTTAACTGTCACAGAATCCCACTAATTTCTGCAAAGCACCTTTCAAACTGTCCCTTCATGTTCATTCCCAGCGCCACTGTCCCAGTGCCTGGGCTTTCTTCATACCCCTTCAAACAGCCTTGGCACTAGTCCTAGCTCTTACCCACCCCCCACCCCGACCCAAGACACTGGGTTCACAGTCAGGATGCCTTGCGTGCTAGCTAGAGCTGATGGGGCATTTCCTAGTTAAAAGACAAATTATGGAATTCTTCCATTAAGAGATGAGTATATAACAATATACATAAATAACAATATGCTGAGGTACTTGTGGTTGGGTTTTCAATTATTTTAACTGATATATTTTCAGTAATGGAGTTGTTGCTGATATGTGGAAATGATAAGAGATTATGAGAACCAAAAAATTATAACTCTCTAGCAAGAACAAAGGAAGGGCGTTTGCTGAGTTTGTCCTTTGTGCTAGGCTGTGCTGACGCACTTTATTGCTCTAAGCAATGCTACCAAGGACCCTTACACACAAGAGAGGGACCTAGAGAGTTAGAGTCTCAGCTTGGTGCTAAATTTGGAATATGTTAAATTTTTTGCAACACCTTCAGATTAAGCCTGAATCTAGGCTTTGTGATGTTTTGATAAAAGCTTGCAATTTAGTAAAAAAATAGTGTTTGGGCAAAGTAGGTGTCAAATACCCAATCCTGTTGGCAGAAATTTAAATTTATTATTGTACTTTGGAAAGATATGTGTCTTTTCAAAAGGCATTAAAACTGTTAAAAATGTATCTGGCCAGAGTGAAAACGTCATCTGAGAAAGCAAGTACATTTGTTAAACTGAGGGCAATTTTAATACATGTATTTTGAGTCCCTTTTACATGCTAGACTCTGTGCTGTGAGTTGGGAAAATAGGGATGAATAGGAAACTGCTCTTCCTGACAGAGCTCCTTATGGTCCACTGGGGCAGGGGGAGCAGGGAAGGTGGACAAGGAAGGGACAAAAGATCTTAGTTAGATCAACCCCTCTCAGGCTGTGTCTATCAGGTGATGTGCTGTTCTGTACAAAAAGTGCTTGGTGGAACCCAGGTGAAAGAACAGTTAGTTCTATTTAAAGTGGGCGATTTGAGAAAGAAAACTACTAAGAGGAGGTAGCTTCTGAGCTGGGTTTTGAAGGGTAGGTAAGAAGCCATCAGGCAGATAGTAGTATCAGACAATAATATCAGAAGCTATCAGGTAGACCAATACTTGAGAAGTGTTGGTCTGAGATTTTTTGCACCGTCTCCTTGCCCATCTGCCTGCCCCTTCCTGCCCCAGTGAACTATAAGGAGCTCTGTCAATAATATCAGATTGATGATGATAATGATGATGATGATGATGATGATGATAATGATGATGATTAGTGGACTATAAGGAGCTCTGTCAATATCAGATAAGTGAATGGTAAGGAGCTCTGTCAATAATAATAATATGATAATGATGATGACGAGTGGACTATAAGGAGTTCTGTCAATGATATCAGATGAAGAAGAAGATATCTATAGAGCATGGAACACTTATAGAGGGCTTACTATGTGCCAGATGATGTTCTAAGCATGTAGACCTCAAAGTGTGGTCCACAGACCAGCAGCATCAACATTACCTTGGAACTTGGTAGCAATGAGGTGATCAGGCCCCATCCCAGGACCTACTGAATCAGGGGTTGAGGCCCAGCAATCTGTGTCAGAACCTGCCCTCCAGATTATGCTGCACTCTTAAATTTGAGACTATTGTTAGAGCACTTCGTGTATACATTAACTCACGTAATGCTCACAGCAACTTCATGAAGAGGGTACTATTATTATCTCCACTTTACCATTGAAGAGATTGAGGTCAGTGGTGACATGGAAAATTGAACCTAGCATTTCTGACTCTAAAGAGAAAGGTGACTGGGGTGTGTGGCTTAGTTTTAAAAATGCCTACCTCTCCATACTCATTTGTCACTACACTCTCGCCCCTCTCAAGTGCATTCACTCTGAGAAACCCTGCCAGTGTGACATCTTGCTGTCCCTCCAGTCCTTTTGAGTTGAACATTCAGCTTCCCCTGCTGAGGCCCTGCTTTTCCTTTGTCAATGTAGCAAATCCCAACCCTGAGTTAACAGCTCCTCTAAGGAAGGCTTCCCCACCTGTTCCCTCTTTTCCCCCTGCCCTATCCTTTCTTCTTCCACGAAGAGTTTTCACTCTTCTAGCCTGGTATGTATCTCCTTGTGCGGGAAATGTCGGTTCTTATGCCTATTCCACCAGAACAGTGCTTGTTGAGAGAAGGTGTTTTATCTTGTACATCATTGTTCCTGCCTGGCATATGGTGGGCACTTAATAAATATTTGACAAATGAATAAGTGAATAAATTCAGGTATGAATTTCTAAGCAGGAGTAAAATGTATGTTCAAATCTCTGTTTTAGGAAGGAAAACCTTGACAGCTGGGTGGAGCAAAGATTAGAAGGAGGACAGACTAGCAGCTAGGAGTCCACTTTAGGAGTGATATGACCAGACATGAGCCAGGGAATACAAGAAGCATTGCCGAGGAGAGATCCTTAGCAGCGGGAAGAAGGTGTAAGAGGGTCAGACTTCTGGGGGAACAAATGAGTAGGGTTTTGTTTTGTTTTTTTAATTGTCAAGTGGTGACTGGAGATTCAAATAGATGGAAATTCTGGTTCAGAAATATCTAAGCTGGGCTGGACATGGTGGCTCACGCTTGTAATCCCAGCACTTTGGGAAGCCAAGGTGGGATCACTTGAGGCCAGGGGTTCGAGACCAGCCTGGCCAATGTAGTGAAACTCCATCTCTACCAAAACTACAAAAATTAGCCAGGTGTGGTGGTGGGTGCCTGTAGTCCCAGCTACTCGGGAGGCTGACCCATGAAAACTGCTTGAACCCGGGAGGCAGAGGCTGCAGTGAGCTTAGATCAGGCTACTGCACTCCAGCCTGGGCAACAGAGCGAGACTCTGTCTCAAAAAAAAAAAAAGAAAGAAAAAAGAAATATCTAAGCTGGAGGTACAGATAACAGTCATCTGTGCATTGTTGGATGCACATGAGCAAGGTAGCCCAAGGAGAACAAGTTGAAGGTAGGAGGAAAGGAAACAAACATTTGTTGAGTACCTATTATATGCCAGGAACTGGCATTTTCACCTCACTCCTTAGGATAGCATGCCAGAACCGCATTTCCTCTTCACTCCCCCTATTATGTAACCCTCCAGGAATACCACTCAACCTGGCACTGTGCACAAACCTCTTACTGTTCCTTTAGGCCCACCTGCCTAGAGAGCCCTTCTTTTACCCCATCTGCCTGGCATAATCTTCTTCATCCTTGAGAACTACACCCATATATATTCCTATTATATAGAGAGTCTCTATTGAGTTGCCTCCCCCACGCCCTCAATTCATCTGTCATACTTTTGCCAGAGTGGTCTTTTGGCAATACATGAATATGATAGCAGCCCACAGAGAAGAGCCTGTCTGTGGCAGCTGTTCCCTTGCCCTCTGTTTGAGATGCCATATGCTTCTTTATGTTTTGTAATTTACTTGAAGACTGCAGGAGATTCGCCTGGAAGTTCTAAAAGAGCTGTTGAGGAAGCGTGAAGAGAATCAGAATGAAGTGAATATGAAGCACTTGAATGCCCGGTGGTCTAAACTGCAGGAGGGAAAAGAGGCAAAAATGGCAAAAATTCAGCGCACGCATGTATCAAGTAATGGTGTAGTATGAACAATGAAGACGGTGGAAAAGTGGGCTTTGCTTTGGATCTTTGACCAAACCTGACTTAACTATGATATAATTCTGTTTTGGTCCTGGGAATCACATAGGTAAGGGCTAAGAGATGAGTTATTTCTTAAAGGTAGAAGAATGGAGGAAATTCCCTTACTAAGAAAATCAAGTGATGGTGTCCTAACAGGTAGTCGAGTTACTGAGATAGTGTGTGTGTGTGTGTGTGTGTGTGTGTGTGTGTGTGTGTGTGTGTGTGGTGGGATAAGTGTTGGGTTCCCCATATTCATGGTCCACAGCCCTGGATAAAGAGCCCTGTTTCTTACCCTTTCTTCATTTTGCCCTTAAAGGAGACATTTTAGACATCCTTTTTCCTAATCACCTTGCTACAAGAAATTTTAATACCGCAGATATAACATATATATGTTTATGTACTATATGTATATGTATTCTGTACTTTATACATGAAAAGAGGAAGTATATGGTTTATTATTTTTATTCACTGCAAGATTAATAATGACTGAATTAAAGATTCAAGTTAAATTTATATTTGAAAAATTTAAGGCCGAGAGAGGTAGCTCACACCTGTAATCCCAGCACTTTGGGAGGCTGAGGTGGGAGGATTGCTTAAGGCTAGAAGTTCAAGACCAGCCTGAGCAGCATAGTGAGACCACGTCTCTACAAATTTTTTTTAAAAACAGCCTGATGTAATGGTACACATCTGTAGTCATAGCTACTTGGAGGCTGAGGTGGGAGGATGGCTTGAGCCCAGGAGCTCAAGGCTACAGTGAGTTGTGATAGCACCACTGCACTCCAGCCTGGGTGACAGAGACCTTGTCTCAAAATAAATAAATAAATAGTATCAATTACATGTGCAGACTATTTATATATGTACTCATTCACAATATAATCACATTTTAAAAAATCATTCAAAACTTATTTTTCCAACAAAAACAAAACAATCACAAAAACAAATTATTGCTTAAAATTATGTTTAGTGAACTTAAATTTAAAATTTTTCTTTTTGAGAAAAGAGCACTTAACTGCTAGATATTTATTTAGATACAATCAACATTTGTTTCAGTACTTGGCATAACTAATGATAGATCTGACTAATTTTTGTAGGTGAATAATAACATTTAAATCATTTTTACTTAATTCTAAAACCCAAGTCACACCCAGAAGTGCTGAGAATCAAACATAAACAATATCCCCAAGACAGCAGTGGCACACAGGCCCCCTCTTGCAGCATGACGTCACGATCTTGTATAAGATTTTTACCCCCATTGAAAACGCACAATGCAGAGCCGCCAAAAGGTCTTGGGTCTGTGATGGGATTTGAGAGAAAAGGAGCACAGGAGGTGGCGAGCATGACTCTTTAGATGAGTATACTCCTGATGTGCACAGTTGAGCCTTTCCCTCTGACTGCCAAACAGTTCAGAAAGCTGTAAGCTGAGACAGTCTTTGGTTTATTTTGGTGTTAACCAAGATGAACCTGTAGTCTTTGCTTTTGATTATCCTTGTAGGGGAGAATAATTCCCTAGTTCCCCACTGAACATGTATTTTCCAGTTGCTTTGAGTTTCATTCATTTAACAAACTTTTACTGAATACCTCTTCTTGGCCTGGAGCTTGAAATGCAGTTATAAAAGATTTTTGACGAGTACCGATTGAGGACACTAGCTGATTCTGCTTCTGTCACTCCTGCCTGTCTCATGACAATCTGGGCCACACAGATGGCAGATCTCTGTTTTTAATGTTACATTCTGGCTGTCGTGAGTCATCAGGAAATTCATTCATTTCAATAGCTTCTCTGTGAATAACACTAGCATTGGCTTACTCTTCTGCATTTGTAATTCAGAACAATATTTTAGAGATAGTCATGGAGGTATGTTTTATTTCAGCAATCAGAAAACTTGTAGGAAAGAGAAAGAATATAGAAGGGAAGTTGGAGAGAAGAAATATCATCAAGGATTATTCTGATTATGCATCACAGGTCTATGGACCTCTGTCTCGTCTTGGGTGTTTCCCAGACAACAACTCAGAGGACTTTGTAGTAAAAAACTACTATCTCAACACCTATGAAGGTAAGCAATTTACATAATTAGAAATCCAGTATAAGAAGGTTGTCTCAGAAATATGATTAAATATATAAAATGTAGAAATTTAGATTAAAAGCTAAGCAATAAAAATATTTGCAATAAACACTGATGATACAAACCAATAAAAACTACTAAGACCCAAATAAATAAATGGACACACTATAGAACAGTTCAGCAAGGACCAAATTCAATTAGCTAGTAAATGTTAAAAAAATGTTTAATGTCACTAATAATCAAAGTTATTTAACAATGAAATTGAGAAAAGTTTTATTCCAGGTTTATGAAGCCAACAAGAAATATGTATAATGAAATCAACCTTTTATAAAGAAATGTCAAAAAACTAGTGGGCAAGAGGATGGAGAACCAGGTGATAAGTTCACGGAGAGGACTATACCTCTTATGAAGTTCAAAAGAGGCTTATTTAGTTATTTAATTTCACTGACAAATTGAAGTATCACATGGCCAAGATCATGAGTTGCTGGTTACACTGCTGAACTTGTAGCTCTGGCTGGCCATCTCCAGAGCAAAATGTAATAAATTGGTGAACGTCTACTTTAGAAGGGTGGCACCACATATCATAGAATCATTAATTTTCTGTTGATTATTATTGTGGAATTGCTACTTTTTTGTAGGGCAATATTTTCACTTTAGAATGCATTTCTCATTGTACAGTCTAAGTCACTGACAACATGAGTTAATTATATGGAAATGTGCTATTACATTTCAGGGACACTTCATTCTATTATATGAGATACACCCTCTCAACAATTCTAATGAAACTGCTTGGCAAACAGCTACAAAAGTTAACAATATACCTTAAAAATAATAAACGTAAGCACTGGATACTAAAAACATGTGCTTCCTTCCCATAGGATTAGTGGAACTTGAGTCATGTCTCCCAGATTTTGTGACACAACCCCAAATCAGAGCTCCAAAACCTAAAGTCATTACCACCAAAGCTGGTTTTCTGAAGAGGGCAGCAAGGTTGGACTATGAGTTGGCAGAGGTTCATAAGGTATAATCATTATCTGGAGGACAAAATGCTTCTAGTATGATTTTTGCAGATAAATGCTACACTCCAAAAATTGCAGCAATGTCCAGTGGGTCAAACATAGACCTACATTCTCTGCTCTGCACTTTTCTGAGGTTGCCCATGCTGTGCTGAACCAATGTGTATTTCCCCTCATTTCACATTTCAGGAGACTTCTTGGAGATTTTTTTCCCCATTTGCAGAGGTCATATTACTTTCTGAAAGCGTTTTCCACTTGGATCTCTATATAAAATTTGACGCTATACTAAGGTGTAGCAAGTTTCTATTGTTGGTGTTAATAGCTATAATAGGCCCGATTTTCTCCCTTTTGTGTTCATGTGATCAGGGCATATGAAGAAAAAGAGTCATGTTCAACACCTTTCTCATGTAGTTAAAGCTCTAAAGGCTCTAGTTAAAGCCTTCACCAAGACTCACAGTACGTCATCCACCAGCTGGGCTTTCCCTTTTGGTAGCTGGACTATAGGTGTATAGAATCTGTGGTTTATGCTGGTGGTTCTCATTCTTTCCTGTGCATCAGAATCTCATGGAGGACTTGTTAAGACACATGCAGCTGGGCTCCATCCCCAAAGTTTCCGATTCAGTAGGTCTGAGGTGGGGCTGGAGCATTTGCCTTTTTTATAAGTTTCCCGGTGATGCTGCTGCTGCTGGTCCAGGAACCACACCTCGAGGCCCACTGTTTTATAATACACTCTCATCACTGGCCCATGCATGCTTGTTTGTTCAGTTGATTTTAGTAGTTAATAAAAATTGATGGGAACCTATCCTCAAAACAGGACCTTAACAGTAATTTATGTATATCGAGGTGGTTCTTTCCCACCTCATCCCCACGCCCCCATCTCCTTTCACCCATCCTGAATGCTGTGTTCATCATTCTGTCACTTTCTGTTAAGATTTTTTTATAGATTCTTTTTATTAGGTTACGGAAGTTCTCTTCTTAATTTACTAAAGCCTTTAATCATGTGTTTATGTTGAATTTTATCAAATGTTTATCACACAATTTTTGTATATTTTTTAATTATTGTAGTAACATTTATAATTGTTTATAAATATTAATCTATCCTTGCATACCTGGGATGAACCTGCCTTGGTCAGAGCATACAGCTTATTTTCAATACCTTGTTGGATTTGATTTACTCATATGTTGATTAGGATTTTGCTTCTACATTCATGAGTGAAATGACCTTCTTGTTTTTCTTTCTCATTTTGACTATGTATGGGGTTGGTGTTATAATTACGCAGGTCTCCTGAAGTGAACTTGAGAATATTCCTTCCTTTTTCTTTTTTTGAGAAGAGTTTAAATAAGATTGGGATGATTTGTTCCTTCACTTTGGTAGAATATGCATATAAAATTATCTGGGACAAATGTTTTCTTCATAGGAAAAATTTTAACCACTACTGCAATTTCTTTACAACTTATAGAACTCTTCTGCATTATTTTTGGTAAATTTTTTTTTATAAATTCCATTTCACCTACCTTTTCCATTTTTTTGGCATATGATTGTTGATAGTATTGTTTTATAATCTTTTAAATGTTTGTTTTATCTTATTCATGTCTACTCTTTTCACTTACAATATTGTTTATTTATGCCTTAACTCTTTTCCTTAATCAAGTTTACTGAAGGCTTGCTTATTTTCTTAGTATTTATGTTTCCAAACAATGAACTTTTGATTTTGTTGATTTTCTGTGTTATATTTTTAATCACATTAATTTATACTCCTATATTTATTCTATATTTCTTTCTACTTTTTTAGGGTTTGTTTCACAGGTCTTACCTTAAATTGCACATGTAGCTCATCAGTTTCAGGCATTCATCTGTTTTATATAAGTATTTTAGGTTAAACATTTCCTTCAAAATACTGACTTTTGGTACATTTCATTAGTTTTGATATGTAGTATTTGTCATTCTTAATTTCTAATATCAAAAAACCCATTATGATTTTTTAATCTGTGAGTATTTAATAGTGTGTTTTAAAATTTCCAAATATGCAGGAATTTTAACTCATTTTCTCATTAACCTCTAACTCAATTGCATTGTGATCAGAGGTCATAGTCTGTGTGATACCTATCCTTTGAAATTTCATGAGGCTTGCTTTGTGGACCAGTATATGATTATACATGTAAAATAATAAAAGTACATCTTCAAATCACACTGTGCCACTTGATGGGTAGAGCAGGCACCTTAGAGCAGATTATTCCCAACTCCTTCTTCCCTTCCCTGTGATATTCCTGTCATTCATTTCACTCGTCCAAGTGCTATATATAATCAGCCAATACTTTTTTACTTTTATTGCTTTAGTTAACAGTTATCTTTTAGATTAAAAATAAGAACAACAATATATTTTATTTATTCCTTCTCTTCTGCTCTTCTTATACTTATATCGATCTAAGTTTTTGATCTATAACATTTTTCTCCTGCCTGAAGAACTTTTTTTTTTTTATAATTTCTTGCAGGGAATGTCTGCTGGCCATGAATTCCTTCAGTTTTTGTTTGCCCCTTTATTTTGGGGAGCGGGGGGAATGTAATTCGC
The DNA here is from genome assembly GCF_000001405.40 of Homo sapiens. NCBI lineage: Eukaryota > Metazoa > Chordata > Mammalia > Primates > Hominidae > Homo > Homo sapiens. Next base: position 119,736,072 of record NC_000003.12, read on the forward strand.
ACACAATAAAATCACCCTTTAAAAATATATAATTCAGTAGTTTTTAGCATATTTACAAATCTGTGCAACCATCACCACTATCTAATTCCAGAATATTTTTGTCATCCCCAAAACAAACCCCATGCCTAATAGTGCTCACTTCCAATTCCCCCTTCCCCTCAGCCCCTGGCAACCACTATTCTACTTTCTTTCTATTGTTTTTTTTTTTTTTTTTTTTTGAGTTGGAATCTCACTCTGTTTGTCAGGCTGGAGGGCAGTGGTGCGATCTCCGCTCACTGCAAGCTCTGCCTCCCAGGTTGACGCCATTCTCCTGCCTCAGCCTCCTGAGTAGCTGGGACTACAGGCGCCCACCACCACGCCTGGCTAATTTTTTTTTTTGTATTTTTAGTAGAGACGGGGTTTCACCGTGTTAGCCAGGATGGTCTTGATCTCCTGACCTCGTGATCCACCCTCCTCGGCCTCCCAAAGTGCTGGGATCGCAGGCGTGAGCCACCGCGCCCGGCCTATTCTACTTTCTTTTTATGGATTTGCCTATTCTGGACATTTCATATACATGGAGTCATGCAGTATATGGCCTTTTGCGTCTGGCTTCTTTCACTTAGCATAGTATTTTTAAGGTTCATCCAGGTTTTAACACATCTCAGTACTTCATTCTTTTTTTATGATTGTGTAACATTCCATTGTGTGGATATACCACATTTTATTTATCTACTCATCATTTGATGAATACACCAAGAATATAACCATGTCTAGTCAGTGGTTAACTTTTTTTTTTGTTTTTTGAGATGAAGTTTTGCTCTTGTTGCCCAGGCTGGAGTGCAATGGTGCAATCTCAGCTCACTGCAATTTCTGCCTCCCAGGTTCAGGTGATTCTCCTGCCTCAGCCTCCCGAGTAGCTGGGATTACAGGCATGCACCACCATGCCCGGCTAATTTTGTATTTTTAGTAGAGATGGGGTTTCTCTATGTTGGTCATCAGGCTGGTCGGTTAATATATTTTTAGGAATATCATAGCACGTCTTGAGAGATACACACATTCTTGTTAGTGTTTCTCAAGCTGACCTAGCATCACCATAGAGAATATTAATATTCTGATTAATATTTATATCTGTGACCTAGATCTGGTAATGAAGGAAAATATAGGGTACAATATACATTATTCAGGTGATGGGTATGCTAAAAGCCTAGATTTCACCATTATGTAATACATTCATGTAAAAAACTGCACTTTTACCTCTTAAATTTATGCAAATTTTTGTTAAAAAAAGAGATTATATTAATTGGCATTATTTCAGGCACTGTTGGATAAGAAGAATAAAGTTCTTGAAGTAAAGAAACCCCCTCGCTTCCTTCAAAGAAACCCAATACCTCAACCTCGGCTTCCAACTCCAACCTTGGAAATGACGTCCAATGTAAGTTGGAAACTTTTTAGTTGAAATGCTAAATTCAATATCATTGTCAGCTTATTCTTAGGATAGTTTAGCTTAAAGCAAATCTAATTTAGCAGTGTTAGTTTCCCAAGCTCTGACTTAAATATTGTCTTTATTCTTATGTATCAAACATCAGACACAGAAAAACAAACGAGATGAAATGAAATCTAAACCCAGTCCTTCTCAAAAATAAAAACACAATTTAAAAAATCTTTCCATGAAAAATCAGCATCAGAAGGTAGTGCTCATGTATATGAAATAGAAAAAGAAGATTGAGTGATGATCAGCTACCATAGCTATCTTCCCACATGGAGAGATGGCTGATGACTGTTGGAGTCGAAGAGGAATGAAATGCCAGAGGTGTCATCAAGACGGACTTGCTTCTGGGGTGGGAATGACTCAAAGAGCCCTGCCCAGGGCCACATCTCACCAGACTCAATTTGAGCAAAGTATCAGAGTTGGTTAGGATTTAGAGGGCTGACTCAGACTAAACAAATCCACAGGAAACTGTTAGAGATGCCATGATGCAAATTTATTACTTTACAGAGAGAACTATAACTGCCTACTGGATCAGGCTGTTCCTCTTGGCTGGTCAGCACATTATCTCTCAGTATGGGACAGTCCTCACAAGAAGCCAGATTGTATTCAGAAGGCTGATGTGTTTCTTGGCTGAGGGCAGGTGTTGGTGGGAGACCATGCTAACACCTGTTACTACCTCTGATGAGTGGCTCCTGCAGAGGGACCAGAAAGCTCCCACCAGCCAGCGGGGATGTGCTGCTGGATAACATTCTCTTTTCTAGACTTTGTGCAGGGCTTTGGTTGACATATTGTCTTTTTTTTTTTTTTTTTTTTTTTTTTTTTTTTTTGAGACAGAATCTCGTTCTGTCACCCAGGCTGAAGTGCAGTGGTGCAACCTTGGCTCACTGCAACCTCTGCCTCCTGGGTTCAAGCGATTCTCCTGCGTCAGCCTTATGAGTAGCTGGAACTACAGGCATGTGTCACCACACCCAGCTAATTTTTATAGTTTTAGTAGAGATGGGGTGTTGCCATGTTGGCCAGGCTTGTCTCAAACTCTTGACCTCAGGTGATCCACCTGCCCTGGCCTCCCAAAGTGCTAGGATTACAGGCATGAGCCACTGTGCCCAGCCTGACAACACATCGTCTTTCATGTGTGTTAATGTCATCGATTAGACTGCTGTTTTCTTTTTACATTCAAAGGAATCTTAATTCGATTTCCAGACCCTGCTTTTTCTGCTTTGGACACAGAGTTTTTAAGATGATTTTTATAGATGGCTAACCTTGTCTCTTATATTCTGATTTTATCAGCATAGCTAAATTCTTGTGAGAAGTACCTTACTCTGACATAGACTAGCTGTATTTGTGTCTACTGATGATCAAACATGAAAAATCCTATTGCAAAATGATGTTATATGCAATACTTGTTGCTTTAAGAAATATTTTGCTGGAAAGGAATATAGGGAAATGAAAGTGGTTTCATTTGTAGGGATAGCATGGCAGGGAGTGAATTTTTTGCTTGTAATATGATTTGTTAATGATGAAAAATAATGAATTCTAATGTAAGTAACATTAAAATACTATATGTTCAATAAGGGCAGGGACCATCTTTTATTTCTCTTTAAATCTTTTTGGCATCTAGCACAGTCTGTTTTGCTTGAAATAAGTCTTCAAAAGAATATTTGATGCTTGGACTACTGCAGTTCTCAAGCTGCTTGGTTCTCCCTTTGTTCTTTTAGGAAGAAGAAGAAATGGAAATGGCTGTGATCTACCTTCAAAAGTTACTCCGGGGCAGAGTCGTTCAGAACATGGTGTGTAGGTCCAACCGCTGGCCCTGCATTTCTCTTTTGAGAATAAATTTTTTAGAATGCATATGTGCTTGGTTCCTTGGAGTGAATCCCTTTTGCACCCTGCTATCCTATTCAGCTAAACTCTTGAGTTGCCTACCCATTTCCTTCTGGTGACCCATTTCCTTCTAATGGCATCATTTGTCCAGGTGGGTGGCACAGTGTCAAGGAGAGAGACAGGGAGGACCTACCTGCTATTTGCCATGGTTGTAACTAAGGCAGTATGAAACTCACTTCTTCCTTGGAATTGTTAAATCCATACATTTTCTCACCTGAATTTTGGCTATTTAAGCATTATCAACCAGGTGGATTCCCTAATTTTCCACAGTCATAATACAATTATTTGAGTTTGCATATGTCTGGCAATCCCTACATTATAAATGAAAGAGCTAAATAATAAATTATGGTTTTGAACCTTTACTATATGCCCACACTATTTATTCTTTGCTCTACATATGTTGTCTCATTTTTTTTTCCTATCCATAATCTCATTTTACAGGCAAGTAATCTGAGTCTGAGGGAGATTTAGTTATCTGCCAGCAAATTCAGCTCTGGTCTTCCCGAGTGTAAAGCCTTAGCCAGATTATTTGTGTTGCTGGAGCAGGCACACTTCACTTAAAAAATGGACTGATATAAAGCCCCAGTTAATTTTTTTTCCCAGATAGCTATAACTCATAAGAGATTCAGATATGATGAGTAAATCATCTGGATGAACAACTTGTGTTTAGCACTGTTCTTTACTCTTCTTTCAGTATTTTCCCAAGAGAAATGCCACAGTTAAATTCAGACAACAGATTATTACAAACCAGGGACAGATTTATTGGAAAAAAACATATGGCCATGAAAAATGCCATCCTCAGGTTTATTAGGGAAGGAGCACAGGAAATGAGGGGAAGGTTCTGGTTTCTTCAGATGACCCTGGAGTTGTCATCTTGTCCTTGAGAGGCATTCTCAGAAATTAAGCACAGCTCACTGAAAACTAAGCCCATTTTCTGCCTGAGAAGCTGAAGGCACAGAAAAGAGGGCTGAGCTCTAGCTCTGTGGGACACATCTGCTCTGTGGAACCCAAAAGGCAGGACAGAACCCACTGTTCACAAGTGTCTCACAAGTCACTGCGTGTGACTCCTAGTGCTTGGCACAAAGGGATGGTAACTTGCAGGTCTGTCTTTGATTTGATTTGATACAGATGTTTGAAGGGAAAGAAAAGCGACTGGAGTTGATCCAGGAGTTGCGCACCTGCCACGCACTACAAGAAGATGAAAAGCTGGTGAAAAAAGCCGAGAAGCAAGTGACCCTGGCCTTACAGCGGCAGAGGAACTTGCATGAGCACAAGGTTTTCCTTTTTTTGTTTTCTTGTTACTTTCTTGTTAAATTTTCTCCCTTGATTTTATCATCACACAGCACCATTATAATAAAAATTAATGAAATGATGAAAAAGAAACAGCCCCACAATCCCATCACTCTGTCAGCATTTGTGTGTGTGTGTGTGTGTGTGTGTGTGTGTGTGTGTGTGATGGAGTTTCACTCTATCGCCCAGGCTGAAGTGCAGTGATGCAGTCGTGGCTCACTGCAACCTCTGCCTCACGGGTTCAAATGATTCTCCTGCTTCAGTCTCCCAAGCTGGGACTACAGGCATGCACCACCATGCTTGGCTAATTTCCGTATTCTTAGTAGAGATGGGGTTTCGCCATATTGGCCAGGCTGGTCTCGAACTCCTGACCTCAGGTGATCCGCCTGCCTCAGCTTCCCAAAGTTCTGGAATTCTTAAATAATGCTGCTGTAGTCCTTAATTTGATTGGGGATGTGCCCTTACTGATTTGAATATGGTGCTATTTTTTCTTTATTTGCAAAACAATAACAACAAAACAAGAAGAATGCATTCTTTTCAACTTTAAGATTTTTTTCCTTCCATTTTTTTCCCCAAATATCCAGTGACTATTGTATTTCAGTTAGTGAGGGCTTTGTAGACTGAATAAATAACAAAAGCAACATGAAAAAAGTGAGAAATAAGATTTATCTTAAAATATTAGCATTTATTTTGGAGTTTTAGAGCTGTCATAGCTCATGCTGGTTAAACTGCATATTAAATGTGTTACTGTTTCATGATATGTGGTGACTTTCGTCATGACCTCCCAGCTGTGTGCCGCCTGACACAGCTAAGAATTACAGCTCCAAACCAACAACTGTAAATATTTTTCCTATTTTCTTCCAATGTTTGTCTATATATGTATACACACTTTTAAATGTTATTGACATAGTATAGCTATGCTTTATTTTACTCCCTCTCCCACTTTTCTGTAAGTCAATCTGAAAAAGAATCAATTTGCACAGAATTTAGTGTTATAGGGAAGTAATACTTAAAGTTAATATGACCCCCCCTTTAGCAACATACATAACTCTTGTGTTATGTGGGAGTCGGGCACAAATGGTAAGCAGCCTGGAAATGACCACAACTTTGTTTCTTTCACATGACAGCAGCACCATGGATGTTTGCTGAGCTTGGGGAACTTTTGGGGGGTGAGGCAGAATGGGGAGGAAGCAAGCCACAGGCTGTGAGATCCAACAGAGGAACCAGAGAAGGAAGAGGAGAATGTCAACACTGGAGTCCCTGAATCTAGAAGTCCTAGAGTCCTGGAAAAGCTCAGATAAGGAGCAGAATGCCCTGGAAGCGCTAGGCCCTGAGACTGTGGATGAAAAAATGCCCTCCTTGGCCCTTTCAGTTTCTGATCATGACTTTAGTGGGTATAGCTAAGCTAACCCAGGCTTTTCAGCTCATTTATTCCATTTAGTGGATATACATGTGAGTGAAATCGTGTCCGCCTACAGCTAAGGGAGGAGTTAATGGGCAAAGCTGTCACTTAGCCAAGGACTCACTCTGCTTACCTTCAGCTGTACTTGGATACACCCTGGATATATGCAGGGATCTGAGGGAGTGAGCACCTCATGTATAGATGCAGCAATGCTGGTCTGCCCCCTTCCCCCTTCTCTTATATTTCTGTGGAAAACAGTCCAGAAAATGCACAACCCCCAATTACGTAACACAGTACTTTCTGTGACTACAGTGGAGTCCCCTCCCTAAACATTTCCCTTAATTTCAAATTAGATGGTACTGCCTGTGCCTACCCAGATTTCTTGCTGAGAGAAGAGGCTAAACATGAACAGGATTTCTAGCCACCTCAGGATTTTCAAGGTTGCACCTGACCCTGAGTGAGGGAGCTTATGCTCCCTGGAGACAAGGAGAGAATCTATTTGTGATCTCTGGGCTGAGTATCTACTGTTTATGAATGGAAGGAGTAGTGAGATGCTCTTAGCTTTGCCCTTTTTTTCCATCTCTCCCTATTATATAAGTAAAGTTGAACTTTGTGGTTAGAAAGTGTGTGTGGGCTAGGAGGCAGGTGAGGATGAAGATGGGTGGTGTTGGGGCCAACAACCACACTTGACTGATGCTTTTACCCATAGCCCCATGGCCTCTGAGAACTGAGTATTCCCTCCTTTCATACAGAAACCAGGAAGGAAGCTGAGCATAGAGGGAGAACTGTCACTGAGAAGGTGGCATGTGACTGGAAGATGAACCCTTTTCCCTTACAAGCAAGGATAGGAGAGGAAAGGGGATGAAGTTGCAAAGTCATCTTAAACACTTTTCTTCTCCATATGTCAAAGCCAGGACACAGGGATTCATAAATAGGCACTGTAGCTGACTTCTGGCAGAGAGCACAATGGGTCCCTAATTTTGCCTCAGTGATTAGATGGACATTTGGTCTGTTTCCTGTGCTTTTTTTTTTTTTTTTTCTGAGATGGAGTCTCACTCTGTCACCCAGGCTGGAGTGCAGTGGCGCCCTCTGCCTCCTGGGCGCAGGCAATTCTCCTGCCTCAGGCTCCCGAGTAGCTGGGATTACAGGCACGCACCACCACGACTGGCTAATTTTTGTATTTTTAGTAAAGACGGGGTTTCTCCATATTGGCCAGGCTGGTCTCGAACTCCTGACCTCAGGTGATCCACCCGCCTCAGCCTCCCAAAGTGCTGGGATTACAGGCCTGAGCCACCATGCCCAGCCATTCCTGTGCTATTTCGAATATTGTTGTTAATGACTTCAAAGTTATTAAAAAAGTAAAAAGTACCAAGGTTTTCTACTTTCACGTTATTCAAGATCTTAACTCCTAACTTGTGTGAAAGGAAAGATATTGAAAAATTAACTGATATCATGAGTGAATTTCTAGGAGATTCAATTTGATTAAACTCCAATATTATCTTTAATAAAAAACTTGACATTTCCCTTCATATCTGAGAAGACACACTTTACCTTGTTGATAAAATTGAAAGAAAAAAAACCCATTCTCCATGGTCACTAACAGAAACGTCTTGCTAAATCCTCTTGCTTATTTGAGGGCTGTGGTCCATCAGTGACTGACCAGACAATCGACTTTCTCGTGCCTCAGTTTTCCTCATAAGAACTTGGGTTGGAGCCAATTGAGAGGTAATATTCCCAGTAAAAATTAAATGCATTCTGAAAGTGAATTGACTGCCAAGAGTTTTGAGTAATCCAGCACTTCTTCTAATAATCACCACTCATAATGGAATTTGTGTCCTTAAAGTTATGTTATTCTTTTCAAGGTGTCACTGGTTGAAAACCATTTGGCCGGACTGGAAGGAAGGGCACTAGCAGACATGTTTGACTTCCTGTCCAAAGAGCTGGTGAGACTGCAGGAGGAGAGGAGGATCCATGCCTTTGTCATGCTGGCTGAGCGCCAGCGGCGGGTACGAGAGGCTGAAGAGAGTGGTCGGCGCCAGGTGGAAAAACAGCGCCTGCGGGAGGAGGACGAGATATTTAAGGAGGCAAGTAGGGGCAGCTGGGTGTGTGGAAGCTGCCTAGAAGGAGCCAAGTCAAACCAAAGGAAGCTCATGACATAAAATGGCATTTGGCTTTTGTTTATGCATTGAGTTCCTACTGTATGCCAGGCACTCTACAGAGGCACTGTGGGAAACTTTGGAGGAAAAAACCCAGACACGATCCCGTCTCTCCTAAAGCTTAAATAACACATAATACGCACGTGTATAGAATTAGAAACTGTAATGAGTTCCATGAAGGAAACAAATAGGGCCCAGAGACACATTTTAAGCCAGTTACTTCACTTGCTGTGTGGAGCACAGGCTGGAGGGAGGACAGAGGGGGAACAAGGCGGCCAGGAAGGAGCTGTTGAAGTAGTGAAGGCCAGAGTGAGAGACAGGAAGTCGAGTATTACATCCAGTTTCGGGCTTAAGCAGCTGGAAGATGATGGTATTATTTCGTGAGGTAGGAAAGTTGAGAGAGGAATAAGCTTAGGGGCAGGGGAGGAATCAGGAAATCAGTTTATATTTCGTTTGGGACATCTAAGCAGAGGTATTGTTTCAGTAGATGGATCTACAAGATGGAATTTAGAAATGAGGGTTTGGCCGAAGATGTAAATTTGGAAGTTGGTGACCAGCTTCTAGCCTCCTACTAATCTCAACACACTTTTCTTCAAAAACAGTGACTGAGATTTAGAAATTATTGGCAAATCAGAACTTGCCATCCTTTACCTAATATCACTAAGGAAGAACCAGCTGGGGATGAGAATAAGAAGAAATGGAACAGAGGAGCTACTATACACAAAAGCAGAGAAAGGAAAAAGCTGGTAAAAAAGCTTCTTAGGAAGATACCTTCTAAATGGGAATGATGTCAGAAAACATCAGCTCTGTCTAGCAAGGGCAAGAAAGGGTTAATATAGCCTTTCTAGCCTGATTTAAGAACCACTTAGGTAAAAAATGTACTCAGCTATGGACCCACAGATTCAAATATCATCCATATGTTAATTCTCAACCTTCCTAATTAAAATATAGTGACTATTTTCCATCCTACTTCCCCAGCCTCCATTCAGATTCTCTTGAAGAGAAATATGCTTGCACATAAATTATAAACCAGAAATGTAATATTTAATAAATTTCCAAAATATGCATCTAGATAGTGAGAAACACAGATATAAAGTCATCGACTCATCTTTAAATACATATAAATTTTGCAGGCACATACATGAGGACATATTTACAAATATAATCTGGTGTGCACAACATTAGCAAGACATAGAGGAACACACATAGCCACACTTTTCCTTATTCACATACATACACGCACAAACGTCTCCAGAAATTTACACATTTATAAAGATATACATAAACACACAGGTACATATACAGCTATGGATGGACCATAGTAAACTTTCCACCTCTCTACTATTACGTGACTGAGCTAATTGATCCATATAGATCCAACTTGCTTCCTGAATAAGAGGGTGGGCTCTATGAGAGCATGAATATTGTATATTCCCTTTGTGCCTTGCACAACACAGTGTAGATCCCTGTAACTAATAGGCATTCAGCAGATATATTTTGGTTGGTTAGTTGTTTGGTTGATACTGTATTAAACTGGCCATTGAGACTCTCCCATAGAGAAGGCATAGGGATTGAAGGTTGATGTTTTACACATAGGTGTACAGTATCATATACTCAGAATTGTGCCAAAGTGCCAATCCACAAACAGGTACTGAATTGTTACTGAGTCCCAGGCATTATCTCAGATACAAAGCTATATTTAGACATGAAACAGAAAAATGCCCTACCTCTAAAAAGCTGATAATCTGTTGAGGAGACAGCATACATATACAGGCAAAACTAAGTATGCCACAGTTGATGCTTAATCTTTCTATATACATACACCTGTAAAGCGGGCAAAACTAAACTACTTTGTTTATGGTTACATACCTAGGTAGCAAAATTATAGAGAAAAGAAAGTGTTTACTATGAAAGTGGGAAGGTGCTGTGGTAAAGGAAGAAACCATGGTGGCCTTCTGAGATACTGGCAGTTACTATAATACATGGCTTCTGACTTTACCCTAATTCATTACACTGTACATTTATGTGCTCTGTACTTTTTATTTTGTTTTATTTTTCTAATCTCTGAGTTTGCTTGCAATGCACTTTTAAAATCTGTATCCTATTTCATGATTTCAAGTAAACTTTAAAAAGAAGCAGTCAAGGGCTGGTATGATAGTTCAATAAATTCATTAGAGACCCAGGATCCTTCTAGCTTTCTGCTCTTCTGCTCCTAGGTCGTAGGCCTTCTGGCAATTTAAGATGATTGCTGGTATTCCAGCATTATGTCCTCATGAAAGGAGAAATGAAGAGAGAAAAAAGGAAGCCAGGTCTTTCCCTTTAAGAATCCTTTCTTTGGTCAGAACGTGGTCATATGGGCAATCCAGCTCCTGTGGGTGCTGGGAAATGTAGTCTTTATTCTAGGCACCTGTTTCCCTAGCTAAAATCCAGGGGTTCTATTATGTAAGAGGAAGGAGAGAAAGGACACTGCAGAATACCTCCTAGTCTGTGCTACAGTTAGATAGTTTGACCAAGTCACGTTGCTGGTAAGAACAAAGCCAGGATTTGAACCAGCGTTATTGACTCTGAAGCCCATAATCCTTCAGCAGTGCTGTCTTGCCTGCCTGCCCAATAAGATCCATAATTCTGAAATGGGCTAAATGGGTGTGGGCTGCCCAGAGTGAGTAGGTAGGTGGATGAGAAACAGACTGATGAGATGCTAAAGAAAATGAATGATTAGTGAAGGGACTGTTGACTTATTAAATGAAATATATGAGCTAGAAAAAGTTAACCAATGTTTGTGTATTTTTCTTGTGTTGTTTACAACAGCATACCTGTTTTAGTGAGGGTATTATTGTTTTTTGCAGGTGGTTAAAGTTCACCATAGTACTATAAGCTCCTACCTAGAAGACATAATACTGAATACCGAAGCGAATACTGCAGAAGAACAAGCCAGGGCAGAAATAGAGAAGATGGCTGAGAAAATCAATGACATTGCTTATGAAATGGAAAGCCGGTGTGTATCAAGAGAACAGATTGTAGAATGGACAGCCCATTTGCTGGTACTCATATATATTTTTTCAAGAGCTTACAATTTCACCACCAAGTAGAAACAAATAACTCATACTTCAGCGTCCATTGTTTTATTAACATTAACTCTTGAGAAGCCAATATGTGTATGCCTCCGTATGTATTCTCAGTTATCCTCTGCAATCTGGATTACTCTCATTACTTACTTTAAGAATACTCGGAAGCATGAAAACAATGTGAATACGTGTGTGCAACATTACTGGGACTTCATCCCAAGGTTGCTGGCTTCTATGTATAAGCTGTGTTTCCAACATTCCCTTCCTGGCAGGCAGGGTAACTGAAGGACAGGGTCAAATCCAAATTTTTTTGTGGAGTTAAACAAACTTGCCAGGAATGTGATATTTCAGATCACTTAATCAAGGAAAAGGTGATGGTGGGGTTTGAATGGAGTTGCTTACACAGCAGGAAAGCATAAATCAGCAGCTCAAGTGAAAAAACCAAAGAAATAATTCAATTTGTTTTATATTTTTTAGCCGAACCTATCTTCAGTCAGAGGAGATTGTTGCTGAGTTGGTTTATAGTTTTCTGATCCCAGAGGTGCAAAAATACTTTGTCAAAGAAAAAGGTAAGCCAATGTAAATGCTTTACTTTAGGATTTTTTAAAGATGTAAATTATTTTCAATATCCCAGAGATTTAAAATTAAACAGAGGGATGAGGAAATTTCTAAAGGAGGATCACTGAGTTTTCTTATTTCAGAGCTTGTCAGGTTCTCTTCATGCTGCCTGATTCTAGAATATAATCAACTCTAGTACAGATGGGTTGTAGTTCTAATAAGAGTGACAGTATCAAAATCCAAACCTTGTTTAAAAGGATGTTCCCAAGTTTTCAGAAGAGCTGTATTTTTTTATTTATTTTTTTAAAAAGCATAAAACAGATATTGAGCATATAAAAGATTTTCACATTGTAGCAGCCTTTCAGAGGCAGGACACGTGAACCGTGAATGTTAAAAAGGAAGGGTGCTAGAAAGGTCTAAGTCTACCCTGCTGCTCTGCCTGTACCCCAAATAGCTTATTTCTGCTGGAACTCCATCCAAGTATAAATATCCTAATTTATCATTTGTCACCGGTGGCATGTTTTTAAAGATTGATGCTTTTAGTCAATAGAGAAAGAGAAAATACTATCTTAAACAGAAAAATAAGATTCTTCCATAGCTCTGAGGCTGCTGATGGCAGGCTTGATCCTAGACAGAGGGGTGCAACCAGGAGAAGACCAGTATTTAAGTGAAATAGCAGCTCAGAAGTATTGAAAATTATACCGGGGAATTCCAGATGGGCTTAAGCAGAAAAATGCTTAACATTTCAATTTGCTCAATCAGGGATAAAGAAATGGTGGAGTTCTAACACATTTGGAGAGGACAAAGAAATACCTGATTTTTCCATTGCATGGTTGTAGTGTAATTTTTAAACCAGTACCCCCTAAGGATAAGCATTTAGTTTGTTTCCAGTTTGTTTTCCTGTTACTAACAGTGCTTCAATCAATATATTTTACACATATCCTGACCATGCTTCTGAGAGTACATTCTTAACAGTGCAATTGCTGGGATATAAGGTATATGTATTTTACATTTTGATAGATAGTACCAAATTTCCTTACAAAAAGATTGTTCTACCAATTTGATATTACCAAATTGCCCCACAAAATGATTGTTGACTTGCATCAATAGTGTATGATAGTGCTTATACAAAAAATTAATTTTCAGATCAAGTAATATATTTCTGTGTCACATTATGTTATAAAAGGACCTTATGTTTTCTAGGACCTTAAGAAAATATGCAACTCTGTTCCACTTCTCCTGAGTTCAAAGTGAGGCCAGCCTGCTTCAAAGCCATTACACCCTTGGTTGAATTCCACCCTAGGATTGAAAGAGAGGAGGAAAACTGGGTTTAATATTTACTAGTTTGTGGCCAGGTGCAGTGGCTGAAGTCTGTAATCCCAGCACTTTGGGAGTCTGGGGCGGGAAGATCACTTGAATCCAGGAGTTGAGACCAGCCTGGGTAACACAGGGAGACCCAGTTACTACAAAAAATATTTTAAAATTAGCTAGGTGTGGTGGTATGCACCTGTAGTCCCAACTACTCAGGAGACTGAAGTGGGAGGATCACTTGAGTGCAGGAGGTGGAGGCTGCAGTGAGCCGAGATTGTGCCACTGCATTCCAGCCTGAACACAGAATGAGACCCTGTCTAAAAAAAAAAAGAAAATTTACTAGTTTGTGATCCCCTCTCCCATGTTGGGAGTCTGAGTTGAGGATTTGGAGGAAGACTTGAGCTAACGGAATCCAGTGGAACTTATCTATGGGCAAGTTGAATGAGTCCTTAGCCTCTTCCCTTTATATTTTTGCCAAATCAAAAAAGCCATATGAACAGGGAGCACACTAGGACCTTTTTCTCTCTGTTCAAATGAGAACCATATGTATTATATATACACTCTTTACCCAAAATTAAGATGATAATATATACAGACGATTTTGAGGTATATCACTTTTTGAAAAGCCAATGGATCAGAAAGACCTTAAAGATACCTGTATATAGATATAAAGTAATAGTAACTGCCAAATTTTAAATGCATGCTAAGTTCCAAGAAGTTCACTGAACATTTTTAAATGTACACTATCTCAATTTCTTTCAAGAGTTGTAGGTATATTCTCATTTTTCACTTAATGGAAATTAGCTCTTAGAGACATATGACTTGCAAATTTGAACCATGGTCTATGTGACTCCAAAGCCCCCACTTTTTCAACCATATTACTGTGAAGTGCTAAAAACTGCTGAGTGAATTACCCTATCTAAACTACCTGATACCCAAACAGCAAAGAATCCACAGTACTTCTTGCGGTCCTTTACTAGCTATTTGACTTTATGTAAATTACCTAATATCTCTGTGTCCATGTTTCTTCTTCTGAGAATGCGGATATTAAAATACTATCTTCTAGGAGGATTAAATGAATAATTACATGTGAACTGCTTAAAACAGTACCTGGCACAAAGTAAGGACAAATGCTAACTGTTAACATCATCATCATCACTACTCCTTTCCAAGGGCTTAGGTGCTTACCCTGATAGTGAATATTCTTAGAATTTGGAGCTAGGACTATGTTCTAAAGCCATGAGCTCATAAACTCATCATCAATCAGTAAGTCCCTTCCACATTAAGAACTAAGGCTCAAAGAGAAGTATAAGACTAGGTCTTTATATTTGTAAGTTACTTACACTCTAGATATCAAACGAAATGTAACTCACATGAAGTGCTTCAATGCTGAATAGGTTGGTACAAACTCAAGTGCGGTAAGTGGTAAATCTGGGCTGATGTAGTCAGAGGAGACTTCCTGGAGGATCTTGGACATGAGCTTTCCAGGTTTTAGAGTGCAGGCATTCCAGATGAGGGAAACTGCTGAGGAGTGGAATGGAGGCAAGCCTGGTGGAAAGGAGTATGACTGGGCTGAACCAGAGAGTGGGAACAGAGGGAGCAGAAAGAAATTAGATTTGGGTTGGGTTTTACCTTTAATTTGCAAAATTATTTCTATCATGACTCTCTTGAAACATTTGGGAATGGTTTTGTTCAGACTTTCAGAATGAAAATTTTTCTATTACTTTGGCACAGTGAGGAACGCACAGCGGAAACATATTCTTGCAGCCCATCAGATCATCCACAGTTACACGGAAAGCATGGTTCAAAAGAAATTAACTGAGGGAGAGCAAGATGAGGCCTCAAATGCTGCCATGTTACTTGAGAAAGAAACTCAAAATGAGAACAACAGCTAAGGTGAGTTTGATTTTCCACCAGGAAAAAAAGCAGAGAAAGGAAGAAAAGCGGCATTGTTCAGCTTTGTGCTGTGCTCAAACAATCATAATGTGAAGATTGCTGTTTAAGAAATGGAGGACTTCCACTTAAATTGGCACATTTCCTCTAGTTTATGTTATCTACTGTTGAGATTATTAGAAAATTAGAGTTGATATTACAGCAATTAGACTCTTGTGATACAAAAAAGAGGACTCTAAATTATTTTT
The DNA here is from genome assembly GCF_000001405.40 of Homo sapiens. Taxonomy (NCBI): domain Eukaryota; kingdom Metazoa; phylum Chordata; class Mammalia; order Primates; family Hominidae; genus Homo; species Homo sapiens. The sequence goes on from NC_000003.12 coordinate 119,751,344, forward strand.
ATGGGTTCTTTTAGCATGTGTGTACCTCGTCAAATGAAGCTATAGAATGTGTCAGTGTTACATATAAACAATCTTGTTCTTATGGAAGTAGACAAGGTATGCCCTAATGCATTGTGCTAGCTGTAAGCATGGCATGAGACACAGAGCCTGCCCAATTCTAGCTCAGACACCTTCTGCAGTGCCCACAAGGGGTTGGTCTTGGGCTCAACTAAAGGCTGTCATACTCATGAGACTAATACAGACCATATTTGGCATGAATGTACTTAGAAAAATATAAGACAGGAAACAGCTTCCAGCAAGGCAACATCAGACATTTCTCTTCCTGTAGGAGCCCTTGCCATACCCATGCAGAACACATAGCTGTTTTCTTTAGTCCTTAGTTTACGGAGTGCAGATACAATACAAGGAAAAGAGGTTCACACCGGGTGGGTACAGGAGCTGCCCTGGCGTAAAACTTCACACCCCAGGGGCTGGAATCTCTTGTAATAATTCCATAGGCATAGCTTCCAGGGTCCCCACCATGGATTTGCCCAGCTACAAAAGTCAACATACTCACAGAAACTCAAAGCTGTGGTTTTCTATTAGGTATACATTCCTCCCAGTTCAGATGGAATTTACCAATCAGGGGTCATTTTTAAGTAGTTCAAATTGCTTAGTAACACAGTTGACACATATCACCTTATCAAGTTACTAGGAGAATAGAGCTAGGGAGTCAACTGAAAGTAAAATTCTCATGAGAAGGGGAATGGAGTGAACTTTTTGCTTATACTTTCTCCCTCAACCCTTTTGTGGTAGAGGCACATCTGCTGCTGTTTTGCCCTGAAGGTATACCAACCATCAGGTTGGGGAGAGTACTGGGGCTAGGGAGAAATTTTAGTTTGGCATTCAGAAGTTTTGTATATTGTCCAGCTCTGCCACCAATTGTATAATCTTACACAAATAATTTCTCTACTTCAGTCCTTGGTCCAATAGAATGGAATCTTAAGTCTCAATCAAAAGGAATCATGGAAGGAGGGTTGAGATGAGAGGGAAGGTAAGAAATATTGCAGAGAGAAAGCTAATAAGTGACTCTTAAATATCAAACTGTGGCTGTAAATTACAGCAGAAAAACTTTTGACTTTAATAGTAAAATAACCTCTGAAATAATTGAAAATATAAAACATCTATTACATGTAATGTTATATATTGTCTATAAAATGTAAATTCAAGGACCAAAGCATTTGGCTACCTTATTATTGTGATAAAAGCAAGCCTTAAGGTTGGGGTAGTCATTTTTCTGACATGCAAATTTAATAAGATTAATAATTTACACAATTTGCATTGAATGCATCTGCCTTTACTTCTGATTATGGTACCTACTCTATGACATCCATAGTGACCTGTGAAATCAAGCCAGAGGAGAAAAAAATCATCTTCTATTTATACTTAGTGAAAGTAAAATATATTTCATTAAAGCCTATGTAAAGCATATATGATAATTATAAAATCTAGTTGCAGAAAAGTCTAGTTGTCAGGCTAACTACAGACACTCAACAAAGATGACCAACCAATAAATTAAATGGTTGGAACATGAAGCTAAGCTGTCCCCAAAGTATATCCTCCCTCTTCCTTCTTGCAGAGGGAAGCAGAGAATGACAGATGTGAGATTATTCAATGATGTCTAGGGAAAGGGGCAGTAGTCATGGGCCACTGATTTAAAATACATATTTAAAAATACATATTTTTAATTAGCTTGAACAGAGAGCTAATAAAGTAGTGAAGAATTTCTGGGCCAAGATCTAGGAGAAGATAGAAATTTAGAGGGTTGGGTCTGGCATTTGGAGCTACTTTTTTCCTGGAAGAATATGACAATTCTAGAAAATGTGGCTGAAAGGCTGAGGAGTATTTTTAAAAGCTTTGCAAAACAAGGGGGACAAAAAACTTGAGTCAAGGTTGGGGCCCTGGTAAACCTTCTTCATTTGGGTAGGGACTCTAAAAGTCTATGCCCTAGTGGTAAGGGTTAACTGGAAGTAAACTATCCCTGGCATATGATATAGTTTAGCTTCTAATCATCTGAGTGATTTTAAAAATCTCAATCCCAGAAATTGAACTTAACGAGATCCTTGGTTTCTATTGCTTCAAGGAACCTGCCAGAAATAAAATGTAAATTCTCTTTACAGAAAGTTAACATTATTCTAGACCTCTATTTTCACAATTTCTAGAACACAATCAAGAATATTCAGGTACGTGAGGAGACATGACAGTCTGAACAAGTGGCAAAACAATAGATGATAGAAACAGACCTAAAAGGATCTAAAATATTGGAATCGTTAGACCCAGACTTTATTTTTTCCATAAGTTATTGGGGTATAGGTGGTATTTGGTTGCATGAGTAAGTTCTTTAGTGGTGATTTGTGAGATTTTGGTACACCCATCACCAGAGCAGTATACACTGCACCATATTTATAGTCTTTTATCCCTCATCCCCTTCCCACTCTTCCCCCCAAGTCCGCACAGTCCATTGTATCATTCTTATGCCTTTGTGATTAGACACAGTCTTTAAAATAACTATGTTGACTACTGTGGACTTCTATCCTCCAGAACTATGGGAAAATACATTTCTGTTGTTTAAGCCATCTAGTCTATGGTGTTTGGTTATGGCAGCCCCAGCTGACTAAGCCAGATTTTGGTACCAGGAGTTGGGTACTACTGTAACAAATACCTAAACATGTGGGAGTGGCCTTGCCACTGGTTATGGGTAGAAGCTGGAAGAGTTTTGAGGTACATACTATATATATGGACATTGAGGGTGATTCTGGTGAGTTGTCAGGTGGAAATATGGAATATGTTATTAGAAACTAGAGGAAAGGTGACCCTTATTATAAAATGGCAAAGACCTTGACTGAACTGTGTTCTAGTGTTTTATGGAAGGAAGAACTTGCAAGCAATGAAATTGGATATTTAGCTGAGGATATTTCTAAGCAAAGTGTTAAAGGAGCAACTTGGTTCCTCCTGACTGCTTATCATAAAATGTGAATGGCAAGAGATGAATTGAAGAAGGAAATGTTAAGCAAAAAGAAATCAGAATGTGAAGATTTGGAAAATTCTTAGCCTATTTATATTGGAAAAAACGAGAAAGCTCTTTCCAATGTGAATGCTAAGGGTGGGTTAACAGACATTTGATAAGTGTATGGGATCATATGAGCAGAAACATTGCAGGATGAAGTTAAGGAAGCCTATTGATTGGACTTCTTGAATTAGACAGGATGGGATGATAGAACTATTCAGCTGCAAACATGCACTATTCTTCAAGAAGAAGGAAAAATGATTCCACAGGAGATCCAGAGATCATCAGGGCCATTGTCCCAGTTTCAACAGCCAGGTGGCTTTCACCATGAGCTTTGGAAGAAGGACCACCCAGTGGACCCCAGCTCAGCAGAGCTATGGGGTGGGACCCTGGGTCAGCAGAGCTACAGGGACAGGACACTTACCTAGAGCCATGGGGATGGGGCATTGTAGAGTCAAAGGGGCAGAGCCATGGGAATGATGTTGCCACCCCAGTGGGCTTAGAAAGCAAGACACTAAGCCAAAGAAGACTATACTCAAGAATTAAGATCCAGTGGAATTTGCCTTGCCAGGTCGTGGACTTGCTTAGGATCCATCACCCATTTTTTTCTTCTGATTTTTCCCTTTTGGAAGGAAATATGTCTCCTATGCCTCTCCCACCATAGCATTTTGGAAGCACATAGTGTGGCTGGTTTCACAGGCTCATAGCTGGAGAATAATTTTGCCTCAGGACAAGTCATATCTTGAGTCTCACCCGTACTTCATTTGGATAATATTTATGAGACTTTGAACTTTAGACTTTAGAGTTGACATGGGAATGAGTTAAGATTTTTGGTATTGTTGGTATAGAATGAATGTACTTTGCATGCAAGAAGAACATGAATTCTACCTGGGGTAGAATGCTTGTGGATTGAAATGTGTCCTTGAAAATGCGTATGTTGAAGCTATAACCCCCAATGTGGTATTTGGAGACAGGACCTTAGGGAGAGAATTAGGTTTAGAGAAGGTAATGAGGGAAGAACCCTCATGATGGGGTTATTGCTTTTATGAGAAGAGACATCACAGTGCTTCTCCTCTCCTTCTTCCACTCCCCCTCTGCCATTCTCCCTCTCTCTCTCTTCCTTTCTCCCTCTCTTCCTCCATCTTCAATGTGAAGACACAGTAAGAAGGTGGCCATCTAGATGACAGGAAGAGAACTCTCAACCAAAACTAACCATGCTGTCACCTTGATCTTGGACTTGTAGCCTCTAGAACTGTGAGAAAAGAAATTTCTGCTGTAAGCTATCCAATCTATGGTATTTTGTTATGACAGCCTGAGCTAAGACACTTACTCTGTTCACAGGGTAAATGCCAATATTGAAAATTTCAAGAGAACTGGACATAATAAAAATGATATAGCAGATTTGAAGAAAATAGAAATTCCAGAATTTAAAAATACAGTAGCAAAAGTGAGAAACTCAGTGAATCTCTCCTGAGAGATATTTAGAAAGAAGCACAGAAAGACAAAAGGATAGAAATTACAGAAGAGAGAGAAGGATAGATTTAGAATAGCTTAATGATTTAGAAAAGGAGAAAGAGTGAGTAGGCATGGACCACTGATTGAAGAAATTTCACTACTAAAGGAAGGAATAATATGTTGGGAGATCATATGGAATACGAATTTTCCAAAAACGATAAAAGACTTGTTTTCAAGAAGACTTCTTAACCCTAAGCAGAATAAATAAAAAGAAAACGATACCTAGATACACCTTAGAATACTAATACTGCTGAAAGCCAAAAAGAAAAAGAAAAACCTTTAAAAGCATTCAGAGAAAAACGATAAATTACCTTCATAAGAGCAATAATTAAGCTGACAGTTGACTTCTCATCAGAAACAATGAAAGCCAAAAAGATGGAATGATATGTTCAATATATTGAAATAGTAAAATAAAGTAGGATTCTAGGCAAACATATTCTTCATGCAAACATATTCTTCAAGAATGGCAACGAAAGACATTTTCAGACAAATGAAACTAATAAAATTTGTCACTAGGAGATCTGCAACACAAGAAATTATTAAAGGGTACTTTTTAAGCAGAAGAAAAATTATCCCAGTTGGAAGGTTGGAAATAAATTTAAGGACAGGTATGTGGATTGGCTTATTGACTGCATAAAAAAATTATAAGAAACAGCAATAATAGGAGCAATGCAGTTATAAAACAAAAGAGTAATATATAAGTCAGAAGAGGGCTAAATGGATTAAATTTTTCTAAGGCACTTGCATTGTTTAGGAGGAGGATAAAAGTATAAGTTGACATTGATAACTCAATGATCCATGACAACTCAAGGATACATTTTGTAACCTCTAGGGTAACTCTGAAAGGATAATAAAGAGATATATGACATCTAAGCTAACAGAAGAAAATGGGACTAAATTTTCAAAACACTCAATACAAAAAGTGGATAGAAAGGAGAAAAAAGGAAACAGAACCAATAGAAAGCACTGAATAAAATGGTAGATGCAAACCAAATTTTATCACTGACTACATTAAATGTAAATAGACAAAATATTCCAAGTAAAGTCAGAATTTACCAGACTGAATAAAAATCATACTAAATTATATGCTGCTTGCAGGAAGCCTATATAAAATCTAAATATACAAATGGTTGTAAGTTAAAAGATTGAAAAAGATACCATAAAAACACCACCCATAGAAAAGCAGATATAGCAATATTCATATCAAAGAAAACTTTAAGGCAGAAAGTATTAGAGAAAAAGAGGGACATGCCATAAAGATAAAGGTCTAATTTATTGGGAAGATATAATGTCACAATTTAAATATACTTAATAGCACGGCCTCCCCCTAAATGTAGCAAAATTTAACAGAACTGCCTGGAGAAATAGACAAATCCACAATAATTCTGGGAAATTTTAATCTTTATCAGGAACTAACAAGCAAGTGGAGAGAAAAAACATTTAAAAATGAAATATTTGGCTGGGTGCAGTGGCTCACGTCTGTAATCCCAGCAATTTGGGAGGCCGAGGCAGGTGGACCAGTTCAGCTCAGGAGTTCGCAACCAGCCTGGACAACATGGTGAAGCCGTGTCTCTACCAAAAATTAAAAAAAAATTAGCCAGGCATGGTGGTGTGTGCCTGTAGTCCCAGCTATTCGGGAAGCTGAGGCAGGAGGATTGCTTGAGCCCAGGAGGCAGAGGTTGCAGTGAGCTGAGATCATGCCACTGCACACCAGCCTGAGTGACAGAGCAAGACCTTGTCTCAATAATAATAAAAATAAAATTAAAATGGAATATTTTAGATACATAATTTTTAAAAACTTGGCCTAATGGACATTTATAGAATATTACGCCCAACAACTACAGAATGCATATTCTTGCCAAGGGCAGAGGGACATTACCAGGGGAAAGAGAAACCAGAGGAGCTGTGTGGGCTGGCCTGATGGATTGGGGTACAGAGGAGCCCCCAGAGTAAGGCCAAATTTTCCCATATAATGTTAGCTTTAGGTTTTCGGTAGATACTGTTTTTCTGCTTGAGAAATGTTTGAATATCTCTTGTTATTTAATGAGTTATGTCAGTAATAAAATTCACTCAGTTCCATGGACTTAACCATTGACACTTCTATAATTTTTTGTTTTTTATGGGTTTTTATATATGTGTGTAGTTTGTTTGTTTGGTTGGTTGGTTGGTTTTTGGTCAGAAAGAGATGCTGAATATTCTGACTTGCACCATCATACTGACATTCAGTGATTCAGAGTGGTAAAGTTTCAGTGTGACTTTTTTCCAGCTCAGGGCCAAGATTGAGATTTTTCTAAGTAAGAACACCATCCTCAGCTACTGTTACAGAACACTGAATGGCTTTGGAAATTGGCTATTGCTGCAGACTTGGTAATATTTTTTAATGAATCTATCCTAATGTTGCAAGGCAAGCAAAACTTACATGCAGAGCTTATGCTATAGTAAAGTCCCTTCATTGGCAACTAACATTATTTGAATCCCAAATAATGTATTTCCTATGCTATGAAAAGTTAAAACAAGAAGGAAGATCTCCATTCCTACATATATTTGCATTGGATATATTTTCTGAGCCTAAACTACTTTTCTAGTAGCATTTTTGGACCTTGAAACAAGTGCAAAGGAAATTTCAAAATTATTTATCTGCAATGGAAGCATGTTCATCTTACCTTCAAGTGGAAGTAGTTAATCTGTATTGTAATGACCTGCTAAAAAGAAAATATCAAGAGAAGAATCTAATAGAATTCTATAAATGCCTTCCAAGCAATAAATATGGATATTTATATAAAAGTATATAATTGTGGATGGATACCAGTATTGGCCATACTGTTCTGAATGAAAAGACATTTTCAAAGATGAGATAGGGATGAGATGAGATAGGGAAAAATCTCATTTTCAAAGATGAAATGAGAAAGAGGAAAATCTAATTACACATCACTATTAATAAATGAACATTTGCAATCAATTTCAATGACTTGAACCGAAATTAAGCAAAATGTTATTCCCCCAAATAAGAATTCCATTCCTTTCATTAAGATAACTATATTACAGAAAACTATAGTCAATTATTAGTAGTGTATTTTGAATTTTATAAAAAATGTTGTGAAAATTTGTTTTCTCTTTTGTTAAATGAGTATCCTTGATTTTGTCATTTGGCTCACAAAACCTAAAATATTTACTATTAAGCCCTTTTCAGAAAAAGTTTATCATTCCTTACTCTACAGCAATTACAATAAAGTAGAACTAAATATAACACATGGAAGAATCTCACAAATATGATAAGTACCATAATAAGCCAAATCCAAAAATAATCCACAGTATGAATTTATTTATATAAAGTTCAAAACCAACAGCATTAAACTATAGTGTTTAGGAATGCATACTTAGAAAGTTAAGGTGTAACAAAATGCAAGAAAGTGACTACTGTAAAAATAAAATAAAAATCAGAATAGTGATTACCTTTAGGAGGTAAAGAGAGGATTGTGATTGGGAAGGGGTAAATGGGAGCTTATGGAATACTATTTCCTGACCTGTGTGATATTTACACAGATGAGTACTGTACATTAATTTATTAGGCTGCACATTGCTTTTAGGTACTTTCCTATATGTGTCATATTCTACAGTTGAAAGTAATACAAAAACATATGAAAGTATAAAACTCATTGGTAAAAGTAAGTACACGGTCAAATTCAGAATATTCTAATACTGTAATGATGGTGTGTAAATCACTTTTTAGTATGAAGGTTAAAAGACAAAACTATTAAAAATAATATCTACAATAATTTGTTAAGGGATACACAGCATAAAAAGATGTAAATTATGAAATTGAAAACACACGTGTTGAGGAGGGTGGATAAAAAGTGTAGAGTTCTTGCATGCAATCAAATTTAAGTTGTTGCCAGTTTAAAATAGCCTATTGTAACTATAAGGTGTTTTATATATTCCTCATGGTAAGTACAAAACAAAAAACCTATATTAAATACACAAAAGGTGAAGAGTAAGAAATCAAGGCATGGCGCTAGAGAAAGTCACCTAATTACAAAGGAATACAGCAAGAGAGGAAGAAAGGAATAAGGACCTACAAAACAACCATAAAACAATGAACCAGATGATAGTAGTAAGTCTTTATCAATAATTACCTTGAATGTAATTAGATTAAATTCTCCAATTCAAAGACATAGAGTGGCTGAGTGGATAAAAACAAACAAATGAGACCTAACTATGTCCAGCCTACAAGAGTCTCACTTCACAGTTTAAGGACTCACATAGACTGAAAGTGAAAGGATGAAAAAAGATACTCAATGCAAATGGAAACCAAAATAGAACAAGTGTAGCTAAACTTACATCAGATAAAATAGGTTTTAAGTAAAAAACTATAAAATGAGACCAAAAAGGTCATTGTGTGGTGATAAAGGGGTCGATTCATCAAGAGGCTTTAACAATTATAAATATATGTGCACTCAACATTGGAGCCCCTAAATATATAAAACAAATATTAATAGATATGGAGGGAGAGCTAGACTGTAATACAGTAATAGTGGGGACCTCCAGTATCCCACTTTCAGCAATGAACAGAACATCTAGACAAAAAATCAATAGAGAAACATCAGACTTACACTACACCTTAGACCAAATGGACCTAACAGACATATATAGAATATTCCATCCAGCAGCAGCAGAATACACATTCTTCTCAAATACACACAGAACATTCTCCAAGACTGATGACTGATAATAAGCCTAACAAACTTAAGAAGATTGAAATTATAGCCAGTATTTTTTCCAACCACTGTGGTATATAAAATAGAAATCAGTAACAGGAGGGATTTCAGAAAATTCAGAATTACATGGAAATTAAACAACATGGTCCTGAACAACAAGAAGTCAAAGAAGAAATGAAAAGGGAAATTAAAAAAAAAACCTTGAGGCAAATGAAAATGGAAACACAAGACATAGTTATGGGATGCAACAAAAGCAGTTCTAAGAGGGAAATTTATAGCAATATGTGCTTGCATCGAAAAAGAAGAAAGATCTCAAGTAAACAACGTAATATTACACCTCAAAGAACTAAAAAAAGAACAACAAATGAAACCCAAAATTAGTAGAAGGAAAGAAATAATAAAGATTAGACCAGAAATAAGTGAAATAGAAACTAGAAAAATAATAGAAAAGATCAACAAAACTAAAATTCGGTATTTTGAAAAGATAAAATTGACAAACCTTTAACTAGACTACTTAAGGCCAAAGAGGGAAGACTTAAGGAAAATCAGAAGTGAAAGAGGAGACATTACAACTGATACCACAGAAATGCAAAAGATAAGACTACTATAAACAATTATATACCAACAATTTGGACAATCTAGAAGAAATGGATGTCTAGACACATGCAACCTATCAAGATTGAACCATGAAGAAAATAGAAAATCAGAATAGACCAATAATAAGTAAGAAGATTGAATCAGTAATGAAAAGACTCTCATCAAAGAAAATCCCAGGCAGGACCCAATGGCTTCACTGCTGAATCCTACCAAATGTTTAAATTTCAGTCTTCCAAAAAAATTGAAGAGGAGGGAATACTTCCAAACTCATTTTACAAGGTTAGCATTACTCTTGTTTCAAAACTAGACAAGGATACTACAAGAAAGAAAAATTACAGGCCAATATCCCTGATTAACGTGGATGCAAAAATTCTCAAAAAAAGTAACAAACTAAATTCAACAAATTAAAAGGATCTTTCACTATGATCAAGTGGGATTCATCCTACAGATGCAAGAATGGCTCAACATACACAAATCTATAAATGTGATATACCATATTAACAGAATAAAGGACAAAAATCACATGATCTTATCAATAGATTCAGAAAAAAAATTTGACAAATTCAATATTCTTTCATGACAAAAAAAACTCTTAACAGATTCATTATAGAACAAATGTACCTCAACATAGTAAAGTCCATATATGACAAACCCACAACTAACATCATTCTCAACAGTAAAAAGTTGAAGCCTTTTCTTCTATGATCAGAAACAGACAAGGATGCTCCACTCTTGCTACTTCTATTCAACATAGTACTGGAAGTCTCAGCCAGCACAGTTGGGCAAGAGAAAGAAATAAAAGGCACCCAAATTGGAAAGGAAGAAGTTAAATTGTTTTTCTTTGCAGGTGACATGGTCTTATATATAGAAAACCCTAAAGACTCCAACAAAAAAACTAATAGAAATGATAAAGTAATTAATTTACGGGTACAAAATCAACATACAAAAATCAGTAGCATTTCTATACATTAACAACAAACTATACAAAAAAGAAATCAAGAAAACAATCCCATTTATAATAGCTACAAGGAAAAAAATAAAATACTTACTTAGGAGTAAATTGAATCAAGGAGACCTGTACATTGAAAACTATCAAACATTGATGAAAGAAATTAAAGAAGACACAATTAAATGAAAAGATATCCTGTGTTCATGGATTGGAAGAATTAATATTGTTTAAACATCCATGCTACTTAAAGCAATCTACAGATTCAATGCAATCTCTATCAAAATTCCAATGACATTTTTCACAGAAATAGAAAAGGCAATCCTAAAATTCATATGGAACCATGAAAGACCCCAAATAGCTAAAACAATCTTGAAGCAAAAAGAACAAAGCCATCACACTACCTGACTTAAAAATCTACTGCAAAGCTATGCTAATCAAAACAGCATGGTACTACACACACAGACCAATGGAATGTAATAGAGAGCCCAGAAATGCACCCACAGATTTGTGGTCAATTGATTTTTGACAGAGGTGCCAAGAACACACAATGGGAAAAGGACAGTCTTTTCAATAAATGATGCTGAGAAAACTGGATATCTACATACAGAAGAATGAAATTAGAACCTTTTCTCCACACCATATTCAAAACCCAACTCAAAATGGATTAAATACTTAAGCATAAGTCCTGATACTGTAAAACTGCGAGAAGAAAACATAAGGGAAAAGCTCCTAACATTGGTCTGGATGGTGATCTTTTGGATATGACTCAAAAGCACAGGCAACAAAAGTGAAAATAGACAAAAGAGATTACATCTAACTAAAAAGTTTCAGCACAGCAAAAAACAATAAACAGAGTGAAGAGACAACCTGCTAAGTGGGAGAAAATATGTACAAACCATACATCTGGTAAGAGGTTAATATTCAAAATATGTGAGGAACTCAAACAACTCATTAGCAAGAAAATAAATAACCCAATTAAAAAATGGGCAAAGGACCTGAATAGACATTTCTCAAAAGAAGACACATACAAATGGCCAACAGATACATGAAAAAAATGCCCAACATTACTAATCGTTCGAGAAATGCAAACAAAAGCCACAATGTGATATCACCTCATACTGTTAGAATGGCTATTATCAAAAAGACAAAAAGTAAGTGTTGAGGAGGATGTGAAGAAAAGAGAACCGTTGCACATTGTTGGTGGGAATGTAAATTAGTACAGCCATTGTGGAAAACATTATGGAGGTCCTCAAAAAATAAAAAATAGAACTACCATATGATCCAGCAATTCCACAACTGGGTGTATATCCAAAGGTAATGAAATCAGTGTGTGAAAGAGATATCTGCACTCCCATGTTCACTGCAGCATTAATCACAATAGCCAAGATTTGAAATCAACCTAAGTGTCCACCAACAGATGATGGTATACACACAATTGAATACTATTCAGCCTTAAAAAAAAAAAGAAGGAAATCCTGTCATTTGCAGCAACATGTCTGAACCTGGAGGGCATTATGCTAGGTGAAATAAGCCAGGCACAGAAATACCAGCATAATGCCATGAACCAGGTGTAATGCATCCACACACATACACATATGCTATCACTTGCATGTAGAGTAGAAAAAAGTTGAATTCATAGAAGTAAAGAGTAGAATGTTGGTTGCCAGAAGCTAGTGTGGTAGGGAGATGTTGGTCAAAGGATACAAAATTTCTGTTAGGAAGAGTAAGTTCAAGGGATGCATTGTAAAACCGTGGTGACTATATTTAATAACAATGTGTTATATTTTGAAAATAGCAAAGAGAGATTTTAAGCACCCTTTCCACAAAAAATGAAAAGTATATGAAGTAGTGCATATGTTAATTAGCTTGACTGAGCCATTCTACAACGTGCACGTATTTCAAACCATCATGCTGTACCTGACAAATATATATAATCTTTCTTTGTCAGTTTAAAGTAAATAAATGAAATAGTAAAGGATGTTGGCAGTAAGTCAAAGTAAAATGGAAAGAGAATCAGAAACGGTATTTATGACCTCCAGTGTCTACATATCAACTTTTCCCAAACAATTGTTCCATGGATAACTGCTCTTCAGGACATTCATAAGCAGGGCTGCTCCTGGTATTTGCAAGACCCAGGTCAAGAGGATGAATTGAAGCATCATATCATATGAAAATATATAAAGTTGTAAATTAGGCTAACATACTGTTATATAAAATTTATTCTACCCACCTACTTTCACAAACATATCTTTGAGATGATAACATTGAAAAACGGGTAAGCAGCTATGGGCTTTATGTAATTGAAAGATGGCAAGAACCAAAGATGGTAAGCTTAGTTATTATTGTACATGTCTGACTATTCTGTTTATGGTCCAGTAATATTTGGGCAAGTAATGAAATAAAGGCATACATGGTTTTTTAAAAGTTAGAAATACATATGTATATATACAAACAAATACATATATATATATACATTATGCCTGCAGTATACAGAGAATATTTCTGGAAAGGTCAATAAGAAGTTGGTAGGTAGCTGTTGCCAGGCATGGAAACTGGGGACTGGAGTTCACACCAGGGGAAAAGAGATTTACCTTTCTCATGTTGACATTCTTTTGTATTTTTATTTTTTTATGATGTATGTATACAACCCAGTTAATGTACAGATTTTTTTAAGTGCTAGAATTTGGAAACTGACACACTGTGAAGTAAGAAACATCTGGATCCATAAGGCTTATAAATAGCAGAGCTGGGATATGTGTGGGGCTGTCTGAGTTCAAAGCTAGGGCTCAGACACACTGTATCACAGGAATTTTTTGCATGTATTGATCTGATAATGTTTCTAAAAGATGACATAATCATAAACATTTGTTTTGCTCTTTTTTACAGATTGTGATTTTTTTGTAAAAGAAGCTGTACGAATCATCATAAATAATTCCAATAGTCTGCACTTCTCCCAAGGTGTGCACTGCTCATAAACTTGCCAGTGTGTGATTCATGAGAAAGGAGATTTATTTTCCTTAAACATCCAATAATTTAAAATGATTTTCAATAATAATAATCAAATGAAAAAGCTTCATTCTCTTCAGTGTCTTCTAGATGCCCTACTTAAAGAGAACATTTTCTTATGTCTCATTTCAATATTTTGTTAACTATGAGGATGTGCTGGTTTGTTGAATCAAACAAAAGGAAATGTTGTGGAATATTTTTCCAAGTAGTTTTGGTTCACTATTCACAGGACATTGGCATTATCTACTAAGGCTGAAAATGTGCATATTCCATGACTCAGGATTTTATCTCCTAGATATATATTCAACAGAAATGCATGAGTATGTGCACCAACAGGCATGACAAAAATATTTATAGTAGTGGTGTTCACAATAGTCCCAAACTGGAAACCCAAGTGTCCATCTCCATCGGAACAGAAAACTATACTTTGGTCTGCTTCTACAGTGGCACATCAACCCACCTTTGAGCTTTAGATCTAAGAAGTGTGTTCATGCAACAGCCATAGAGATGGTGCTATTGAAAGGCAATCTGCCCATCCTGTGTATTGACAAGCATCAGGATTCCAGGAGGATTCTTCCTGATTCAAAGACTGTCAAATAGGAAAAAAGAAAACAGTAAATGAACAAAAACATCAACATGGAGTCCAAGTAATGAATTTATAGAGGAAAATGTATGCTACTCTGAAAACAAAGCTTATGTTAGAGAATATCTTACTGTAAGAAACAAGGAAAATTGCAGAAACATTTGCTGAGTGTTTTTAATAGGAGTCAAAAAGAAAGGGTCTTTTCAGAAACTGAAGTAGGAAATAATAACAGACAAGGTCAAAAAATAGATGCAGGCTGAAAAGAAAAGGAAGTGGGCTAAGATGGGAAAAATATAAAAAGATTTAAAATCCAGCAACAAAATTTACACATTCATTTGGATGCAGTGAAAAGGGCAGAAATACCACAGCAGAGAATAAAATTGATAATGTTGGCAACACATTTATTAAGTGATCCAACATGGGATG